>NC_000002.12:106277496-106580527 GCF_000001405.40 Homo sapiens | reverse complement strand
TGAGTGGTTTCCTCTGTAGGCAGCTGGGGCCCCAACCGGCTGGGTCTCCTGGACAGTGTGGACACACCCCAGGGCTGCCTCTCCTGAAGGCAAGGATGCTGGGCACACCGGCTCTTGTTACCTGCTTTAGTGGCTGCTCCTGGTGGTGTCAACTGCCCTGCACTTCTGGCATGTTACAAGCATGAAACAGAGCAAACAAAACCCTTGGTGGGGAACCTCAGATGCCTGGAGTATAGACCTTCAGAGGGTTCTGGAAGGGCCACTCCCGAAAGCCTCTGAGCAGCAGCATCCACTATGCACCTGTGTAAGAGAGCAGGCTGCCTGGTTATTATGGGGTGCCACAATCTCCCCAGCTACCAACATACGAGATGATCCTAGAGATAACCAGAGGCACCATGGACTGGCTGGTTCACCGTTGTACAATGGATTGATTTGGCTGCATTTAAAGCTGGCCCCAGTCCGAGGAAAAAGACAGACGCCTGGCTGGCCTCTGCTGTCACCTTCAGAGCAGGGTTGTTCTGTTTTTCTAACAGCTGGTTGGATTCATCTAGATAATTTCCACTCTGCCTTTTTGTCAGCAGATCTCTTTAGCTGCGGTTTTGACCCTAGGTCGCCAGACCACTCACCAAGATGAAAAGTGGTAGTGTATTTTTCTGTCAGCCAGCCCAGAGGCTGCCAGCAGTGCCCCTCGGCCAAGGGCTTTGACCTTGGACGTTAGCGAGCAATGACCCACAGGGCAGCAAGCAAGGGGAAGTGTTGCTCTCTTGCTTCCTTCTTATTTCTCATGCTGTCTGGGAGTTTTCATAAATTTGAGCTAGCTTGAAATCATGTACATCGTGTTTATGTGCAGAAAAAAACCTACACTGTATCGATAACTTAGTTTACAGTTTACACAGATACTTTCACATTCTTTCTTTATCTGAATTCAAATCTGCCCATACACTTGTCTCTCCGTCAAGCCTAATATTTAAAGGTCAATTTACAAACAGCGTGTGTAATCTTATGAATTCTTGCCACATGGTGCCATCTGAGTCCATCTCCCAATCATCTTTGAAAATCTAAGAGAAATTCCAGATTGTTTGACTTTTAGTCTGATAATAGATGATCTCTAAACAGTTTACAACATAGTCATTTTGAGATTGAAAATATCAATCTCATTTTTTTGTTTCACAATGGCTGCTGCCTTAAAAACCAATCCAGTTTGCTGTATTTATTGTCTTATTTGCTATAAATCTAGAGCCAATTATAGCAGTTTCTCATACATTGCCCATAAAAAATGCTATACTATTTCAGCTTTTCAAGTGATGGATACTCTCATAAGAAAATTAGAAAGCTTCCAACAATGGGTCTCATAGATGACTACTACTTTGTCCTCATTTCCAAATGACACAGTCATCTAAGGAATTAAAGGAACTGGAAGTGGAGTGAGTTTTTATGTGCATGATGAAGAATGTTACTTTCAAAGTACAGATGCAACCCAACTTACACAATGGGGTTACATCCCGATAAACCCATGGTTAAGTTGAAACTATCCAAGTCAAAAATGCATTTAACACACCTAACCTATAGAATATCATAGCTTAGCCTAGCCCACCTTAAACATGCTCAGAACACGTACATTAGCCTACAGTGAGGTAACATCATCTGAAATCATAGCACCCTGTACATTATCAGCTATTTGCCCTCATGATCATATAGCTGACTGGGACATCTGGCTCATTGCCCTGCCCACCATTCTGAGTATTGTTCCACATATCCCTAGCCCCAGAAAAGATGGAAATTACAAATTTGAAGTACTATTTTTACTAAATGCATATTGCTTTTGCACCATCATAAAGTCAAAAAAGCCTAAATTGAACCACTGTAACCGTCTGTAGTTGGTAGCTGATTGGCGAGGCAAGACAACAAAGACATATGTCTAAATAAACATGATGTTTTCTGAAGCGTTCCTATCTATCTTTTCAAAATATTTAGCAAAGCATCATATATGCATTAAACACTCTGCTGGATGCTGAGAAAACAAAGAGAAAAAGTCTTGGCTTTTGCTGTCAAACAGGGAAGTTGTTTCAGAAAGGGAAATGCACGTGCAAAGTGACATAGGAATGAAATCGCGATCTTCAAATCAGACTTCCATTCTGCTGGGGGGTAAAGAGGAGGGCAGGAGTAGTAAAGATGAGGCCAAGCAGGTGGGCAGGAGATTGGGAAAGTCAATCCCGTGTGCCCTGGGACGAGCCTGGTTGATATGCTCCTGGCGCTGAGCGGCCACAGAATATGTGCGAGAGTGGCCAGCTTTTTACCTGAGAAAGTCACCGTAACTACGATGTGGAGTGAAGCAAGATGCTTGGTGTATGCCCATTGTATGTCCAGAGGATAAGTGGCACGAAGGTGGGAGAGAGACATGGGACCTGTGAGGCATATCAGGCAGGCTGGAGGGACAATCAGATTCGTAGATTCAGAAAGAGCCAAATCCAGGATAAGGCTCAGGTTTCTGACTTGGGTAAGAGGTGCATGGTGAGGTGCTTCGTAGAAATGGAGAGAGGAGAAGGAGCCGGTTAAGGACAAGTCAATGTGTTCAGCCCTTGCCACCCTGAGCTACACATGCCCCAGGGGCTTTTGAGTCCATGACATCCATGACACGCGGGGGCTCAGGAGAAATGTCTACGTGGAAAATGTAGAACCTCCCTCTGTAGAAAGAGGAGAGGAGAGAGGGCTGAAGACACAGCCCATCGTTCACAGGTGCCCACAAAGGAAACTGAGTGAGGGACACCCTAGGAAGAGGAGGAGGTCATGGACTAAACCTTGCCAATCATGCTGCAAACACCACATGCCCATCATCAGGCTTCACCCATCATCCGTGAATGAACCAATCTTTTTCTCTTACACTTCAATCCACTTTTTCTTCCCCAGATTGGAAATAACTCCCAGACATCAGAGCTTTTGAGAGGTGAGGCCAGCTGGACTTCCTGGGTCCAGTGGGGACTTGGGGAACTTTACTGTCTTACAAGAGGATTGTAAAACGCACCAGTAAGTGCTGAGTAAAATGCACCAATCAGCGCTCTGTAAAATGCACGAATCAGCAGGATTCTAAAAGTAGCCAATCCTAGGGAGGATTGAAAAAAGGGCACTCTGATAGAAGGGAAATGGAACATGGGAGGGGACAATAAGGGGATAAAAGCTGGCCACCCCAGCCAGCAGTGGCAACGTGCTAGGGTCCCCTTCCATGCTGTGGAAGCTTTGTCCTTTCGCTCTTCACAATAAACCTTGCTACCACTGACTCTTTGGGTCCATGCCATCTTTAAGAGCTGTAACACTCGAAGGTCCACGGCTTCATTCTTGAAGTCTGCCAGACCACCAACCCACCAGCAGGAACCAGCTCCGGACACACTTTCATCTCTAAACGCAGGCGTGTGCGGCTCCAGAAGACAGGACTCTCTTTTAAAAAACACAACCTTAGGCCGGGCGCGGAGGCTCACGCCTGTAATCCTAGCACTTGCGGAGGCCGAGGCAGGTGAATCATGAGGTCAGCTTGGCCAACATGGTGAAACCCTATCTCTACTAAAAACACAAAAAAATTATCTGGGCATAGTGGCGGGCACCTGTAATCCCAGCTCTTCAGGAGGCTGAGGCAGGGGTATCGTTTGAACCCAGGAGGCAGAGGTTGCAATGAGGCAAGATCACGCCACTGGACTCCAGCCCAGGCGACAGTGCGAGACTCTGTCTCAAAAAAAAAAAAAAAAAAAAAAAAAAAACTTAGTTTCGCTCCGTTTTGTGGCCCTTTTGTCATATTTTCATCATCTCAAGGGACTTCTTTTGCGCGTATGGTCTATTTTCTTATGATAACTTTCCATGTCTCTTGTTTATTTTTATGATTATGATATGAATATTTTAGCAACAAGAGTTTCCCTGAACATATTGGCAGGAGCTGCGAGTCAGCATAGCTTGTCTGTCTTCTGTTGTTTTTGGAGAGTGGTCAAAAATGGCCTGTTCTCTCTCCAATCTGCCTCTTCTCCTTTCGTTCTTAATTGACAAATAATAATTGTGTATATTGATGGGGTACAATGTGATGTTTTCATCTATGTCTACATTGTAGAAAGATTCAGTCAAGCCAATTAACATACCTGTTACCTCACCAACATACTTTGTTGTGATGAGGACGTTAAAAATCTATTCTTTTAACAATTTTGAAATACACAACACATTATTATCAGCTGTGATCTTCTGCTTTTATCTGGACCTTCTCCTCTCTGTTCTTACCGTTCCTGTCTGACTGTAATTGGATTCTCCTTCCAGTGTTTGCCTCCCTGTGGATCTGTTTTAGAAGGGAGTTGAATTCCTTGGTCAGGAGACTGTATAGGTCAGGTTTCTCCCACACCATCAGGCTGATTACATCAGAGCCTCTGGAACAGGAATGCTGCAGACGCCCCCGCAGTGCCTGTTTGGCCCGACCCACCTCCCACAGTGGCAGATGGAGGATGGGGAGCCGCCTCCCAGGGCAGTTGGCTCCCCTCCCTTCCCCTCCCCTCCCCTTCCCTTCCCTCTGCTTCCTCCACACAAGCGCTCATGCCACATTGGTCCTGGGGCTGCAGGTGGTCCCATCCTGCGTGCTTGCATTCGGGGCGTGTGGGGTTCCTTACCACCCACTTGGCTCTCTGGGAGATGTTGTCTGAGTGTCTTTGGTTATGCTATCCTAAGTGCCTTGTTTGCTTTTATGGGCAGATTCTGGAAATTCAAACCCTACCAGGCTGCCCCTGCCATCCTTCTAGAATCCTCTCTAGATGAGAGCACAGAAGAGAGGAGAGAGCAGTGTGAGACACTAATAGAATTAATTAAGTGCTGTCCAGTCGCGGTGGCTCACACCTGTTATCCCAGCATTTTGGGAGGCCGAGGTGGGCGGATCACTGAGGTCAGGAGTTCGATACCAGTCTGGCCAACATGGTGAAATCACAACTCTACTAAAAATACAAAAATTCGCCGGGCGTGGTGGCATGTGCCTGTAGTCCCAGCTACTTGGGAGGCTGAGGCAAGAGAATCACTTGAACCCGGGACGCAGAGGTTACAGTGAGCCGAGATCATGCCACTGCACTCTAGCCTGGGCATCAGAGCCAGACTCCATCTCAAAAAAAAAAAAAGACAAGTGCCATAAAAGGCTCACATTTTCCCAATTAAGCCCAGCCTAAAACTGTCTCTATACATATTTTAAGTTTGGCCTAAAGGTTTCTCCATACACAGTGAACCATAACCTAACTGTATCTGTAAACAGACTGTTACTGACTCTTCTCAGCAGATTAGCTCAACCATGCACAGATGTCCAACTGTTCAAGCCACGTTCAAATAATGCAAGCACCAGCTGTAACCAATCCAGCTATTTCTGTGCCTCACCTTCTCTTTTCTAACCATGAATGTTATCTCACCATGCGGCAGCCCTGGAGGTGCTCTGAACCTATTCTGGTTCAGGGGCCTATCCCACTGGAAAATCATTCTTTACTCAACTAAACTCTGTTACATTTAATGTGTCTAAAGTTTTTCTTCTAACTTTCTTTCCAGCTAAGATACTACTGTTGTTAAATGTCTATGCCCCCCCCACCCCCAGTTGATAAACTTTTTGAGGGAAGCTATCATATTTTATTCAGCTTTCTATATCCAGACCCTATTGTGGCACCCATCATGTAGGAAAGACATGATCAAATTGGGTGCATTGAATTAAAGTAATATTTCTTGCTGAAAACTGTGTATCTACCTATTTTTTTTTTCTGCTGGGGCTAAACAACTGCTAGGAAATAAAAAATGGGTCTAGTTCATGTGTATTTGTAGTTCCAAACGGATTTTCTTTTCCTGAAGGGAAAGTAAGAGTATAATAGACCAAAGAGACCTGAGGTCAAGTAATCAAGGAATTAAAATTTAAGAGATCCTAACTGATAACCTTTACTGATGGTGGCTCCCTGTTTTAGAAAATGAATTGGTGCAAACATTTTCAAAATTACCCGTTAAAAAGTCAGTGCCGCCGAGCGTGGTGGCTCATGCCTGTAATCTCAGCACTTTGGGAGGCCAAGGTGGGTGGATCACCTGAGGTCAGGAATTCGAAAACCAGCCTGGCCAACATGGCGAAATCCCGTCTCTACTAAAAATACAAAAATTAGCCAAGAGTGGTGGCGAACGCCTATAATTCCAGCTACTCAGGAGGCTGAGATAGGAGAATCACTTGAACCCAGGAGGCAGAGGTTTCAGTGAGCCAAGATCGCACTATTGCACTTCAGCCTGGGTGACAGAACAAGACTCCCTCTCAAAAAAAAAAATCAGTGCAAAAATGATAGTAGTTATTATAATTCTTTTTGTTTCATTGCTACTGTGCAGTCTCCAAACTGGCTTCATATAGATCATCTTATGTGAGGCTCACAGCATTTGTGTGAAGTTGGTGGCAAATGAGATGAACTACAATGATGCCAAGAGTTAAATAGCTCTCTAGAAACCATATACAGATTCAGATTCAGTCTTCCAGGAACAGCAGACTATCTCTCATTAATGCTTAGATTTCTGGCCCCACCCTAGAGTAGCTGATCCAATAGGTCAGGGTGGGGCTTGGAAATTCACATTTATGACAAGCTCCTAGATGATGCTGATGCTGTCAGTCAAGGGACACACTTTGAAAACCACAGGTCTTCTGTATTGGTTAATAATGCTTGTCAACCTTAAATAATGAGATTCAGAAAATATGATTAAGTATAGAGTTTATTTGAGTACAAAGCTCAAGGATGGCCACCCCGAAACACTGAACCAATGGAGTCAGTGTTCCAAAGTGGAGAGGTTAAGGGTTCATCTATATGGAAATTTTAGCAGGATTGCAACATTTTCCATACACTACAGCAATCTGATTGATTACAGATTGTTACATTCTAAAAAAAAAAAAAAATTACTCGGCCAGGCACAGTGCCTCATGCCTGTAATCCCAGCACTTTGGGAGGTCAAGGCAGGCAAATGACGAGGTCAAGAGATCGAGACCATCCTGGCCAAAATGGTGAAACCCCATCTCTGCTAAAAATACAAAAATTAGCTGGGCGTGATGGCGCGTGCCTGTAGTCCCAGCTACTCAGGAGGCCGAGGCAGGAGAATCACTTGAACCCAGAAGGTGGAGGTTGCAGTGAGCTGAGATCACACCACTGCACTCCAGTCTGGTGACAGAGCGAGGAGACTCCGTCTCAAAAAAAAAAAAAATTATTACTCCATGAGAAGGGGTAGTGATCTGAGGGGGGCTTATCTCTGGCACCATTTGGTCTTAATTATGTATGGTGACATGAAAGGCAGAAGTTGCAGCTGCATGATGCTTGATGCAGGCTGCATAGTCATTCCTTTCAAGACTCGGGATAATTTAAAGTTCCAACAGCTTAAATTTGAATTCTTTTAAGTTTTTATTTAATTTCACATGCTTAACGGTTATTTGCATGCTCATTTTAAGTTCTGAAGATTGAAAATTCTTAAATATTCACACTAATCCATCTCTTCTTCAAACACCATAGGAATTGGAAATGTATGCATGTTTATCTTCATACACACATCAATGGTTGTGTATTGGGGCACTGGGTGTGAAGAGGAGTATTCATTTTCTTAGAGTTGTCAATTAATAAATAATTACCTGTGTGTATCAGCTACAGTAAAACACTACATTTAGTAGCCTTTACAGTCATTCCACTGAGTTGTATCAAGTTCAAAAGATGAGGCCAGACAGCCTATACCAACAAGGCGCTCAGGTAGGTGTTTCTTAGAAGATGAAGACGCAGTTTTCCTGCACACCACCTGGGGGCAGCAGTGCTGCCTGTGTTTTACAACTGCTGAAACAAACTAAATAGAAACGTGGAATGTCACTATCCAGCTATTGTTTGAGCAAAGCTGCCTGGTCTGCATAAGAGCATAACAATTATAATGCATTGCAATTTGCCAGATAATAACAGTTCCAGAGTTGAAATGTCTGAATTCTGAAAGAACAATGATGGACAGGTAAGAAATAAATGAGTCTTAAAAGTTCATATGTCTTAGCAAACATGTTATTTAAAATAAATGTCATAGGAATCCAGTTGAAAATATTAATAAACTATGTATTTGTCATTTTCTGCAGCTCACAAATATCTGCTGTGAGCAATGCCTTCAGTCGCTTGCCTGAATGGATCTGGTGCTGCCCTGAGAGGCCACTTGTGCTTCTGTCTGCTGAGGGGTCGGTGTCTTTTGCTCACACCCATTCTATCCCTGGGCTTAGAAGTAGGAGATAGTCCTGTTTGTTCCTTGCCATCATTTTCAAATGTTTATACTTTTTCTCCTGCCCTCATCATGTCCCCCATAATCCCTGCCTAAAGAAAAAGCTGTGTGGCCTATGCTGTAGACTGTGGCACCAACCTTGAGCCTTAGAGGTCTCCTCTGAGGCCACCGGCCTCATTCCCTAAAGACCTTAGCACCTGGTCCCTGTCTGTCTCCCCAGCACTGCTTCTGCTATAATGCATCGGTGTGCATATCCACATTGATGGTCCCTCCAATACCTGGCCCTTCAGTGGCTTCCTCCTCTCTTCCAGGTTACTGCTGCCCACAGGATACCAGGAGCCACTTTCCATCACATCATAGACAGTGTCATGATCATAACTGTGACCCTTCATAATCTCTGTCAAGCATCCCACTCCCTGAACCCACCTCCAGTTTTCTGGCCATGCACCTCCACCCCAACAATAATTTGATCTCCCTGGGACCTACACCTCCCTGATGCTAGATTTGCAATGGTCCCTCCTTTCCTCTTCATCCTTGATTCCCTCCACACCAGCTTGGATTCCAGAGCCCACCATTTTAATCCTTCCCCTCCATATGCATTCAGCACTTTTGTCCATTCTCCCACAGTCACGTTAACCTGGAAAGCCCCCAAACCCAATTAAACCCAACTCTACCAGCCCCTCACTGCACCCTTGCACCTGATTATACTGGAGAAAAACTCCTACCTGGTCTACTGGCCGCACTTGAATTTAGGACCACTGACCTCAGGAGGACCCTCCAAGCTGCCTGGAAATCTTGTGTTCACCTGGTCACTTCAGTGTCCCCCTATCCTAGGAGACTATGTCACTCCTATTCCCCTCTCCCCAAACTTTCAACCCTTCTCCCAGCCTCACTCTCATCTGATGACCTAACCTTCTTTTTCACTGAGAAAAACCAATTAACAAAGGATGTCTGCGTCTACCCACCTCCCCGTGTCTAGACCCACACTTGGCCTTCCCTCCTGTTACTGCAGAGGAATTGTTTGTGCCAACTGTTCATGAACCAACCAAGGCCAAATCCTCTGGGGCACTAAACCCATCCCTTCCTGCCATCTCAAGGACAGGCCTCCAGCAATTCTCTCCTCTTCCTCTCGGGCATCACGGGATTTCCCCTCTCCTGGATCACCCCGTCAGGACACAAACAAGCAGGCGCTTTTCTCATCCCGGAAAAAAGAAAGATAGGAAGGAAGGGAGGGGGGGAAATAGGGAAGGAAGGGAAGGAGGGAGGGAAGGAGGGAAGGAGGGAGAAAAGGAGGAAGGAAAAAAGGAAAGAAGGTTTCTTCCAGTTCTACGTGGGCTTAAACCTGTCTCTTGTCGTCTCCATCCTGGTGGATGATAGCAATATCCTTGGGCCTGGGGTCCTCTCCACATCAATCCTCAGCAAATTCTCCCAGCTCTGTCTCAAAGGAGCACCTTCTCCCCACCTCCCGAGCCCCACCTTTTCCCTCAGTGCCTTGCCCTGGTTTATCATAACTGCCTTGTGCCTGCTTCTTTCTGTCCCAACCTTCCCCCTGGAGGCTGTCCTCAAGAAAGCAACAACCATGAGCTCCTAAAAATGCAGTCACTCATGTTCCCCTGCTCAAACCACTCACAGCTCATCTCCCTCTAGGGCTAAAGTGGAAGTTCTTCCAGTGAGCCAGTCTTGCAGAATCATGTATTCTGCAATCAGAATTCCCCAGTCTCCCTGGCCTCTCTCACCTGTTTCCTGCCTCTCTCTCTAGCCACGCTGACCATGTCCCTTTCTTAAGGTCCCACTCCTTCAGGGCTCTCCTCCCACATCTTAATAGGCTCCAGCTGCTATAACAAATTACTGTAGACTAGAGGCTTAAACAACAAACATGTATTCTTTAGTTCCAGAGGTCAATGTCCAGGATCAAGGTGCCAGCAGATTCCACGCCTGGGGAGAGCCCGTTTCCTGGGCTGTGGGTGGCCGCTTTCTAGCTGCACCCTCATAGGGCTGAGACAGAGCTCCAGGTGCCTTCTCTTTTTATAAGGACACTAATCCCATCATGGGGTGTCTTCCTCATGACCTCATCTCACCCCAATCAGCTCCCAAGGCCCACCTCCCAATACCATCCCATTGGAGGGCAGCGTTTCAACATATGAATTTTGGGGGGGGACCCAAACATTCAGTCCATAGCGCCCCATATGCCCTCGTGTGCACTTGGACTTCGCGCCACGGAACGTGTGAGTCCAGCAGCCTTCAATCACCTCAGAGAGAGCCAGTTTGACCCAGGCTGTCCTGTCCGTGTTGATTAGATCAGGGTCCCCCCAACCCCCAGATGGACACGGGCAGCCTGTAGGCCACACAGTCAATAAGCAGGAGCTATGGAAAAGGATGACCACATTGAAAAATATTTTAGAACAATTTTTGCTTGGATCCTTCTTATATGTAAACTTCCAGATAATCTTCAACTGCAGTGGCTACCACCTATGTTAATCATCATGAGAGGTGTTTCATATGAATTAACTAATTCTTAGTTCAGCAATGTTGCAGACAAGTCTAATTTCAATAAGGTGGAAAATTCAAACATTGAACATCACCCTTCCTTCCGCAGGTTAGTGATCAATCCTGAAGGTCAGATGGTTCTAAGTCTCCTGATGGCTCATGGCTTCCAACAACTGGTACTGGGAATGTGATGCATGCTCTCAGCTCTCACCCTGTTCCCAGGCCGCGGTTGCTCTCCAAGATGGCCTCCTTTCTTTAACCCTCCACTCTCAAATCCAGCGTATGTGTCCCCAAGTCTGATTTACTCTCTCTGGCACAGTACACTTGACCTGCAAATACAGCAAGATGGCTTTTGACAGCTGGAGTCCTTCAGGGTGGGCACAGGCACGCCAAGTCAGTCCCCTCTGAGGCCCCACCTGCACGTGGGTTATAGCTCAGTGACTTTGCTACCTTTTTCTTCCAGTTGTCCAGAGGGTAACTGCTGTCATCATACATATATGTGCACACACACGCGCGCACACACACACACTCATGCACACATACAGGCGCATATGCACACACACGTTCTCTCTCTCTCTCTCTCTCACACACACACACACCCTCTTTCCAATGGCAAGTAGCCATTTTTCCCATCCCCTTAAGGAGAGAACAGTTTCCTAACCAGTCCTCGCTCTTTGAGGCCACCTTGCCCACAGTGCAGTTAGTACTTCACAAGACTTCACAGGATTTTGGAGAGCAGGAGTGGTTCCTTTTCTTTTGTCTTTGGTACATTTTCAAATTTGCTGACTGGGTGCTAGAAATAAGAAAAGAACTTGAATCAGCCAAGCAGAAACTTCTAAAGGGCCAGTCCATAGCCACAGAGAGACTCAGCGGGAGATTCTGATTCCTTTTTTGTAAGAATCCAATTAAATTATTTGACAAGGTGTCCCCCAAGTCCTACCCCTGATCCTACCCCCGGTGTCTAGTTGAAATGCAGGCTGATGGCTTTGTTCTTCCAGGTGACATTATACACATCAGGTATAGAGAAGGCAGCGTTCAGTCTATCCCAAGGAGATACTAGCTTTTTCTCAAGTGATAACGCTTCTGAGAGTCCTGCAGGAACACTCAGGACTTGCATGATGCAGGAGAGCTGAGAACACAGCCAGCACCCCAAGAAGCGTTGGCATTTAGGAAAAATGATGCAAAAGCCAGCGTTGACGGAGGTGGTACAGTCAAGCAGGTAAAACTTGTAGTCAGATCAGTTCAGTGAGGTCTGTTCATGGGCCAGGAAAATGGTACACAGTGAAGGCAAGAGAATAATTTGGGGCATATTGATGGGAATCCTGGGCTGTTGGAGCTCGACAGGTAAGGCAGGTGAGCTGCAGCATTGGGGGGTCTGCCTGGGTGGCAGGGCCCCTGCTACCAGTTGGGGCATAGGTAAGGGCCATAGTCCTTTGGAAGGAGTTGAGCAGTCTGCTTCAGAGTCCCCTAAAAATAACACATCTGGCAAAGGGACAAGGGAGGTAGTGCTGGAGCAGTGCAACAAACCATATATCTCTGGAAGCCCTAATTTGCTCAACAGAAAGGTATGCCAGCAGTCTACTCTCAGGAGTGTTTGGGAAGCAAAAAAAGGTCTTGCTACTGAGAACCCAGGTTTAAGCAAATGTGCCAACATGAACATTTAGAGAGAAAGGGGCCTGTCATCTTAGGTTGGATAATAGTAAAAGGAGGGAACTCTGGGTGTAGTCAAACATGAACCAGAGTAGACAAGATGAGTACTCACCACCAGCAGCTTTCCCATTATTCTGGAACTCAGAAAATGGTACTGGCAGCCCCCTTGCACTTGGGAGGCCATATGACTAGGTCTGTCCAAGGAAGGGTGGGCAGAAATGGCACGGGTCATTTTCAGGTGGAGGTGGTGAAGAAGCCATGCCTTACTCTGACATGTCTCTGGCCAGAGCAAAAAAGGTGGAAGAAGCTGGGTCCCTGAGTCTCTGTATGGAGGACATGGCTTTGAGGAGCCGACCAAACCCACAGTGAAGGGAGAACACACTCTTCTGTGTACTGTTGTATGACTTGGGGCTTGTGTGTTAGGGTGGGGCATAGCCCAAGCTAACCTAACTAATATAGCAGGTTTCAAGACTTTCTGAAACACATTAAAGTATAAGCCCATGCCTAGAAAGTCCAAGACAGAAAAAAACCTCGAGTCATTAAAAGGTCTTAAAGAAAACCCCCAAAACTCTGATTCTACAAATAAATATTATCCCAATGAGGAAATGAGGAGTGAAGATACCCAAAGCAGAAAATGTCATTGAATCAAGAAGACCTCTGAAATGCTTAGGAATAAAAGAGACGTGTAAAAAATGAACATAGAATATTTGACCCACCGCAAATGCAAATGAAGAGCAGTGAAATGAATTGTTTCAGGAAAACTGGGACCTCAAAATAATGGAAACTTGTTGAAAAAGCAATGGGCCTTCAAAAGCCCTCAATTAGATATGATCAAAGAAAACCAATGGGAAAAAGGACCACCAATGGGGGCTAAGAAAAGAAAAAGAAAGTACAACTGCTCAGCTGCTATTTTGCTTCCAACTTCTCTCTAAGTGGGAAAATCATGGAACATGAAGGGAGGTGAAACATGATTGGATTATTGTGCTTGATGCTGGGCACATTTTTAGAAGAAATCTAACCAGTTAGCTCTTCTCCGAGGAGAAACTATCAGAAAAGTAAAAGGTCAGAATCCTCTTATATTAGCACAGGTTGAAGGCCGGGTGCAGCAGCTCAAGCCTGTAATCCCAGCACTTTGGGAGGCTGAGGTGGGTGGATTACTTGAGCTCATGAATTTGAGACCAGCCTGGCCAACATGGCAAAACCCTATCTCTACAAAAATACAAAAATTATCCAGGCGTGGTGGTGTGTGCCTGTGGTCCCAGCTTCTTGGGAGACTGAGGTGGGAGGATGACTTGAGCCCAGGAGGCAGAGGTTGCAGTGAGCCAAGATCATGCCATTGCACTCCAGTCTGGACAACAGAGCCAGAGCCTGCCTAGAAAGAAAGAAAGAAAGAAAGAGAGAGAGAGAGAGAGAGAAGGAAGGAAGGAAGGAAGGAAGGGGAGAGGAAGGGAGGAAGGGAGGAAGGAAGGAAGAGAGGGAGGGAGGAAGGAAGGAAGGAAGGAAAGAGAAGATGTAGTGGAGCATAGGGGCTGCAGTCATTGAGTGTTAGGCATAACTCTTGGATTCAAGTGTCCAGAATCTAACCTGAGAGGGAAAAATCTACCAGCTCAAGGACCCCCAAACTCTGGACTAATATGAGCATAGAAAGATCCAAGCCCTTAGGTGCTCTCTCAAATTCACCTTCCCTCCCTCCCTACTTCCTTCCCCTCTCTTCTTCACCTTTCACTCTGCTTCCATTTCAGGCAGACACGTTCTACATGGCAGAAAACAAGACCACCACAGCTCCAGGATCACAGCCCCCTCCATCACTGTGGGACACATGTTTCCAGATGGCTCCAGCAAAGCTACTTATGGTAACACTGAGAGGCTCCTGTGAGTCATGTTCTCTTTATTAGACCAGTCATGTGGCCAGGGCGATGACATCGTCTCATTTGCTGGCTCATCCCTGTGCCTACAGCGACTGGGAGAGGGACAGCCCCCAAAGCGTAAACACAGTGGCGTTACCAAGGAGGGGGCAAGGGTCTCCAACCTACAAGATGCTGGCCTGGAAAAAAATGAATAAAACATGTCCCATACAATACATTTGAAAGGTTTTCACATGGATTTGATTTGAAATATTCATTCCTAGGCAGCATTACTCAGTCCAAGTTGCAGAGATTTTTATTTAATCTAGAGAAACCCTTTTTTAGAAAAATTGGAACTGTTTTTTAAAACGGAAACAGAAAAAGAGAAGAAACATTCTGCTTCATAAAGTAAAGAGCATGGTTATTCACCTGAGATACTGAGGTGAAATTCTTGCTTTGAAAGAGAGGCTGAGTCAGCTGGCTTTCAAAGTCAGTTTCTACACTGACATCAAAACCCTAGGATTCTATTGTATTGTTCAAAGAAAAAAGAAAGCACATAACCAGAAGTACAACCAGGAAGGCAAACTTCAGCAAGATTAGGCTGATAACAAATGTTCTTTTCTTTTTTCCCCCATGGATAAATATAAACCCACTGTGGGTCTGCTGTTCTCTAGGTACCAGCGCAGCTTACTGGCTTGAGTGTCAGGGAGCTCTGAGATAGCTTCCTTGGGGACACAACACTCTTACTTAAAAATGGAACCTTTCAACATATGATTTTAGTTTTGCTGCCCCTGAAAGTGTAAGGTGCTCCCCACATTTCAAGGTGATGTTCCCGACCACAGGGTCACTCCCACCCATCCTGTGCCCGGCAGCACCTGGGCCCCTGACATGGAGTTGCACCCAGCAGAGGTATTTAATAAATACTGGTTGGATTCATGCATGAATAAATTAGTTGTTTGACTAATTAATGAAAAGCCTTATTTAACATTAAGATGGAATGAGCTCATAAGATAATCTAAGTGTTTCTGGAAATGAGGTAATTATAAGCCCTTTGGTCTAATTTTAATGGATAAGAGATATTTTAGAACTTTTTAATTCAAAATGAGGCCAGGTGCAGTGGCTCATGCCTGTAATCTCAGCACTTTGGGAGGCCAAGGAGGGCAGATCACCTGAGGTCAGGAGTTCCAGACCAGCCTGGCCAACATAGTGAAACCCTGTCTCTACAAAAAATATAAAAATTAGCAGGGCATGGTGGTAGGCGCCTGTAATCCCAGATACTTGGGAGGTTGAGGCAGGAGAATCGCTTGAACCGAGGAGGCGGAGGTTGCAGTGACCCGGGATCATGCCACTGCACTACAGCCTGGGCAACAGAGCAAGACTCCGTCTCAAACAAACAAACAAAATTAAAATGAATTATATCATGCATTAACTCATTTCACAAATCGTCCAGTCTTAAACAATGTGAGTAGCTCATTGGTAAAGATCTGAATGCAGCAGATGGAACGTTGTAGAACTTTAAATTTATTCCATTATGTAACAGTTCATGATTAAAGTAAATAAACAAAAATTTTGGCCCAATTGTCCATGAACAACAATTTTGTTCAACGTAATTATCAGACATCTCTCTGAGTTACTTTCTCTATACTCGCAGTGAACTAGTTAGCAGTGAACTAGTTAGCACTAAACTTATCCCCACATTAGAATTTTACTGCACTCCTGTGTCTGAATTATCTGACTTTTCCCCTTTTGTGTAGAATTTCCCATTTGCTGCTAGTTGAATACTGTTGCTTTGATTAAATGCTTTTGCCCTGGAATGGTTGGCCTTTTACAAACTGTTGATTAAACTAATAAGTGGACTTTTTTTTTCAAGGCTAACTGGAAATAGCAGAACTCTAGATTTTCTTCACTAAGAATTTCAAAGATTTATCTCTTAAAAGCTACTTAAATGTACTTCCTTCCTCTGTGTTAATTATAGTCCTCTGTGAACTTCAGAGAGAAGTTCAGTAGATGGAAGAATCAAAGTAAACTTTATTTATATGCTGTTACTTGTCTTTTTAGATTTTTCATTTGTTATTCTTAAGAAAGGGAAAATGTGGGATGTTCCCAGGTGAATATCCATGTTCAATATTCCAGGCGTTTAACTTGGCTTGAATTTTTTATTATTACAATTTCCAAACATGATTTTATTATTTCCCTTTGATTTACTCAACCTCAAAGAAAAATCCTCTGAAATTTACACGGAGAGAGGACTGTTTGTTCAATGGCAAGGCCATGGTGCTGTTCCACATTCTTGAGCCCAGAATAAAATGAACACATGAGCAGACAAAGCCTCCTTCTGGGGCTTCACTTTTGGATCCATCTCCCCTGCAGTGCCACCTTGCCTCTCCTTCCTCTTCTTCGGGGCTGTCTGTACCCTCTTCCTGCCCTTGCCCTCCTGTTGTCAGTATGCTGCTGTTTTGGACATCACTTGAGTAAACTAAATTGTACAATAGAAATTATAACAACTTCAAGGGTTAATCCCTCCACTATCTGTTGCATGTAATTGAAGACAATTCATTGGTAGTAGGTGCGGTAGGTGGTGGAAGGGGCAGGAATGGCGCCCTCCGAGAACTGTTTCCTGTGAGCTTCATCCTCGTGAGCTCATGCCACACCTAGGACTGGTCAACTCCGGGAGCCGAGGGATCAAGTTTCCGAGGCTGCAGGACCAAGGACCAGTGTAAATCCAATATGGTAGGTGACTGCAGAAGAGGCCAGGCTTCTGGGCGCCACTCCTCTCCTTCTCATTAAAGTCTCCTTTCAGACTTTTACAGACCTTCCTGGCATCTGCCACAGCCTTCCCCATCCTCCCAGACCCCTTCAGTGCCTCAGCGTCTCTTTCCTTTGCCCACTATGCCCCACTGTGGTCACCAACTGAATGACCACTCTGTGAATATTACCTGTCTCCTCCCATACTGGCCTGTGAGCTCCTTTTTACTTTGTCTCTGCACTAAGTACTTTTAAAATTAATTCATGAGTGAGTGAATAAGCTCCTCACATGGGTTTGACTTGAAAGACCTTGAAAAATTGGGTCCAGATGTCACTCCCAATGAAATTGTAAAATTGAAGCTGTCTCTACAAAGATAGACCCATCCATTTCCCAAATTGATGCTTGCCCCAAAACAGATCCACATCCTACATAGCACCCAATTAATTACAGGCCCTAAGATGCCTGGAAGCCCAACAGGCATAGCTAGGTCTGTGTGGCTGAAACTCATACTCTAACGTGCAGAGCCACCTTTTGGGGCTGACGAGTACAGCAATTTTCAGCTAACAAGTTGAGGCTGACAAGACCAGCAATTTTCAGCTAACAAGTTCTGAGGAGCCAGTTCCCCAGTTCATCCCAGTGATTAATGCTCTCCTGTGCCTGTTCCTTCCCGTTCGGCTGGGTGCAGTGCTGAGCTGGGGAAAGCTGGTAAGAGAGGTCTTGGGTTACATTAATCCCCCGACCTAAGGAAGAAAGAACATCCAAGCCTTCTTTTCCAAATAAGTCAAAAGAAGGTCAGAGAGACTAGAAAGTGATTTTGAAGAACATAAAAAGTAATCTTACAAAAGATTGCAGACTTGTGCTTAGAGCTATAGTCAAAGATTATTCCTTCATGGCTGTGTTTTGACCAAAAGAAAGCGATTTAACATATCCCTTTACCCAGGGGTCAGTACATTTTTTCTACAAAGGTTTAGGTAGAAAATACTTTAGGCTTTGCTAGCCATATGGTTTCTGTTGCAACTATTCAACTCTGAGGTTGCAGCATAAAAACAGCCATCAACAAGACATAGAGCAATGTGCATGATTCTGTTCCAAGAAAACTTTGTTTACAAAAGCACTTGGCAGGCCGGATTTGGCCCACCGGCCATAGTCTGCCAACTCCTTCAGCTTATTGAGTAGGACACAGTTGTACTTGGTAAGCCGTGTTATAGACTCAAAACAGATAACAGTTTAAAAACACAACACAAGTCTGCACTGAGAACCCATCAGAAATCAAATGTAAGATTCTCTGTTACTAACCTGACATATGTAAGATTCTCTCTGTTTAGAACAGAATTTCTCATCCTCTATTAACATTTGGGTTGGATAATTCTTTGCTACAAGAGCTGTGCTGGGCACTGGCAAGATGTTTAGCTGCATCTCTTGCCTCTACCCACTGGATGCCAGTAGTACGCTTCTGCTGCCAAGTTATGATAATAATAAAGTGTCTCCAGACATTGCCAAATAGCCCTGAGAGAAAATTGTCCCCTGTTGAGATCCACTGATTTAGAAACACAGACAAATGCGATCTCGTCCAAATGGCAAGCTCAAGGTGTCAAAACACTGATGAACCAAACTGTGCTAATATAGCGAATGTTCATTGTCAGCAGAAAAACCTCTCATCCTGGAAGAACCATTTCAACTATTTCCTTTTCCATGATGCTTTCTATGTGTGCTGACTTCCCCACTGCCACAGAACAAACACCATGGGAAACTGGTATCATGACAGGGCCCTTCTGAAGACAACCTTAGTCCAGTGGGCACGTCTATAATGGCACATTGGGAGGGGCGGTTACTAACAAGGCCTCTTAAAAGCAAATGGGACCTGCAAATGGTGCCAGCATTGGGCACTCGTAAATCTCTCCTGTGCTGGCAGCTGGGGTGGTGTGAATGGGAGGGACCTGTGTCATCGTTCAGGCTGCCTGGATTGACGGGCTGCCAGAGTGTGCCAACAGCTGCTCACTGCAGAAGTGCAGGGCATACTGTTTCCACACAACCACAGCCAGCAGGCTGCCAGAACGCACACACCACATATGCTCACATCGTGCACACAAGGTACTCATGAATGTGCATGATAACTGGCAGGTGCTTAGAGGATGCCCGGCCAAACCCTGAACTCTGTGCTCTCCACCCCGTCCCTGGCTCTGAGATGTGGATGCTGATCCTGCTCCCACCCTCTGTGGGCCAGATTTTCAATAACAGAGCCCCTGCCTCATGTCCTTGTTCCTTTGTCTCTGTCTTATCCCCAAGTCAAGCTGCTCACGTTCCTGTGTGACTGGATTCCGAAGTAGCCCAAGTCCTCCCTGGCACACGTTGGGTGTCTGCTCTGTCTTCTTTTCACACCGTCCACCTGCTGAAAGCTACCTGTCTTCTATGGTTCCCCCTTTCTGTCTGCTGCTGGGCCCTGCTCTGGTAGCCTGCCTGCCCCTGTGAGCCTGTAGTATCTGGGCTTACTTTTCTGACCACTGACTACTCTGACCTTTCTCTAAACTTCCCAAGGCAAACATATCCCTGCTGACACCCGGAAACACTGCCATTGTTGGGAAAGCATTTTTGGCTGGAGCTAGATCTATGCCAAGGATAAGCTAAAGTTGATCTCTACAATACATTTTCCCAGAGGAGAATCAGCCTGAAGGATCTGTACTAGGTTTTCCATCAGAGTTGGTGAGATCACTGGAAATGACACCTGGTCCCAAGCCATACAGGTTAGAGTGCTGTGACCCAAGGAGGCATGTGGTGGAGGAACAGGAGGATGGCATCCCTCCTTGGCACCCTTGATGCCAGGAGCAAGTCCTAAGGAAGGTTAGGATGCACCCCCTCACTCCCTCTCAAACCGCATTCATCTTCCATCCCAGGGTCCTCAAAATGGGGCCCCAGTCAGCACTTGCAGCCTCACCTGGGAACTTGGCGAGATTAAAATTCTTAAGCCCTACCCCAGACCTACTGAATCAAGGACTCTTTTTTAATTTTAATTTTAATTTTTTTTTTTTGAGATGGAGTCTCACTCTGTCACCCAGGCTGGAGTGCAGTGGTGTGATCTCAACTCACTGCAACCTCCACCTCCTGGGTTCAGCGGTGAATCAAGGACTCTTGACAAGGGGCCCCAGCATCTGTGTTTTGACAAGCCCACCAAGTGTTCCAATGCATGCCCCAGGGTATAATCACCTGGGAAAAAAGAGGGAGGGAGGGAGGGAGGGAAGTGTTAGAAATGCTTGTTCCCTGGTGCCATAAAGAAGTAGCCCTTGAACATAAGTTTAATTTCCTCAGCAAGGCCATTTTTACTTTCTGCAGAAAGGCTACACTCGCCAGCAGTTTAGCCATGACAGTACATCGAACAAAGGAGACAGGGTCATTTATAACCTGACGCGTCCACTCTACTGCTGTATCCAGTTTCCACTGGCTAGAATGGGACTTCACATTCTGTATTTGTCCCGATTGGCTAGCAACTTAGAACTTTTTAAAAGAGGCAAAGGCAGAGGAGAACAAAGGAAGGAGGAAGTAACTTGTGGAATGCTGAGAAAGGTAAAAACATCTACAAATAAGGAAGAGGAACAGGCTATGACCTAATGCTTGCTTGGACCAGTATAAGCATGCCAGGACAAATATTTAGGCTAAACTGTGGGAGCCAAGAACATAAAGTACATTGATTTCTTTATTGTGGCTAGCAGATATTTAATAATGTTAGCACAGGTCTTTGAATAAATTTTGCTTCTAAAAGAAGTTACTATTTATTCCTAATTAGATGGGGAGGAAAGTCTTTGAAGAGGAACTTCTACTTTACTTCGGAAGGAAGGAAGAGAAGGGAAGGGAAGGGAAGGGAAAGGAAGGCAGGAAGGAGGAAGGAAGGAAAGAAGGAAGGAAGAAGGAAGGAAACGAAAGGAAGAGAAGGAAGGAAGGAAGGAAAAAAAAAGAAATGGAAGGAAGGAACGGATGAACGAAGGGAGGAAGGAGGCCCTGGGTCCCCTGCACAACTGTATGCCTTTTGAATCTGAATCTCCCTTGGTAGGATTCAGGTAGTCATGCACTTATTTTTTAAGATCCCAGGTGATCTCAGTGTACAGCTGAGGTAGAAAATTATTGATCAAAGCCAGTAATTCTGAACACTGGCTGTACTTTACAAACACCTGGGAGCTTTAAAAAATCCAAGTGCCCAGGGTGCACCTAAGACCAGTCACATCAGAACCTCCAGAGGTGGGACCGGGACATATTCTACACCATCCAGGAGATCCCAATGGGCAGCCACATTTGCAAACCACAACTTTAGGCCAGTTCCGTTCCACTCCATGCTATCTTTAATAAACAGGATCACTTGGATAGAGGTGAAGTCCCAGAGGTAGGCATCACACACAAACGGCAGTTTAAAATCAAGCCAGTAGGCCCAAGTCACAGTCTCTGACACAGCCAGGCCTCATCAGGGCTGTGAGAGGAGGAGGAGGAGGAGGAGGAGGAGGAAGAGGCAGATGCTCTGGCAGCAAGGATTCCAGTCACATCCACCTTTACTCTGTGTAGACATTGGGCCTTCGTTCCAAAAAAAAATGTTGATGAGTAGGTTGGTCCCACAGTTGGAGCAACAATTGAAATAAATAAAAAATGAAAAATAAATAATGAACAAATCAATAAATCAAAAAATTGAAAACCGCTGCTGTAATAATAAACCTAATTAACACTGAGTGCACCCTAGGTGCCAGGCACTAATCTAGAACTTCCCACAAAATCCCATAATACCACAGTTATGCAAGTTGTTACAGAAAGAAAATCTAAGCACCGGGCTACCAAGCACCTTTTCCAAAAGGACTTAGGGAAAAAAGTCTGCAACTGGGATAAACCCAGGTAGTTTTTGTGAAGGTCACCTGAGTCACCATTCCAACTCTGCCAGGAATAGACTCACCTTCAGCAAATCACACTGCACCTGGGTTTCTCACCTGTCAAATGGGGGCATGGAGGTGGAGGGAGTTGTCAGTGGAAGACAATTTTTCCACGGACCAGGGCTAGAAAATGGTTTCAGGATGATTCCAGTGCATTACTTTCATTGTGTACTTTATTTCTATTATTATTACATTGTGATATATAATGAAATAATTATACAACTCACCATAATGTGGAATCAGAATCAATGGGAGCCCTGAGCTTGTTTTCCTGCAACTGATGATATTATGTGGGGGTGATGGGAGACAATGACAGATCATCAGGCATTAGATTCTCATAAGGAGCGCGCAACCTAGATCCCTCCTGCTTGCAGTTCACAATAGGGTTTGTGCCCCTGTGAGAATCTGATGCCACTGCTGATCTGGCAGGAGGCAGAGTTCAGGTGATAATGTGAGCCATGGGAGCAGCTATAAATACAGATGAAGCTTTCCTTGCTCACCTGACACTCAACTACTGCTGTGTGGCCTGGTTCCTAACAGGGCACAGACCACCACAATTGGGACCACAGACCATCCTAACATCCTAACAGGGCACAGACCACCACAATTGGGACCACAGACCATCTACTCTGCTCCCAATTGACCAGCCATGGCAGCAAATAAAAAGGAGCGGGCACTGCCTTGCAGCCCATCCCGAATGCTTGCATAGTTTATCTGAGTGTGAAATAACTAGGCCAGGCGGGTGGGGACAACCATCAGCATAAACACAAGATGGAAAGCTTCCATCAGCAGCAGGGATGCTTTTGTTTTCATGAAAATGACACTCTCTTGTTAAAAGCTGAATTAAAGAATAGTCGGTGAACCCCTTCTCAGTGACAAATTAACCTTCTCAGAACACCAAGTTTTTACATAGGGGGTCCTGGAAAAGGGGAGAATACTCAATGCTCTCTCGTTACCTTCATCATTGGGAAGTGAAAAGAACATGGTTTGAGCTAAGGATGGGATTCTCAGGAGGCAACACGATTTATAAAATAAACTAACTTGTTTATTTAACTTTAGAAAAGAGAAAATTGTCCGGGCTCAGTGGCTCACGCCTGTAATCCCAGCACTTTGGGAGGCCGAGGAAGGTGGATCACAAGGTCAGGATATCGAGACCATCCTGGCTAACACGGTGAAACCCTGTCTCTACTAAAAATACAAAAAAATTAGCCAGGCGTGGTGGTGGGCCCCTGTAGTCCCAGCTACTCGGGTGGCTGAGGCAGGAGAATGGCGTGAACCTGGGAGGCGGAGCTTGCAGTGAGCTGAGATCGCGCCCTTGCACTCCAGCCTGGGTGACAGAGCAAGACTCCACCTAAAAAAGAAAAAAAAAAAAAGAAAAAGAAAAAAGAAAATTAAGAGATCTTATCAAAAATCACAGATTTCACCTTCACCCCACCCCATTCCAAAATCCATCTCTTTGATATCTTTTTAAAGGCCTTGGACTTAACATCAGCTTCTCTTCTATCCTGCCAACTTCACCCCCTCCTCCCTGGCATTTAGGACTTTTCCAGTTTGCTCCCTCTTCTCCCTCTTGAGTTCTCTGGGGAAAATATTATCTCCTTTGATTCAACAATTCTACTTCCAGGAATCAATGCTTATAAAACATAAAGAGATGAGGCTGAAGATATATATACATGGAAGTGCATCAGTGACCTTTTAATAATACGGAAAAACTTCTAAGTTCCACACACTGTGCTAAGGGCTTTTCATGCCTTTTCATTATCTCATTTAATCTTCACAAAAATGTGTGGTGAGTATTATTATTCCCATTTTTATAGGAATAAAGAAACAGATACAAAGAAGTCAAAAAACTTATTCAATATTATATCCAGATTTGTCTAACTTCTAATCCCATGGTTTGAGCTAAGGATGAGATTCTCAGGATGCAACATGAATCATACAAAATAAACCATGCATTATCTCATGTAGAGCTCCTACACTATACTACAACATTTATAAATGTTATAATACTACACATTTTATAAACTATGATACCACATTTGTTAATCTTGTAAGTGTTGGTGTGTGTGTGTGTGTGTGTGTTCGTGTAGAGATGATAGAGCTACAGATAGAGTTAGAGATATGGATACAGATACACACATAGGGACAAGAGTTAAAGGATATACACCAAAATGTTTATATTGGTTATTTAATAGGGATGGAAAACTTTATATTTTTAAAAATTTTATTTTTCTGTGTTTTTCAAATGTTCCTTATTACATTCAATTTAATTCAGCAAAAATTTTTTAAGCTTTAATTATATGCCTATCACATAGTAACATATAAACAAGTATTACTCTTTAATGCAATAGAATTGTATTTCTATTTTACATCTAATTGTATGGTGGAAACACAGAAAACAATACAAGCTAGCAAAAATGAATGGATTCTCTCTTATGCAATTGGTAGCATTCGTTTACAATGCTCATCTTAATGTCTTATTCATAAGTTATGATATGATATAAATGGCTAATAATAGCAAAAGCAAGTAAATAAAATTCTACTTCTGTGTTGTCTGTTGGGAAAAAAAATTACTCTTAAAGCAGTCTTTCTGAAAAATTTCCCTAAGTCTGTGTTTCCAAATTCAGTGTCAGCAAAGGTATTTAACTCTTAGAGTGGGCAAAAAGGAGCTCATCCAGAAATAAAATTTTGATCATCCCAAATGGAGGGAGACAGAAGAGAAAAAGAATGCGAGTTAATGGATGAAGGGCAAAGCACTGCGTCTGAAATATGAGAGGTGTGGGAACACAGCATGTGGAAGCCATATCTCCATTTGTGTGTCCATCGTGTGGCACCGAGCTCTCAGGGCATCTGCATGCCTGTTCTCCAAATGAGTTCCTTCAGACCTAAGGGGAAGAAGTCCCATCTCATCAAACACACATTCACTGCTCATTATCTGCAGCAGATTACGATAGTGACCCAGATTCCAAAAACGTACTTTTTTCCGTGTTGCTCCCAGAAGTTCTTCCTAACCTGTCTCCTTGGTCTATTTTGCAAGTCAGAGTTGGAGGGCATAGAGAGGGATGCAAGGTGGGGAGTGAGAAAGCAGGCGAAAGGATAGAGGTAGGGAAGAGCCAAGGATGTGTCCTAAGGGACAGCATCTGAACCAGCAGAGGCACTCTCCTGCAGCATGTGTGAGCCTTGTCCAAGAACACCTGCAAAGCCAAGACTACCTGTTTAGAGGGCTCCAAAGTGAAAACCTGTCCACCACCTCCAGAAACCCAGCCATGGCCTGTTACAGTGGGAATTTGCCTGGCTAGCAATAAAGAGGCAATTCAGGCCTGCTAGGAGAAACAAGTGTTCCCACTCCATGTCTTCTTACAGGCAGACACACCCCAGAGAGCACTGGTTAGAAGGCTTGGTCCCTCTCCTAGCTGAGCCATGGGCTCCAGGCCAGACTCTGGCTCTTGCTCTGTTATAGAGTAAACCTCTTTGCTTCAGTTTCTCCATCTGTAAAACGAGGACATCTGACTAACCAACTACTTTCAAGATACCTTCTGGTTCTGGAGGTCTATGATTCTATAAGCACCACCAAACACATGCATGCTTCAAAGTCTTTATCATCAAATTAATGAAAACAGCTCCAAGTTCGACTGCAACTCATGCTAGTGATATGACTACTGCTTAGTCTCTCTGAGCTTCAGGTGCCTCATCTATAAAATGGGAACACTAATATCCACACTTGCAGAGTTTTGTGAAAATCAAATCAAGTAAGATTTAAATATCTAGTACAGCACCTGCTACATAGTAGGAATCCACACCTTCCCTTTGTAGTATAGTAATGTGCCACGTAACAATGAACTGCATATAGGACCATGGTCAAATAAGATTATAATGTCATATTTTTACTGTACCTTTTCTAGGCTTAGTTAGGTTTAAATACACAAATTCTTACCATTGTGTTATAATTGCCTATAGTACTCAGTACGGTCACATGCTGTAAACGTTTGTGCCTCGGAGCAATAGGACAGAGTACAGCCTGTACAGCTGAGGTGTGTAGTAGACAATACCATCTAGGTCTTTGTAAGTTCACTCTGTGATGTCCACAGAATGACAAAATTGCATTTCTGAGAATGTATCCACGTCATTAGTCAGTGCATGACTGTAAATGATTCCAGTGGTGATCGTTTACTGTCACACCAGGGTTCCTCAGCACTATTGACACTGGGGGCTGGAGAGCCCTCCGTTGTAGGGCTGTCTTGTGCCCTGTAGGATGTTCAGCAATTTCCCTGGTCTCTGCTCATTAAATGTCAGTAGGACACTCTCCCCGCATACAGTTGTGAACACTGAAAATATCTCCAGCCATTTTCCCCAGAAGGACAAAATTGCCCCCTTTGAGAACCACTGACTTATGCAGATCCCAATTGCACAAAAGAATGGGGGAAAGACACCTTGCATAAGATCATTCCTGCAGTGAGAGCCAGAGCTCAGGTGAGAACCCATCTCTTCAGAGCTCTGGTCCAGGTGTGACTGCCACTACCTCTTGGGATTTCTGGCCTCAGAGGGCAAGAAAGCAAGGGAAGGAAGAATGGAGCTAATACATTGTGCATCTTCTGTGTTCCAGAAACCATTATGGATGCCAGTTGAATAATCGTACCAACCAACTGGCAACCCAAATTCTTACCTTAAAGCAGGGGTATCCAATCTTTTGGCTTCCTTTGGCCACACTGGAAGAAGAAGAATTGTCTTGGGCCGCACGTAAAATACACTAACACTAATGATAGCTGATGAGCTTAAAAATGTCGCAAAAAACTCTCGTAATGCTTTAAGAAAAATTACGAGTTTGTGTTGGGCTGCATTCAAAGCCATCCTGGGCCAAACGGTCACGGGTTGGACAAATTTGCCTTAAGGGTATACTGAATTGATAATGGGAACAGTTTTTCAAAGCCCGAGAGAGAACAGAAAAGGTGCTTGAGTCTTGCAAGCTTTTGAGTTGGCTCTACATAAAAAGATAAATAGAATCCAGTCTTTCACCTAATAAGACTATAGTTAGATTCGTTCTTGCTATAGTTATAGTCCGGCTCAGTGGCACGATTCAGATGATTGATGCGTCTGCCCAGCAAGTGTTCATTCCCTTGCTTCCCCATGTTATTTCTGCAACAGATTGAATTCGTTAGACTAGATTGGACTGAAATTCCACTTTTTCATTTGTTTCTCTTCAAAGGTATCGTCACAGATAAATGGCTCTGGCATTAATCTTCCTAGAAAAAGAAAGTCACAGCATAAACCAGCCCATGCTGATGGCAGCCAACTTGGAAAATGTTTAACCCTTTAGAAGAAAAAATAAAGAAGCACAGCCGTTCATGCTACCCTGAGATTCTGCCTAGGATGTCATGCTTCATCAAGACAGTTCAGCTTCCCAAGTCGTAGATAAAAGACATTCCATGAATTTAGGATGCTCTTTGTCACCCCTGGTGTTAAAGGGAGTCACCAGGTCACAGGAGCAATGTGAGCATGAAACGGGAGGAGGAAAAGACATGACAACAGCTGGGAAGAGGATGTGAAACAGGCCCATCAAGAATGACGGGGTGAGTGCTCAGAAAGGGCCTTTCCAGGAGAAGTTTCTGGAGAAGAGAGGGAAAAGTGCAGAAAAGCAAGATTCACAAAATATTACAGTGCCAGTCACAGACACGCAGATAAAGGATGAAGGTGAGTATGCATTTGTAACATATACCCGAATCAACAAGCTGAACTTCTACATAAAACATAAGCTACCAGGAGGCTTTGGGCGAGGCCATTCGATATCTTAATGAGCTTTATTTATAAATGTTTGAGTGTAGTTATCAGTAATGATAGAAATTATCATCACAAGCAACTCCAGGTAAAAACATTCAGATGTGTGCACCGTCAGATTTGAAGGGCATAGATCTGGAGCTGGAGAAAGTAACACAGCTCAGTTCAGAGCTCACTGAGCCCCATTTGTGGGGTATGTGAAAAAGTGCAGACTCAGAATAACTGGCCAGGCACGGTGGCTCATCCCTGTAATCCCAGCACTTTGAGAGGCTGAGGTGGACAGATCACCTGAGGTCAGGAGTTCCAGACCAGCCTGGCCAACATGGTGAAACCCCATCTCTACTAAAAATACAAAAAAAAAAAAAAAAATTAGCCAGGCATGGTGGTAGACACCTGTAATCCCAGCTTCTTGGGAGGCTGAGGCAGGAGAATCGATTGAACCCAGGAAGTGGAGGTTGCAGTGAGCTGAGATCTCGCCAGTGCACTCCAGCTGAGTGACAGAGCAAGACTCCATTAAAACAAAACCAAACAAAAAACAAATCAGAGTCCTGTACTGATGTCCCAGGAGACAACAGCCGAAGCCGCCTTGGGGCTGATGGCCCATTTGGCACTCCAGTGATGTTTAACTACAGACCCAGGACATGACCAACCAATGGACAATCTCTCCTACCATGTAAGGAATTTCGTTCCTTTCCATGGATGCATTTCCCTAGGGACTCTTGGTGATGGAGTTTCCGCAAACACCAAGGCTATCATTTCTCAAGCAGTCCTAGCCTCTCTTGGCCTAGGATTAATGTAAATTTGTATAAACTAACAGGTCAGAAAGTTGACGAGTTCTGAGGACACTGGGCAGGATACAGAAGCTGGTGGGGATGGGAAGGGACATAGTGAGTGCTGGATGTCACAGGAGCAGTGAGAAATGTGAAACCAGGAAGGATGTGAGAGGCCTCAACTATACGGGTCCAGGTCAAAGTTTAACCTGAGCAAAGAAACAAAGTGTTACAGAATGTTTTTCTTTACCTGTGGCTGCTTGAGCCTGTGCACCTATTGGTGTCCTGAGGGCTGGCCTTCCAAGTCTCCTTTTTCCCCCCTCTTAAGGACTGGGCTCCAGGGCATGGTCCTACAGGAATGCTGAGTATTTCAAAAAGACGCCTTCTTGAGGGCCAGCAGCCCCTTACTGCTCACACAGGCCCCACACATAGGAGGAGAGAGGAGCATGGGTGCTGCACGCCTTCATCACTCATGCTCAGCACATGCCTCTAGCCTGACCCAGGCGTCCAGTGAGGGTGCCCCCTCCTCGCAGTACTGTGGGTCTGGAGTTAGAAGGCCGTCATCAACTGCATCTACCCAGCTGCCTCTGAGAGCAGCTACCAGCCAGGATGAATATTCCACTTCAAAATCACCCCAAGGACTAAGGAAAGTTTGTCAAAACATTTTAATTGCCTTCATAACCCCAAGTGGATTTTTATGCATGCGTTTACATCTGATTTTTTTGAATAAGCGTTGGATCAAGTATCACGGAAAATCCATCAAGACCACTGGACAAATGCCTTAAATCCCACTCAGCAAATGGGTTTGTAAAGTTTAATTTTGTAAGAGCAAAAGCTATATTCCTCTTAGAAGCTGAGTGAAGTGAATGCACCATAAAATAAAAAACTGCAGCAGCAGTAATGCAACTACAAAACTAAAAATTTTCTTTTCTTTTTCTTTTTTTTGAGATGGAATCTCGCTCTGTCCCCAGGCTGGAGTGCGGTGGTGCGATCTCGGCTCACTGCAAGCTCCGCCTCCTGGGTTCACGCCATTCTCCTGACTCAGCCTCCCGAGTAGCTGGGACTACAGGCGCCCGCCACCACGCCCGGCTAATTTTTTGTATTTTTTTTAGTAGAGACGGGATTTCACCGTGTTAGCCGGGATGGTCTCAATCTCCTGACCTCATGATCCACCCGCCTCGGCCTCCCAAAGTGCTGGGATTACAGGCGTGAGCCACCGCGCCCGGCCAAAAACTTTATTTTCATCTCTGATGTACAGAGTACATGTAGATATGAGCGCATGATGAGAGCTGCTAGAAGATCCAACAGCCAGCAGTTGTGATTTTATATATATGTATTATGTATTGTGTGTATATATATATATATATATATATATATATATATATATATATATATACACACACACACATTCATATAATTACTCAGAGTGATAATTCAGATATCATATTGAGTGCATTTTTTCAGAGCTCAGAGACAGGCAGCTAGAAAACATATTTTTCTCAGGCTGGGCACGGTGGCTCACGCCTGTAATCCCAGCACTTTGGGAGGCCGAGGCTGGTGGATCACCTGAGGTCAGGAGTTTGAGACCAGCCCGACCAATATGGTAAAACCCAATCTCTACTAAAAATATAAAAATTAGCTGGGCGTGGTGGTGGGTGCCTGGAATCCCAGCTACTCGGGAGGCTGAGACAGGAGAATCACTTGAACTTGGGAGGCAGAGGTTGCAGTGAGCTGAGATCGCACCACTGCGCTCCAGCCTGGGTGACAGAGGGAGACTCCATCTCAAAAAAGAAAAAAAGGAAATATATTTTTCTCTCTCTCTCTCTTATTTTGATATAATTATATTTATATTTATATTACATAATTTAATTATATAATTGTTATGTAATTATATTTATATATGATTTACATTTGGTAGAAAATAAATCGCCCTGCACATAAACTGTATAAGTTTTGCCATATGTATACACCTGTGGAAAGACTGCCACCGTGGTAGGCTAAAATAATGGCCCCCAAAGATGTTCACATCCTAACCCCCAGAACCCCGTAATGTGTTCCCTCAGATGGTAGAAGGGACTTGCAGATGTGAGGAAGTTAAGAGCCTTGGGATGGGGAGGTTATCCTGGACTATCGGGGTCTTACAGGGTTCTTAAACGAGGGAGAAGGCCACGTGACAACAGGAGCCTCCAGAAGCTGGAAGAGGCAGGAACAGAATCTCCCTGGATCCTCTGAAGGAACCACCTCTGCCGGCACCTTGAGTTTAGCTCCGTAAGACTCACTTTGGATCTCCAGAATGATAAGGAATGAATGTGTGCTGTTTTAAGCTACTAAGTTTGCAATGATTGGTTACTGTAGCAATAGGAAACTAAAACAACTACAATCAAACAATTTTCCTGGTCCTTCATGCCCGCTCCCTCCCACCTCTCCTTGCCCTGTTTTCTGTCACTAAAGATTTGTTTGCATTTCCTTGAATTTTATGGAAATAGAATTCTATAGTATGTACTCTTTTTTGTCTTGCTTCTTTCATTAGATATCATTATTTTAAAATGTATCTTGGCCGGGCACAGTGGCTCATGCCTGTAATCCCAGCACTTTGGGAGGCCAAGGTGGGTGGATCACTTGAGGTCAGGAGTTCAAGGCCAGCCTGGCCAACATGGTGAAACCCTGTCTCTACTAAAAATATAAAAATTAACCTGGCATGGTGGTGCGTGCCTGTAGCCCCAGCTACTCGGGAGGCTGAGGCAGGAGAATCACTTGAACCTGGGAGGCGGAGGTTGCAGTGAGCTGAGATCACACCACTGCACTCCAGCTTGAGTGACAGAGCAAAACTCCATCTCAAAATAAATAAATAAATAGATAAATTAATTAAATACAATAAAATAATAAAATAAAATGTATCCCTATTGCTGTGTGAGCCCATTTCTTTTTTTTTTTTTTTTTTTTTTTTTTTTGAGACGGAGTCTCACTCTCTCTGTCAGTCTGGAGTGCAGTGGTGTGATCTCGGCTCACTGCAAGCTCTGCCTCCCGGGTTCACGCCATTCTCCTGCCTCAGCCTCCTGAGTAGCTGGGACTACAGGCGCCTGCCACCATGCCCAGCTAATTTTTTTGTATTTTTTTAGTAGAGACGGGGTTTCACCGTGTTAGCCAGGATGGTCTCTATCTCCTGACCTTGTGATCCGCCTGCCTTGGCCTCCCAAAGTACTGGGATTACAGGTGTGAGCCATCACGCCCAGCCAAGCCCATTTCTTTTATTGATCGGTAATATTCCATGGTGTGGATATACCATAATGTTTAGCCACAAATGTGCTGATGGACATTTGGGGTGTTGCCTGATTCTGGCTATTACGAGGAGAGTTGCTATGAACATTCATGTACAAGTTTTGTCATGGACTTATGTTTTTGTCTCTGGTTAAATTCCTCAGGTGGAATCATGTAAGTGTATGTTCAAAATTTTAAGAAACAGCCAAACTTTTCCAAAGTGGCTTTACCAGTTACATTCTCACCGGCACATGAGGGAATGCCAGTTGCTCCCCAACCTTGCAACATTTGGTGTGGCCATTCTTGAACTTTAGTCATTCTAATAGGTATGGGGTGGTATTAATTCCTCAAAGAGCTAAAAGCAGAACTACCATTAAACCCAGCAATTCCATTACTGAGTACACACCCAGAGGAATATAAATCATTCTACCCTAAAGACATATGCATGCAAATGTTCATTGCAGCACTACTCACAATAGCAATAACATGGAATCAACCTAAATGCCCATCAATAACAGATTAGATAAAGAAAATATGGTACATATACCCCATTGAATACTATCCAGCCATTAAAAAAGAATGAGATCATGTCTTTTGCAGGAACATGGATGGAGCTGGAGGTCATTGTCCTTAGCAAACTAATGCAGGAACAGAAAACCAAATACCATATGCTCTCACTTATAAGTGGGAGCTAAATGATAAGAACTTAAGAGCACAAGTAAGGAAACAATAGAGACTAGGGTCTACTTGAGGGGGAAAGGTGGGACGAGGGAGAGGAGCAAAAAAGATAACTACTGGGTGCTGGGTTTAATGCCTGGATGATGAAATAATATGTACAACAAAACCCCATGACACATATTTAACTACGTAACAAACCTTCACATGTACCCCCAAACCTAAAATAAAAGTTAAAAAAAATGTGCATTTCCCTAATGATGTTTAGAATCTTTTCATGTGCTTGTCTCTCATCTCTTTTTCTTCTTTGGTAAAGTGTCTGCTGAAATCTCCCTATTTTTTGTTGGCTTGTTGTTTTCTTATCATTGAATGTTCAGAGTCTTCATTCATTCCACGAATACAGATAGTAGAACTTACTACACACCAGGCACTGTGCGCATCAAAGAAAAGGCAGACAAGATCTTTTTCCTCCAGGGTATGACATTCTAGGGAGCTAGTCTGCCATGGTGCTGGAAGACAATAGTGAGTCATGCTGTAGCAAACTGCATTTTTAAAAAATGGTCCCAGTATTATTTCTGATCTCAATGATGTCCCAGAGGATTGCCACTCATTATCACAAGATGGAGTCAACTTCCCTTCCCGTCTCCTGGGTGGCCATCTTTGGCTACCTTAATGAAGAGGCGCAGAAGTGACACCACAGGACTTTAGAGATTGGGTCACAGAAAGTGGTAGGGTTTCCACCTGGTGCATGCTCTCTCTCCCTCCCTCTCTCTCTCTGTCTCCAGACGATTGTCCTCAGAGCCCGTCTCCCATATCATGAGAACCTCAGGCCACGTAAAGAGGCCACAGGTCGGAGCCGGCAGCCCTGGCAAAGGTCCCAGCAGACAGCCTGCATCCATTACACAAGTGAGTGAGCTCTCCGTGTCTCCAGCCCGAGCCTTCGGACTGCCTTGGGAGGCTGAGCAGAGCCGAGAGGACGCTTCCCTGATGAGCCCTCCTCAAACTGCAGATTCATGAGTAAAATATATATTACTGCTGTTGAAGGTTGCTATGTTTGGGAATGATTTTTATGCAGCAACAGATGACCAAAACACCAGCCACAGCAAAAAATAGCATTGTTATATTTAATGAAAATAAAATGTTTGGTATTCTGAATAGCTTCTCCCACAATAGATGGGTATATTTATGTAACCACACACATATGTATTTAAATTTTAAAACGTGTGAAAACTATAAGTGAGTTCTCCTAATTTTATAAGCGTTTGCCTTAGAAACTTAAGATACATGTTTTGCAGCTAACAGTCCGAGAGTCTCAGAATTTCAAAGCTGAAAATGCTATTGGAGTTTATGGGCTCCAGTCCTCATTTTACAATCTAGAAACCGGAAGCCAGCAATCTTTCTGTTTATCTTGCATGACCTGGAAAATAAAGACACACATTCCTGCTTTGTCACTGTCATTATAACTTCTCTGTTTAGGATGAATTATACTAAATGTGGTAAGAAAATATCATTTCCTTCCTTATCTAAGAAAACACTTCTGTTTAAGAAGCTAAATTTGTCTCCAAAGTTATTAAAATTCCAACTTACTGCCCACTGACAGTCCTGAGGCTGGTGGTGAAGGCGGCAGGTGCCGGGTGGGCACTCGGTCTGGGTTTACATCCCAGCTATGCCACCTACTGCCTGTGTGACTTTGCTGGTTTCACTTCATCCTTTCTGGGCTTACGTTTCCTCATCTGTAAGATTAAGATAATAATATAGCATATAGGCCTCATAGGATTTTTTGAAGAAAATAAATGAAATACCCTATATCAAAGCACCAGAAACAGCTGATATTCAAAAAATGGCAGCAACTCTTCCGACTCTGCCACCCACTCTAACAGCTGCCCCTGGAATTCCATTCATGGGTCTTTCTTACTGAAAAGATAAAGTAATTCATCTTTTTTAGCTCTCTTATTTAGCTTTTCAAGAAGTACATGAAAATCAGTGTGAGCCATCCGAAAGGGTTTAGGCCTTATTGGGATGGGAAACAGGAGGCATTAGAGTGGTTTAAGCAGACAAGAGACATGTTCAGAAGCTGCCTTTATAAATGATTGCTTGGAATGCCGTGTGAAGACAGGACTGGGATGGGTGGCTGACTGACTAGAGGACCAGAAATCTGTGAGGAGGCTGTGCTCATAATTACGGTAAAGCATGTCAGTGGCCTCAGTTAGAGTAGTGGCAGTAAGGCATAAATAATAATAATTATTACTACAGCTGTTGTTTGTCGGCCATCTATGTGATTGCTGAAAGAGGACTCATCCAAGGAGATAGAAAAGCAGGAGAAAACTATATTGTTGCAGAAGCAGAGTGTGTTTTAACGAAAAAGTAGACAACAATATGGAATTCTTTTTTTTTTTTTTTTTTAGATAGTGTCTTGCTCTGTCACCCAGGCTGGAGTGCAGTGGTCCAATCATTGCTCACTGTGCAACCTCAAATTCCCAGGCTTAAATGATCGTCCTGCCTCAGCCTCCTGAGTAGCTGGGACCATGGGGCTACAGACGCATACCACCACACCTGGCTAATATTTTAATATTTTGTAGGGGTGGGGTTTCACTATATTGCCTAGCTGGTCTTGAACTCCTGGGATCCAGCAATCTTCGGCCTCTCAAAGTGCTGGGATCCTCTTGATCAACAAAGAGAGGCCTGGAATTGTAACCGCTTGCACTGATGCCCACTGGAAAGCTATCCTACCCTTTACCATATGGCCTGCACCCATCTGTTGATGGTTCTCAATCCCCTGTACAATAAACAGTGAGGTCAAGTGTGTGGGGTCTGTGAATAGTCCACAGAAGGAGAGGTCGTTCAATTCTTATTTAAACGGTGACATTTAATGATTACGGCGGTCAATTCTACTCCTTTCCACATCGCCAGGGTCTGCTTTCTTCACTGTGCGATGCTATAGCCATGTGAGTCATATCAGTGAAAGGAGACGGTGGCAGGCTCGGAATATGGATTAAACACTTGTTGCTAGTACTTGCTGTCAGCATCCTACTGGCTTTTAGCAGGAGCCTACTACAGAGGTGGTTACGTCCTGCAGAGGATGGCATAGCAAACCCTGTGACAACAGCATGGCTTCCCATGTCCCCTGTGTTTCCCACAGGGGGCGACACCAGCCATGCAGAGTGAAGATTGCACCAGGTGGGAGGTGCTCCTTGACGTCTCACCTGAGGACATTTGGGCATGATCCTCCTCTGAGTGTTGGGGGGCTCTGGCTCAGCGTCTGCATTTGCAAGCACTGAAAGTTTACTGAAGAACCAGCTTTCTACAAGCATCCCCCAAAGGTCAAGCCTCCAGACCTATGGAGAACCACTCTGGAGGATGCCTTCAACAGTCAACACCCAAAAAAACCTCCAGGAGGTGAGATGACTCCTGAAGGTCCCCTCCCGGACTTTTACTGCCATTCAGAGAGCCGACAGAAACAGCCCACTCCCACCCTCTGCCTTCTCCCAGTTCACACCAGGCTCCCTCACTTCTCCAACGCAGGATCCAGAATCTCTGAATTGGATGAGGCCTCAAAGACCGTCCAGCCTAGTCCCTTATTTCGCAAATGAGGTTGTGGAGACATCAGAAGCTGAAGTGGCTTGCTTCGGGTCATGAGTAAGAAAGTGGATTCGACTGGACAGTGTCTGGAAAGGTAGCCTGGAAGGGCTGTGTCTGTCCTCCAGAGGAAGCTGAGAGGAGGCCAGACCCCAACAGCCCAGCTGGGAGTCCGTCCCCTTCCAACCTGGGCCTAAGCCTCAGGAGTGAGTTGAACGGCTCTCCCCGCATGAGAAGACACATAAACTACCCACTAGTATGGTCAGAGTTGTGATCTGTGAAACTGGGCTAAAAACAGCAAGCTACATTTAGTCATTAAGACGTTTATTTCTGCAACTGCTTCCCACATTCCAAATCTATTCAAAAACCTATTCAAATAACTAAAAACTTGTTGGTAACTTTTTTACAACTCCCATGCAGCTTCAGGATGGCCTCGCTAGACACGCATGCAGTCTGAGCACCTGTTCAACCATACTCCACCAAGTCCTGCAATTATTGATGATAAGCCTGCACACAGGCCACCCACGTGCTCTTGACCAAAGCGGATCAGGCAGTCCCAGTCCCTTGCTAGGCATCCATGGGGAAATGTGAAAACAGTTCACAAGATCTGGGTCTGGAAGAAAAATAGGACTTTCATGAGTAGAGAAGAACAATCGAATCAGATGCAAAAGATGGGCAATGTACATCACAAAACTTTCAGTGTATAAGCACAAATCCACAGAAATCCATCCAAGTTCATGGAACCTGTGAAACTCATAGAAAGCTTGAAATATAAACTGTCCAACTAAGACAGCCCTAGCTCCAGTCAATAAGAGTAATTTCACTGGGTTCTCCATGGTCCAGGGCTACTGGAATTCAGAAGATCCTGATATTTACATCATGGATTGACAGGCTTTGGATATTTTGTTTCTTTTTACTTTTATATTCTTTATTTTGTTTAATTAATTTATTTATATTGAGACAGAGTCTCGCCCTGTTACCCAGGCTGGAGTGCAGTGGTGCAGTCTTGGCTTTGGATATTTTGTTTCTTTTTACTTTTATATTCTTTATTTTGTTTAATTAATTTATTTATATTGAGACAGAGTCTCGCCCTGTTACCCAGGCTGGAGTGCAGTAGTGCAGTCATGGCCCACGGCAGCCTCAACTTCCGGGTTCAAGCAATCCTCCAATCCTCAGCCTCCCAAGTAGCTGGGACCATAGGTGGGTGCCACCACGACCGGCTAATTTTATTTTATTTTTTTGTAAAGAGGGGTTCTTATTATATTGCCCAGGCTGGTCTCGAACTGCTGGGTTCAAACGATCTTCCCAGGAGGCCTCAGCCTCCCAAAGTACTGGGATTACAAGCGTGAGCCACTCCGCCAAGCCTGATATTTTATTTGAAAATACCTAAGCCTCACTTGCAGGACTTTGTAGCTGCAGGTAAGGCAGTTCCCGGCGGTCGGGATACAAAGAGAAACATGAGAAGCCCGGGTCCTTCCGCATTGAAGTTACTTCTTCTCAGGAGAGAACTTCCAACTTTCTTTACACTGTTAACAGAGCCTATAACGAGTGGCAATCATGACTAAATACTTGTTCCTTGGGCTCAAAAACAGGGTACATTAACGCGAACCTCCCGGACCTGTGCGGCATGGCCGAGCGCTCCTCTTTCTTTATGCAGTTCTGCGCTGGAACACACGGGGGCAGCAGAGTCTAGCCTGACCCCGAGCAACGTACGGAAATGTTAGGGGCACTGCTCAGTTGATAAGCCGGGGCTGGATGATGGGCGCACATGTATTCACTTATACACACATACGTACATATACATATGTAAAATGTATATACTTTTATATTTATTTATACTTCATATATAGTATGTATTTCATATATATTTCATATATAGTATGTTTCATATATATTTCATATATAATATATATTTCATATATAATATATACTTCATATATAATATATACCTATATATTTATATAACCTATTTTATACATTACATAATATATATCCTTCATGGGGAAGGATTTCTTTACATCCTTCTGGTCTACCCAAAGTTGTCTTTAATAGGCATGTATTTGTTAAATAATCAGGAAAAAAAAAGAATTAACTTGAAAGTGGAAGAAAATGCACATTAATGAAAATCCAGGATATATATTGAGAGTTTTTCCTCACAAAAATATATTTCAGTTTACAAAATAATTAGTAATATAAGGACTCTAAGTAACAATCTCTATTCATGACTGTATTAGTCAAATGCCTTTGAGCACCTCATATGTGTATAAGTCACTCTTTTAGTTTCCAAAGATGGCAAGAGAAGTCAGATCTAGTTACTGCCCGCAGTGAGCCCACAGCTGACCAGCCGTGAACCCCAGATAATGACTGTTATATCAGAGGGATGCGCAAAATGCTGTGCAGACAACAGAGACGGAGACCGTGAACTCTACAAGGGCTGAAGTCCCTGAGGATCTACAGAGGAGGGGAGGCTGAAGGTTTGTCTTCAAAGGTTAAGTAAGAATTGACCAGTTAAAGTGGCAAGTGGCGTATCAGACAGGGAACAGTCAAGACAAAGTTTATGGAGAGTTGGAAGAAGGAAAAGTTGGCTGGAGGTAGAGTGAAGGCTGAGCCATGGGGAACGGTGGTCCCGCCAGAGAGTGAACAGCCTTGACCTCTAGCTTACACTGCAATGGGATGGCTGGCAGAGGCTGTAGTTGAAGCCATGCCTGGGCTCTGGATACAGCTCTGCCAAGATAGGGCAGATTCGTGGTGGAGTTGGAAGGATAGAAGGGATGAAATATGTTGGTAGGTTCTCTATTCCAGTGACTTTCCAACTTTTTAAACTGCAACCTGCAATAAAGAATGCCTTTCACAATGCCACTCAATATACAGAAATATACATGCATGTGTGGTGGACATTCATATAATGCAAACATACATACAATATGTAATGCACTCCCACCTTGTATGGTCTCTATTTCATTAATAGAGAGAGATTTCATAATCCACTAACAGGTCGCATCTTACGGTTTGAAAAATGCATTCTAAAATGGTTTCTCAACCTCATACCTTTGACGTTTTGGGCCAGGTGATTGCTGGTTGTGGGAGCTGTCCTGTTCATTGCACAATGTTTAGCAACATATCCGCTAGATGCCACTAGCATCCCCTTCCCAAGTTCTGACAGCCAATAATGTGCCTGGACATTGTCAAATGTGCCCTGGGGTGCAAAACTGCCCCTTGGTTGAATACCACTGCCCTAACCAAAGGGAAATAATCTGGTTTTGGGGGAAGAGGACGTTTGACCTCACATTCAGGAGTGAGTGGCCCTACTTCCATAGGGGGTCACTAACCACCAACAAGAGAGAAGAAACTGACCAATTTTGAGCATGAATGACGGAGAGGGATCTAGAGTTAGTGGGAGGTCCTAGTGATACACAGATACAAACAGGCATGCTGCAGACCTTGTCACACAGCCAGCGTGCCACCGTGGCCTACCTCAAACCACACCTGCCTGCCTTCCTCTGCCCCAGCCCACCAAGCCTGCCCACCACAGGGCCCTTGCACATCCAGCTCTCTGCAAAACTCTTCATTCCCTCTCCTCCTGCTGGGCTCCTGTGGACCATTGAGTCTCTTAAAGGTCATTTTCCCCAAAAGGCTGTCTCCACTCCCCCAGCCGAATGAAGCTCCCCTGATATGCCTTCAAGACACCCGCTAGTTGTCACTTTGAATACTTACTGCAAAAGGTAGTTATAAGAGTATTTGGGGCCGGGCACAGTGGCTTGCGCCTGTAATCCCAGCACTTTGGGAGGCCGAGGCAGGTGGTTCACAAGGTCAGGAGTTCGATACCAGCCTGGCCAAGATGGTGAAACCCCATCTCTACAAAAAATAGAAAAATTAGCCTGGCGTGGTGGTAGGCGCCTGTAATCCCAACTACTCAGGAGGCTGAGGCAGGAGAATCACTGGAACCCAGGAGGCAGAGGTTGCAGTGAGCTGAGATTGCGTCACTGCACTCTAGCCTGGGTGACAGAACAAGACTCCATCTCAAAAAAAAAAAAGGAGTATTTGGATGATTATTTGCTTGATTTACTTTTTCCCCCTCAAGACTGTGAAAGTCCTGAAAGCAGGGGGTTTGCCTGCTTGGCTCACCCAGAACAACAAGCCGACTTGCTAAATGAGGGAGTGGTACTGCCAGTTGACTTCATTCTTGGTCCTATTTTTATCTGTTTTGAGATTGACATTAATGCGCCTTTGGTGGGCTGGTCTCCTAGGGCTAATTGTCATTTCTTTGCAGTAAGAAATGTTGAAAAGCTTTTTAAATAAAATAATGAAAATACGAATTTCTCACAAAGGCTGAGTTTCTAATAACATAATTATTCCAACACTCATCTTGAGACCACATAATTAAGAAACAGTAATACTTGGATATTTTTTTTAATTTGAGAGGTCTACATAAACGATTCTCTGCATGATTCTTTCTTTGATCATTGAAGCTGTCATTTTCTTTTTTCATTCTTAGGAAATCATTCCACATAACAAAATTGAATTTCTTTCAAGCCATAAAATTATTGGAATATAACATCCACCCTAACTTCATCTACATAACATGAAGTATATAATTTCCACTCAAAATTAATTCTCAATGTAAACAAGAATAACAATAAACCAAAATTCACTTATGTTTACTATGAAATAGATTTAACGATCAGGAAGTCCCATGACAAAAAAGGGAGATTCAGTGACGGGAACAGTGATTAAGTTAGCCAAGATGCTCAGCAGTAGGAGAATACACTTTTTTTTCCCACTTGGCAAAGCTTAAATAATTTTTTAAGTGTCAGATTCTGTTCTTATTTTATCAGCCAAAGGAGGCTTGGTTTCCAAGCCGTGTATCCGTCAAGAAATTGGAATTCAAGCAAACACATATTTTGAAGTTTGATGCATTGAAGCCAAACACTGTAGAGACAATGATAAATATGATATGGTCCATCTTAAAAATGTTTTTGGTGTTTGTGTGAAACATCCTGTAAGCTGGAATTAAGCAGCAAAGAGCAATGATGCCCAGAAGCTGCAGCCCCGTGTGGCCCCCTAATTCCACAGTAAGACCCCTTATTTGTCTTCAGAATAAAAGATGAGCACACCGCACACATGGTATTGTGTCCCAAGTACATCAACTTTCCATGTTTTGGCGTGGAAACAAGAAACATCTTTACTTCAATTCCATAAAGTAGTTCTCTAAATTTTAGAAATATAAATATGTTTGCCTTTTGGGACCAATATATATATTTCCCCTTGAACTCACTTATTCATCCATTTATTTCACAAATTTATAAGGAGCTTGCCCTGTGCTAGGTGCTGTGATACCTGCTGGAGACACAGTGGTGAAGAGACACAGGAGGTCTCAGCACACAGGTGAGACCCACACATGGGCCCCGAGTGCTGTGGGGGCACCAGGCACTCTGCTAAGTGCTTCATGTGCCTCACTCATCAACACAGCAACTCCATGGGGCAGGCACTGCCCTGGCCCTGAAATGAGTGAGGCCAAGGTGTGTAAGTGAACACGTGTTCACTTGCGCTGTGACCAGGTAGAGTCAGAAGTTCAGCCAGCACACACCAGCTGCAAGAACCCGGCTCTGAAGTCCTCATGTGTCACTAGTTCATGAGCTACTGATCACACACATGCAGTCACACAGATAAACAGTCACACCGTGCACAAGCTCTGGGAGGGGGACACACTGCATATGAGACTGTTTCAGATGGCAGTGCCCGGCCTGATGAGGAAGGGCAAGGAAGGCCCCCAGGGGAAGCCTTGAGGCAGTGTGGAAGGGTGGGTGGGTGGAGAGCATAATATGAAGAGGGAGGGGTCCAAGCTCAGCACAGATGCCAAGAGCCAGACCTTTGAAAATATGTGGCCAAGACCCAGGAGTGCCTGGACACACGGAAGCCAGCTATTACCAGAGATAGTGACATGCAGGTGAACATCTGGGGAGTAGGAGGTGGGGAAGGGTGTTACAGACAGGAATTCCTACTCAGGACACTGCTCGGCTCTAGATAGCGCAAAGGTGAATTTTCCAAGGTAAATGCACTTTGTGAGATCTCAAGTGCCACACAGATTCACAGTCACCCTTATTACAACATGGGGAAATTTTAATCACTGCTAATAGTAGATGCTCAAGTCCTAAGATCTTATGAAACAAGCCAAGAAAGCTACTTCTGATCAATTTTAAGAACAAGTAAAGAGAAAAGCAGGCCATTTGTGTACCGTTTCAAGCAAAAAGCAACAAGATGAATATTCTTCATGTATACATAGCCTACATAGGCTGAAGGCTCCATCTCAAAATTCCCCTTCACAGCCTAAACCTTCCTCAGCCCCTGAGTTGACCACCCTGCCTATACCGTATTTTCCCGTTTCTCAAATCACTGGCAAGTGTTATTTGGGAATTGAGTCATATTGGCTAGTTTTGTGCCACCATGAGGAAGCTTGCAAGGTCTTTGGTAGTCAAGCTGATGACTTACGCTTCCCTAGACCAGCAGCTTTGTCTGGGCACACCCAGATGCGTGCAAACACTTTGAGCACTGAAGGTCCGCAGGCCTCCGCAATCACTGAGCATTTGAGACTCCTCTGGGGCCATGCATCCACCAGCTCTCAGCGCAGGTCAGAAAAGGAGCCTCACAGAGACTTCTCATTTATTTTACATTCATTACCCTGCTAATTTCCAAAGCGAGGTGCCTGAAGCTAGCTTAGCAACAAGCAGGCGTGACGGCTGTCCCACGGCTGATTCTGAATGTGCTTTGTCAGTGTGTTTGTTTTTCCTTCGTGCTAACTTTATCTTCAGAACCTATTAAGTTTAATCCCAGCAGTACTAATTAGAGGTGGCAACAACAGAAATCCTCTGCAAGGGCTTTTAGAAATCGACCGCCACTTCAGTAAGAACAGCCATGCTCTTCTTTTCATTCCTTGTCGCTTCCTCGGGCATTCCACAAGGAGCTACAATCTGGTGTTTAGAGAGCTGAAGGGCACTTATAGAACCAAGCTCTACACCAAGTAAAAAGAGATTTTAAGCATATGTGGATTCAAATGAGAAATCTGTGCAAGTGTGCCACACACCTCTCTTAACCTCATTTGGGGATTTCTGTGCATACTGTACTTAAAATTAAGTAAGATAAGCTGTTTTTAAGATGTCGTGTCTTGGTGGCGTTGAACCATAATTTTCTGCCTCCTCAGTGGAAGTTCAAGCTTGTGGTCATACAAGGAAATGTAAACTCTGAAACTGAAGAGCTTCACTAGGACTACTAGGGAAGTGCAAGTTTAGGGAAATGAAAGTTGTCTCCAGGGTATGACATCATCTGATGACCTTGTGATGAGCCCATGGTTTATTAAATGTGTTTAAAACACACATAGGGAAGTGAGGGGTGAGAGACGGGGCAGGTTAATAGCAGGGCAGCATTTGGGGGGAAGCCCAGAGCATGAGGCCTGGTTAGCACCATATTCACATGTCCTGTCTTCCTCTCCCACATCGGTTTTCCCTGCTGATGGGGTGGTGACGAAGACCAGATTTGGAGTTGGATCAGGGCCTCACAGACAAAGGGCACCTAGAGCCAACAGCACAGATGTGTCCTATTGGAGAAACACAGCAACTTGTTCTTCTGAGAGACGTACTGCACTGGCTATAGCTGCAGGTCGCCAGTTAGCCTGCTGGACAGCCACAGTTTGATTGGCATGCTCTGGGCTGATGCAGGGGTAACAGAGCTGTCAGTCCAGTGAGGGCATGATCAGTAACACTATTTGCGCCATCATATATTCCATGTAAGACTTCTGTCTTCAACACATCACACCCATAATTAACTCACCATTGAACACATTGATGAATCTGCCCTTACTTCACAAGCCACTTCTCACTCATTTCCTTACCGTAACACACCCTTTGAGATGCACCTGCACCTCATGAGCTGGCAGCTCGCCTACCCTCTGTGCTTAATATGCTTCTCAGTTTCACCCTTTTCATCTATTCATTGTTCTCTACAGCAAAGCTGAATATACTTGATACAGCAAAGTCATGTCACAGTAAGAATCTAAAGTCCATTAGGAGTAAGTTTTGGGAAACCTCTCCCACCAACCTATATCTAAGCTGAAATGGTTTGGGTCTGTGTCCCTGCCCAAATGTCATGTCAAATTTAATCCCCAAAGTTGGAGGCAGGGCCTGGTGGGAGGTGATTGGATTTTGAGGGTGGATTTCTCCCTTTGCTGCTGTTCTTGTAGCAGAGTTCTCAGGAGATCTAGTTGTTTAAAAGTGTGTGGTGGCCAGGCGCAGTGGTTCATGGCTGTAATCCCAGCACTTTGGGAGGCCAAGGCAGGCGGATCACCTGAAGTCAGGAGTTCGAGACCAGCCTGACCAACATGGAGAAACCCTGTCTACTAAAAATACAAAATTAGCCAGGCACAGTGGCACTTGCCTGTAATCCCAGCTACTCAGGAGGCTGAGGCAGGAGAATCGCTTGAACCCTGGAGGCAGAGGTTGTGATGAGCTGAGATTGCACCCTTGCACTCCAGCCTGGGCAGCAAGAGCAAAACTCTGTCTCAAAAAAAAAAAAAAAAAAAAAGTGTGTGTGGCACCTGCCTCTTCTCTCTCTTGCTACTCTGGCCATGTAAGACATACCTGCCTCCCCTGCGTGCCTTCCACCATTATTGAAAACTTCCTCAGGTCTCCCCAGGAGCAGAGCAGAAGCCTCTATGCTTCCTGCACAGCCTGCAGAACTGTCAGCCCATTAACCCTCTTTTTTCTTTTTAATAAGTTGCCCAGCCTCAGGTATTTATAGCAGTGCAAGAATGGACTAATATATAAACCATTAGCTGGAATCTGGTGAATAAAATCTCTTACAAGCTTTAGAATGTTAGAGCTGGGATTTACAGAATGACAACTAGCAAATAACAACATGGAAAAATGTCCAGCTCCCCTGTTGAGTAGAGAAAAGTAGAAGGGCTTTATGCAACTGGGTAAGATGTATACCCAAGCGTGGGAACAAAGGAACACACAAGAATTTTTAAAATTGTATTACGGTGATGGAATTACGGGTGATGTTTTCTCTATTTTATAAACTTGCCTTACTGTTCTGATTAAAAAGTATGTAAAAGCTGGTAGGAGCCTCATCCATCACATGGGCAAACACCTTCAATTTCCTACACAAGGACCTTCTTTGCATAGTAGACTATTTCTGTTTAGCCTTAACTCTATGTTTTTAATATTGATGTTTTCTCTCAGGTGATGGCAGCCCTGGACCTCAGCAAACAACCTTGGTCTATGTGGCATTGGCCTGGAAATGAGTGTCTGCAGCCTGGAAATTTAGATCTTAAGTGTGCTCTTGTTGCAGTGTCTGACATGCCCCCAAACGACTGTCCCTAGAGAAACATCTGGGACTGTGAGTAACACACATGGAGAGGAAGAGAGGGAGGAAGCCATGGATTTTTCCAAAAGGTACCGTTGGGACATTATATGCAAAACATTAGGTCTTGGCCGGGTATGGTGGCTCATACCTGTAATCCCAGCACTTTGGGAGGCTGAGGCAGGTGGATCACTTGGGGTCAGGAATTTGAGACCAGCCTGGCCAACATGGTGAAACTGCATCTCTACTAAAAATACAAAAATTAGCCGGGCAAGGTGGCACATGCCTGTAATCCCAGCTACTCAGGAGGCTGAGGCAAGAGAATCGCTTGAACCCAGAAGGCGGAGGAGGTTGCAGTGAGCCAAGATCTCACAACTGCACTCCAGTCTGGGCAAAAAAGCAAGACTCTGTTTCAAACAAACAAACATTAGGTCTCAAAAATGTTTCTCAATTTTAAAAATATATATTCTCTTCCAGTGTTTTGAACTGTAGCTCCTACCTCCCCAGGGAGCTTTTATAATGTTGAAACACTAGACCCCTGCGACAATCAGCCCGGAAGACAGCAGCACCTCCGAGCAGCCTTCCTAGCTGCTGTTTCCTAAGTCATCAAAAGGGCTAGCTCTGGTCCCTGGGAACCCGGCGTTCCCCTGGGCTTGCCATCCCCCTTCTGTCAAATTCACCAGTTCAGCAATCAGATCAAGTCCCTCTCCTGAGGTTGTGAATATTGACAACAGCCTAATGCATTATCACCCCTCCGTTTGCTTCTTCTGTTACAATGAACAAAATTCTATGGAGTCACCTTCAGTCAGAAGCAATTTGTTATTGTTGTTGTTGTGTTGTTGTTGTTGTTGGCATCGGATCTTTTTCTTTCAGAGGGCTAATTTATTTTAAGGCTGTAAGTGCACTAGAACTTAGTTCTTCCTCAGGACCTTAAGTTGTTCTATGGACCAACAACTCTCTCCCTCTCTCTCCCCGCCTCTTCCTTGCTTTTCTCTGCATATCCATTTTGTTCCCTTCTAACCAATGACTGCATGACTTTCCTATCTGCTCCAGTGAAGGCTGGGGAGCATGAGTCTGGTCATCCTAGCTAACGTAGCTCTTGTAAGGTTGGGGTGCTGGGGAGACCCACTGCCCAGGCCTCGCTCCACCCACAGTGGTTCCTGCTCTGCAGACTGGGATTTGTAACTGTACCTACACCTGAGTTTTTATGAAGTTCCATGTGAAAATTTATGTAGGACTCCCAGCAGGAGGCTTGCCACATAGTAAGTGCTCAGTGAAGATTAGCTGTAATTCCTTGTACACATTCTTAATGATGGATCCCAAGAAGCCTGGGAATTGGCCATATCAGGGTCAGGTGCCCAATGTCCACCTGTGGCAAACTTCCCAGTGCTGCTTCCCTGAGAAGCCTTTCCTTTGGGGAACATCCCTTCTCCCTCCTACTGTGGCTCAGGTCAGCTGTTTGCCGAGGAACTCTCCCATTCAACCAAGGGTAGGACTTACCTGGGCTAAGCCAATCAGATTTCAGACAACTAAAAGGTCTCCATTTCCTTTCCAGCTTTAATTCTTCTTTTCTGTGTACTATTTTAGCATTTTATCTGCTCATCCTTCCACCCTCCCCTGTTCCTTGCTTCTCCAGGCCAAGCTGAGCTGAGATCCTTGTTTTAGCTGTGCAGTAAGGAGGGGATGGACAGGATAAACAGCTACAGCTCCTCTGGCCCAGGAGACACACTCCTTAGGCAAGAGACCCTGTGTAGCACGGGGTCTCTGAGGCATAGGATTTCACAGTTCAACTCTTTCCTCGTCATCACCAACGTTTACAAAAGGGACTGCACACAACTGTGAACTCAACTGCTTTTAATATTCAGAATCAATCCCTTTACTTAGTTTTAAATCCTGGTCTGCTCCCTAGCCAGTGGCTGCAAAAGGGCTCTGAGTTTCGTCCTGTTCCTTTAAAGATGTTTGGAATTTGAGTCTCTCCATGATGTTAGAGCAAGTGCTGCCCAGATGACCTGAGCCCTATCCATCTGCAATCAGAAGCCCTGGTGCCCCCGGATTCTGCCCTCTGTGGCATTCCTGTCCCCTGGGACCACAGGTGCACATTTAACTAGCTGTGTTGCCTCGACCCCCAGCATGGGCCTGCTTCACATCTTGGAGAACAATTAAGACCCTCCCATCCTTTTTCTCATTTTGGGCCAATTACTAGTTCCAAGTATTGCCACTCCTTGTCTCTCTGAAAATCCACGTTCAGCAGCTTATTCTCTGGTGCCAATGTCAGAGGTGTTTGAACCAGAACAACTCCATCTTGAATAGGGTCTGGGTAAAATAAGGCTGAGACCTGCTGGGCTGCATTCCCAGGAGGTTAGACATTCAAAGTCAAAGAATGAGATAGGAGGTCAGCACAAGACACAGGTCATAAAGATCTTGCTGGTAAAACAGATTGCAGTAAAGAAGCCAGCCAAAGCCCACAAAAACCAAGATGGCGATGAGAGTGACCTCTGGTCGACCTCACTGCTACACTACCACGAGTGCCATGATAGTTTACAGATGCCATGGCAATGCCAGGAAGTTACCCTATATGGTCTAAAAATGGAAGGAATTCTCAGTTCCAGGAATTGCCCACCCCTTTTGCAGAAAACTCATGAATAATCCACCCCTTGTTTAGCATATAATCAAGAAATAACCATAAAAATGGGCAACTGGCAGCCCTTGGGGCTACTCTGCCTATGGAGCAGCCATTCTTTTATTCCATTACTTTCTTAATAAGCTTGCTTTCACTTTACTATATGGACTCGCCCCAAATTCTTTCTTGAGCAAGATCCAAAAGTCCTCTCTTGGGGTCTGGATCCGGACTCCTTTCCAGTAACACCAATATCTGTATTTGCTAGGATTCTAGCTCGCTTTAATAGAAAAAAAAATGTGTAAAGAGAATACCTTGAAGTTTACAGAACTGGACAATTGGCTTCCAAAAAATCAGGAACCAGAGCTCCAAAGCCTATCAAGGTCATGGCCATTGAATCCTCCCCTCCAACAACCAGTCGTAATGGGATTCTACTAAAGATTCAAAGGAGATACAGAAATGTGCTTTTTACACATACAAACTCCGGGAAATATTTGTGGAAGTGGATTTTGACAGGGCTCAGCTAACTGTGCTGGAACAAAATGTTAGACTGAGCTGAATCTGTGCTATGGTTGCATTTATCAAGAGGGCGGTTGGGTGTGCAATATGCACAGCTGGCTGGAGATCTGTTACTTTGCTGGGATGGCGGATGCAGACCTAGGCTGAAAGCTGGCCTGCGGCAAATGACTTCAAAAGGCCATGCATTCCTTGCTATAACGAAAATGAGGGAAATCAAAGGCCTGGGGAGACTGGAATGCTGGGCTGGATGTAGCTTGTTTGTTCTACCCACACACACACTCTGCTCCCCAGAGAGGTTCCCTTCATGTAGACCTTGAGGAAAAGGTTGGGGAAGAAAGTGCAGGACACTTTAAAGAATCTGTGCTGGCTGTTCTCACTGGACTGGAATGCCCATGGGAGAGGCTTCAGGATCGCACTGAAGAGAAGAGCCAGGGTGCAGCAGTGACCATCAGAGGGAAAGTAGCTGGGGCAATCTAATAGTGAATCCCATACATTTCCCACCCCATGACCTAACCAGGCTTGAGAGGCTCACATGGCCCTAGGGACTCAGCCTGCAGGACATCATCCTGGCCCCCTGCAGGGGCAGCATCCTGGCTAGGACCCTTAGAGCAAGAAATAGTAGGTTCCAGGACATCTTGGATAGAACTCGAGAACTCGTGTGATAGAGGACAGAAAATAAGTGCAACAAAAATAGAGGCACCTGCCCGTTTCAGCGTCTGATGTTTCAGAATTTGGGGCAATTGGATTATTGCCCAAAGGAAAAGGAAAAGCAAGTGGTGTACCTAGTTCCCACTACCACTAAAAAGGGGACCCAACACTGAGAGTATCTCTTCAGATTTGGGGGACGGTATCTACTATGTCTGAGTGTCATGAGCTAAATCACTTTCTGGATGACTCCCAAAACCTAGTCTGAAGAGCAGAGCAAATTCTGCTACTTGATCCTTTAGATGTTGTTACAGGAAAGGGGTCCTGATTCAGACCTCAAGAGAGGGTTTTTGGATTTCACGAAAGAAATAATTTAGGGTGAGTCAGTAGGGTAAAGTGAAAGCAAGTTTATTAAGGAAGTAAAGGAATAAACAATGGTTACTCCATAGACAGTGCAGCCCCGAGGGCTACTGGTTTCCTATTTTTATAGTTATTTCTTGATTATATGCTAAACAAGGGGTAGATTATTCATGCCTCCCCTTTTTAGCCCATCTAGGGTACCTTCCTGACATTGCCATGGCATTTGTAAACTGTCAAGGAGCTGGTGGGAGTGTGGCAATGAGGATGACCAGAGGTCACTCTCACCGCCTTCTTGGGTTTCGTGAGATTTAGCTGTTTCTTCACTGCAACCTGTTTTATCAGCAAGGTCTTTATGACCTGTGTCTTGTGCCAACCTCCCATCTCATCCTGTGACTTAGATGCCTTAACCATCTGGGAATGCAGCCTAGCAGGTCTCAGCCCCATCTTACCTAGCCCCTATTCAAGCACTTTGGGAGGCCGAGCTGGGTGGATCACGAGGTCAGGAGATCAAGACCATCCTGGCTAACAGGGTGAAACCCCATCTCTACTAAAAATACAAAAAAATTAGCCTGGCGTGGTAGCGGGCGCCTGTAGTCCCAGCTACTCAGGAGGCTGAGGCGGGAGAATGGCGTGAACCCGGGAGGCGGAGCTTGCAGTGAGCCGAGATCGCGCCACTGCAGTCCAGCCTGGGCGACAGCGAGACTCCATCTCCAAAACAAAAAAGCTGGAGTTGCTCCTGGTTCACACGCTTCTCACAATGTTAGGCAAAACCTCCCTCCCTGTTCCTCAAAATTTAAGTTAAATTGGCTAAAGTAGCTCATTGTCAAGGCCTATGGAATTTCAAAGCCCTCCTTCGATTTCTGGGACTGTTCAAGGTTTGCGCCCTCAAGATCTCCTCTAGTTCTGGGATCCGTCCTTCACAGGAGTGCCACTTAGTTACAATACTGAAATGTGCACTTTATACAATAGGAAGGGACTGAACTTCAGGTAACTGCTGCAGTCCTCATACCGGCAGCAGAGCCATGCTGGCATCCACTACCTTCTGTTCCTACAACCCATTCCAGTTGTGTTCACTTTCTCAGCGGGTGAAACTTCTCCATCAGGTGGGATGACCTGATCCTTCATTCTCAAGGGTATGAGTACTTCGTAGTCCCACTTATGTGGTTTTGCTATGGTTTTTCACTAACTTTGACTGCTACACCTGCAGTACTGGAAAGCACACTGAGGATCCTTGAGTTCCAGGAAACCTCATCGCTGCTTGCCCTGTGTGATGGCAAAGACAGAGCTCCCTCAGTGATCAGGATCACCCACCCCAGCCAGTGTGGGAATCTTCTTTTGAGCCTGTTCACCTGTGATGCATGGAGCTAGGTGTCAGTCCCAACTTCCAGTTCAAAGGCACCACTGACATGTCCCTTGTGGCAAGCTTGGTATCCAGTGTCAGCCAGAAGGCCATGTTAGTAGCCTAGGTGAAAACAGTAGTGACTTGGACAAAAATATTGTAATGGAGATAAAGGAAAATGGATGGATTTAAGAAGCATTAAAGAAGTAGAATTTCCAGGGCAGGTGGTAGATTAACTTGGAGAGTGAGAGAGAAGGCATCTGGACATCAAAGACATCCTCTCTCACAGCTGGCTGCACACTGGAGGAAACTTACCATTTCTGGGCATATGGTACTTGAGATAGGTCTGAGAATGGGTCCTATCTTATCAGTTACAGATGAGAAATGCTCATTAAGGGGATACCAAGGACAACTAAGAACAACCAATGCTCCATCTTCTAAAGGGCAACTGGTCCCTCTCTGCTTTCAAACCCATCCAGGCTGGAGAGCCAGCCCCAGATTCCCTTTCCCTTTGGAGTCTTTCCTGCGGCCACTTCTATTAAATTTACTCCATTTATCAGTTTACTTAATCGCAGATAACAGAGTCTTCTTTAGCTAATTTAAGCAGAAAGACATTTGTAAATTATGTGTAGAATCACTGGAGAGCAAACTTCCAGCACTCTCAGAAACACATCACAAAACCCAGATTTCCAAGGGAGCTGCTGCCTGTGCCGCCCTCAAGAAGCTGCAGAGCTCAGGAGCTGCTTCCACACTTGCCAGGTCCTAAATCACTCTACCCTTGCCAGGATCAGAAAGGCGCTATATCAGGAAACTCGTCGAGAAAACGGGAAATTACACCTACAGCTGCAGGTTTCAGGATCGTACTGTCTCTGCCACAACCTACCCTGAATCTCCTCCCATTTGGTCCATTTCCGAACCAAAGTCTTACACAAATGCACTTTATTGGTGGAACCTAAATGAAATTGGAAAGTCTATTTCCAATGCCTTCCAAGATGCTGAACATCTGAAGGGAACTGGAATAGGCTGAGCTAAACAATCCACAGTGTCTGCCACACAGTTTATTGATACAAAGTAAATATTCACCAACAGCTAAAGAAAATAAAATACAGAGACTTTAATTATTCATGAGCTATTCTCTTTTTCATTGTACGAGTTGTTCTTAAATCTCTACTCATATTTCCATTGAACAGACTGCAGATTCTCCTTTGAGCTCATCTAATGATCTCTCTTGCTCCTTGCAAAAGGATATACATTTCTTTTCAATAAGTGGTGCTGGAACAACTGAATAACCACATACAAAAGAAAGTAGCTGCAACTCTTCCTTACAACATAAACAAAAGTTAACTCCAAGTAGATATAGAACTAACTGTATGAGTTACAACTAAAAAAAAAATGAGGAAATAAAAAACAATGACACAACAAAATAAACTCTTAGAGGAATACATAGATCTTCACTATCTTGGTTTAGGCAATCTTCTTCAATATGATACTAAAATCACAATAACTCTAAACTACTCTTACAACTCAATAAAGACAATAAAAAGACACATAACACAATTTTTAATGGGCAAAGCATCTGAGGAGATATTTCTCCAAAGTCAATATACACAAGGCTAATAAGCACATTAAAATATGTTCAATATTTATGCAGGATTTTTCTTCTCAGTCACTTTGCAAGCCAGGGGCCCCCCAGTCGGTGATGCCCGGCCAGCCCTGCTCACCTGAATTATAGCTTGTACCCACGTTTAGCGGTCCTTGAGCTCTTATACCTCACCCAAAAAGAATGAGGATATGCTGGACATTGAAAGGTAAGGAAAGCAGAAAATAATTGCATTGAGCCATGAAACAGCTTTCAGCAGAGAGGGGGTGTGGAGGATGGTCCCCCACTTTTACAGTTGGGTGGTTCTCTCCTCCCTGCGAGGCTGGGTCCTGGGCTGTCTTTTTGTTTGTTTGTTTGTTTGTTTTTTGTTTTGTTTTGGTTTGTTTTTGAGACAAAGTCTCGCTCTGTGGCCCAGGCTGGAGTGCAGTGCTGCAATATCGGCTCACTGCAACCTCCACCTCCCTGGTTCAAGCAATTCTCTGCCTCAGCCTCCCAAGTAGTTGAGATTACAGGCGGTGCTACCACGCCCAGCTAATTTTTTTGTATTTTTAGTAGAGACAGGGTTTCACCATCTTGGCCAGGCTTGTCTTGAACTCCTGGCCGCATGATCCACCCACCTCGGTCTCCCGAAGTGCTAGGATTACAGGCGTGAGCCACTGTGCCCGGCTGATCCCAGGCTTTTTATTGGCTCGGAATAGGGGAGGGGCAGACTGTTGGTAGCATTAGAAAAGGCAACATTCGATTGCTTAAAAGGCATTCTTCAGAAAAAATCAATCTGGAAAGGATGGGAAAACAGGAACAGAAGTTCTGAGCCTGAGTTGCAGGAACCTGCGACCAGCAGTCTGGTTTTTCAGACTTCAGGCCGTTTCAAGACCACAGTGAGATACCACTTCACAACTCTAGGATGGTAATATTTTTTTTTAAGAAAAAAGTAACAAGTGCTAGCAAGGATGTGCAAAAATTGGAACCCTCTTACATTCCTGGTGGGAATGTAAAATGGTGCAACTTTAGAGAATAGTCCAGCAGTTCCTCAAAAAGTTAAATATAGAAGTTATTATTTCACCCAGCAATTCCTTTTCTAGGTATATATCCAAGAGCAATGAAAACCAATGTTCACACACAAGTGTACACTAGAATGTTCATAGTAGCATTATTTATAATACCTCAAATGTAGACATAATCCAAATGTCCATCAATTAATGAGTAGATAAGTAAAGAATGATATATTCAGCGGGGTGCCATGGCTCACGCCTGTAATCTCAACATTTTGGAAGGCCGAGGCAGGCAGATGACCTGAGGTCAGGAGTTCGAGACCAGCCTGGCCAACATGGTGAAACCCTGTCTCTACTAAAAATTAACTGGGTATGGTGGCACATGCCTGTAATCCCAGCTACTCAGGAGGCTGAGGCAGGAGAATCGCTTGAACCAGGAGGCAGAGGTTGCAGTGAGCCGAGATCACACCATTGCACTCCAGCCTGGGCAACAAGAGCGAAACTCTGTCTCAAAAAGGAAAAAAGAAAAAAAGAATGATACATTCATACAGTGGTATACTAGTTGACAATAAAAAAGAATGAAATACTGACAGGTGCTACAACGTGTATACAACTTGAAAACATTATGCTAAGTGAAAGAAGCCAGTCACTGAAGTCCACATAGTGTATGACTACATTTACATGAAATGTCTACGACAGGCAAATCTATGAAGACAGTAAATTAGGAGTTTCAGAAGAGGGGGTGGCAGGCATGTCAGGGGTAAATGGCCGTGAATGCTAACAAGTATGGGATTTCATTTTGGGAGGTGAAGTGCCAAAGTTGAAAGGTTAATTCTGTGATGGTTTCACCACTCTGTGAATATACTTTAAACTATTGAATTGTATACTTTAGGTATGTGAGTTGTATTCATAAAGTGATTTTTTTTTTTTTTTTGAGATGGAGTCTCGCTCTCTTTCCCAGGCTGGATAGAGTGCAGTACTGCAATCTCCACTCACTGAAACCACTGCCTCCCGGGTTCAAGTGATTCTCCTGCCCCAGCCTCCGAATAGCTGGGACTACGGATGCATGCCGCCACACGTGGCTAATTTTTTTGTATTTTAGTAGAGACAGGGTTTCTCCGTGTTGCCCAGGCTGGTCTCAAAGTTCTGAGCTCAGGCAATTTCCCGCCTTGGCCTCCCAAAGTCCTGGAATTACAGGCGTAAGCCACCACGCCGGGCCAAGTAATTTTTTTAAAAAAAGTGTATTTTATATCTTTGGCCTCGTACAGATAAATCAATTGACAAATTCTCTGTCCTTCATTGCACTTCACTGCGGACTCTTATATCTTATCTCCCTGCTGTTTCCACACTGGGATGGAAAAAGGAGGTGCTGGTTATTGAGTACTGATACAAGCTATAATGTGGATAAGCTTTGAAAATATTATGCTAAATGAAAAGCCAGTCACAAAAGGCCATATTATACATTATTTATATAAAATATCCAGAATAGGTAAATTCACAGAGACAGAAAGCAAATTAGTGGTTGCTAGGGACAGGGGAGAGGAGGGGATGGAAAGTAAACTGTTTAATGAGTCCAGGGTTTCCTTTGGGGGTGACGAAAACGTGGTAGAACACTATCTATAATGGCAATGGCTGCACAGTCTATCACTGCACTAAATGCCATGAACTGTTCACTTTAAAATGCTTAAAATGATCAATTTCATGTCATGTGTACTTTTCCATAATAAAAAGAAAAATAATTGCTGTATGATGCTTCAGTAGACCAAGTTATGATAGATAGGGTGCCGGTACTGCCTATGCCCTGAACAAACATGCCCAAGACCTGTGTGGAATCTGGGCCCATAGGGAAGGTGAGCAAGAGTGAAGTTTATTAAATGGGACCCAACAGGATAATGAGTTCTGGCCTAGATCAGGTATTGATTGGAGAGAAGATTCTCTAACTAGGTGAGCGTGGACAAGATTTATGGATGAGTGAATGCTTTGGCAAACCCTGGGCCCATTGATTGCATATCTCCCACTGTGGGAGACTCCACTGAGCAAAATCTGAGCAGTGTATTAGACAACAAACAGACCTGAGCCAGAGGGCAAAGAAAAACCTCAGAAAGAAGGGCCTTTGGTTCCAGTTGGTGTCTCCAGCCCTGTGCATGACCCATGTATGTAGAAGGAAGGCAAGACATCTAAAAAGCAGTTTAACTCTTACAGACTGCTGGAGACTGGCTGAGGAGAGTAGATGAAGAGAAATACTGGAGTGGGTGCTCTGAGTCCTGGCTGCGTATGGGAGGGACGTGGGCCTCAGACATGATGGGACCTCTGCCTGGGGTAGGGCAGAGGCACCCAGTTTTCCAGGGGATTCCCATGTGCAGCCTGGTGGGGAACTGCACACCAGAGGTACAGTTTGCACTGGCAAAAATAAAAATAACAATGCGCAGCAGCCGGAAATTCCACTCAGAGCCTGGAGATGCAAGGGATGATGAAGTGCTCTTGAGACCACTAAGAGAATATACTTCTGAAGCAGCAGCAGCAACTTTAGTTTAAGACCCATAATGTGCACTTGGGCTCTCACTGCTCCAACTATGGTCCTCGGAGCAGCAGCACTGGACCACTGGGGCTTCTTACAAGTGCAGAGTCTCAGGTCCCACCCACCTCCTGAAACAAGAGACTCAGGTGATGCCTAGTCACATTAAGGTTTGGAAAGCACCACTTCAGGACGGTGCTTCAGGAATCGGCTGAGGGCAGTTCTCCAGCTGAACACCCTTCAACAGAAGGAGAGGCCTGCCTTAGGCTTCCCAGGCCTGGGCTGTGCCAGAAGCCACCAAGCCCACAGAAAACAATGCCCGGAAATAAAGCTCAGCCTCAACCCAGGCCTCGGGCATCAGAAACAAGAGCATGAATATACAAAGGGACAATGGCCTGACCATGTATGAAAATAGAACTCTGACCCACAACCTGCCCAGGAAACCAGCCCCTTATCTACAATAACCAGCCCAGGAAGCCAGCCTACTATTATGTCAGGCTAGTGGGAAGTCAAGCCACTATCTCTAGCAACAATCCAGGAAGCTAAATCATAAGCCCTGTAACAATCAGCCCCACATGGCCGACACTTGATTAGTGACTGACACATTTCCTCTTTTTTGTCCCTATGAAACCTGCCCAATTGTCTAAGAGAACTGATATTTACAGGACTTTTTGAATAAGCATAGAAATTTACTCTCCTAGGCTTAACACTTGAAAGTTACATTACCTAATCGGATGGAGCTCAAGGGACTGAAACTCACCAGATCACCACATCTAGACAATGAGACAGCCGACCCAATGAGAAAGCAATTCATCTTGATTGCCTTCTTACACCTTCCTCATTCCTTCCCCCTTGCAGCTACGTCTCTTCCTGTGCTATATAAATACCCCAAATTTACTCAGGCAGAAGGATTTGAGACTTACCTCCTGTTCTCCTAGTTGATGTCACCTGAATAAAAAGTTTTCTTCCCTAGCAATATTCATTGTCTCAGGGATTGGCTTTCTGTGCAGTGAGCAACAGGACCTAGACCAAACTCCTGATGTTCTTGTAACACCAACTTTCAATGTAGGACCAACCCTAGAAAGCCAAACATTGCCCCCCAGTGCATCACACAGGAGGCCCTATTTCTAGTTAGCCATCTGCAGCTACCCCAGACCGACAGCCTCCAGTCAGGGCACATCTGAACCTTCCCTTCCTTCTACGGTGAGGCTTTCCACTCCTCTGCCTGCCTTTGAGTCTCTGCCAAAACACAAGTGACAGTAGTTGACCCCCCCTGCTAGAGCAAGCTCTGGATAAATAGCCTTGCTTTTCTCATTTGGTTGGGCTTTGTCTACTTGTACAGAAACTTGGGGCTCAAAGAGGAAATGAACAGGATAGTAAGGAAGTTTTACCACACATAAAGCCAGGTGATCGAGGATCACTTGGTAGCAAATTTCTCATCTTTGCAAGATGGGAGCAGTGTCTCAAATGTTACTCTCTTTCTCAGAGAACACAGGGTTTGTTCTGTGTTCGGGGAATTTTTCTCCCTGGTAGGATCAGCAGACTGCCATATTTGAGCTCACCTTGAGAGCTCCCTTGCCAGTTGGGTTTGAGTTCAAAGACCATGGCAAAATAGACTACATAATTTATGTGGCTTATTGCAAAATAAAATTTAGGCCCTTTAAAATCATTAAAAATTTTGAGAGCAATAGCAGAACTTTAAGTCAAGTGGGGGTCTCTAAGTTCCTGGGTGCAGTGCAGTTTGTGCCCAGGAAGACAGCCCTGGAGCACATTCTCTGAGCCCCTGACGGAATGATTGCCTGGGATTCAGTGGGGCAGGGAACAAGGTGCCTGCCTCACTCAGATATTGTTCAGTCTCTGCTACGGTCTTTGCAAACCTACGTACATAATTCTACATTAACTGCTCAGGGATGGAAATTGGTTCATTTTCTAAAAATGTCAAGTAAGGCCTGTGAAGTATGTGAGTCCCAGTGGCTCTTTGACACTTTCAAAAGTAAAGACATGGGAGACTTGAGGTTAAACTAATTCAGCTTAGGGCCCTGTGGAAAGCCCTGAGAAGCAGTACAGCTGCTAAAGGGACCCCAGACCTGACTTTACCAGCACCCAGAACTCCTTGGCAAAGACTGAACAGAGTAAGAAATTGAGAATGGTGCATTTTCACTCCAGTACCTTTGGACTTTTAACTCACAAGAGCAAAATAATTTGATTTTGGACTGAGTTTAATTTGCCAGGTGATTTAATTGGTGACTTATTCTTCACAAAAATTTAACATATATTTAAATTGTGGACATCTCTATGTTTGGGGAATTTTATTATTGGACTCTCTTTAACCATCTATTATTAGAATATCACTGATATTATTTAATCTTATTCCAGAAATTCTGATGTCATATTTTGGGAGAGGAAATAAAATCAGGAGTGACTTTTTAGCCCTGTGTAGAGGAGAGCCATAAATTTAATTATGTAATGGCACTGACCTTTTGAGAGCTTCTGAGGGCTAAAGTCTACATTGATCATCAGCAGGTGAAGGAGGAGAAACAAGCGAGTGAGATCCGGGGATCAGCTTCATGAAGATGGGTGGCACTGTCTGAAGAGCTTTCAAAGATCTTCCCTGAATGTGGGCAGCTGCGGACTTCATGTTTCTTCTCCACGCATCAGAGCAGCGGTCCTCAGCCGAGCATGCTCCAGGCCAGCAACTGCACTGTCCCTGGGAAACTGTTAGAAGTGCAGACCCCCAGGCCCCACCCAGACACTCCATGGTTGGCCCAGACACCAGTGTTTTCACAGGAGCCCCAGGGGACGCCGATGCAGCTGAAGTTTGAGAACTACAGTGTCAGAGAATTAAAATATAGGGAAAACTAGGACTAGAGTTATCTTTCCCCATTTCTGATCATTCCCATCATGGGGAGGGTTTTCCATAACCTGGGTGACCAAATTCTCCGGATTCGCCTGGGACTGCCCAAGTTTCAGAACTGAAAGTGCTGCCTCCTGGAAACCACCTCTTTCCTAGACAAACCAGGGTGCTGCTCACTCTAGCCACATGGGTAAAGCACCAGGCCTCCCTCCACGTTCTCAGTCACTTCTCTTGTGGGATTTATCTGATTGGAGTGATATAAGAGTTAAGAATAAATTATACAGGCAGACAGTGAGGGTAAGGAAGTCCTCGGTAAGGTTTTCCTTTTAATGAAAAGCAGCCCCCATATCATTTTCTTTTCTAACAAAGAGCAGCCTGTAAAATTGAGCTGCAGACATAGACACGCAAGCTCGAAGCTTTCACAGGTGAATGCTAGCAGCCGTGCCATTAGGAAAAGGCTACCTGAGACTAGGCATGATCAAAATGGTGGCTTCATCTTCCCTTCTCTTTGCCAGCCACTTGTGCAGTAGGGAGCAGAAAACATGGTGCCGGCCAAGTGGAAGGCTCCATTGCATAATACGATTAGAGTGTGGTGGCCAGCTTCTCCACTCACTATGTAAACGTCACACCTGGTCCAACCAATCTGTGGGCCCTATGTAAATCAGACACCACCTCCTCAAGCCTGCCTATAAAATCCGATTCCCATTCGGCATCTATCTCTTTCCATTCTCGCATCTGTCTCTCTCTCTGTCTCTCTCTTTCTCTCTCTCTCTCTCTCTCTCTCTCCCTTAAAACATTATGATTTTTTTTTTGCAATTTTTTCTTAGAGAGAGAGTTGTTCTCCTATCTCTTTCTTTTGCCTATTAAGCCTCCACTCTTAACTCCTTTCTCTTTCTTTTGCCTATTTAAACCTCTGCTCTTTTTTGTTTTGTTTTGTTTTGAGACAGAGTCTCACGCTCTCGCCCAGGCTGGAGTGCAGTGGCATGATCTCGGCTCACTGCAACCTCCACCTCCCAGGTTCCAGCGATTCTCCTGTCTCAGCCTCCCGAGTAGCTGGGATTACAGGTGTGGGGCACCACATCCGGCTAATTTTTTGTATTTTCAGTAGAGACAGGTTTCACCATGTTGGACCTCAAGTGATCCGCCCACCTCGGCCTCCCAAAGTGCTGAGATTATAGGTGTGAGCCACCATGCCCGGCCTAATCCTCTACTCTTAAACTCACTCCTTGTGTGTGTTCATGTCCTTAATTTTCTTGGCATGAGGCAACAAACCTCGGATATTATCGCAGACAACAAGGCCACTTCAGGAGGCTTGAAAGACAGCCAGGCCATGTGCAACCTAATCCCCCTTGGCCTTCTGAGAACCACCTACCCCCAGTGTCTCTGGTCCCCGAGCCTCAATGATTCTGGAAAGGCCCCAGGTAGGGAAGCCTGAGATGGCCTTAGGACTGTGGGGCAGGCAGGCAATGAGGAATCTGTGGTTCACAGCACCTTCTGTCATTTTTCAGTCTCCATCAGCGGATTCCTTTGTTTCCTCATGTTTTCAAATGGCTAAGGAAAACAGATTTTATTTATTGGGTCTCAGAAACCTTTCAATAATCATTGAGTATATAAATGTTTATAAACCAATATAGAACTATAAAATGAAGAATGAACTATAATTTAGACAAGGATACACTGTGTCGTGAGAGAGAGTGTTTGGAGGTAAAATGTTCTAAGCCCACACTGAAGTTGGTCTACACTGTCCTGGGGTGATTCAGTTGTCTAACTAGGGCCATAGGATGAAACCACATCCCAGCGGGTGTAGGCAGGGCTTTCCTGAGGTGATGGATGTCCCCGCTGGCTAACTTGCTGATAAGCCTGCTATCAAGCGGAACAGAATGGTACACAAAATATGTCTTAGACCAAGCTTGTCCAACCTGTGGCCCACGGGCTCCATGTGGCCTGGGAGGGCTTTGAATGTGGCCCAACACAAATTTGTAAACTTCCTTAAAACATTGAGTTTATTTTGCAATTTTTTTCTTTTTTAGCACATCTGCTATTGTTAGTATTAGTGTATTTTATGTGTGGCCCAAGACAGTTCTTCTTCCAGTGTAGCCCAGGGAAGCCAAAAGATTGGACACCCCTGTGTTACACGAAGGTGGACGGGGAAGCACTTCTGCTCTCTGGGCCTGCATGTGTTTGGGTCTCAGCGTTGGGGTGTAAGTTCAGAGCATGGTCTTCGTCACAGGGTTGTTGGGCTCACTCTGCCTTAGGCATCAGGGCTGAACACTAGTCAGGAACGCTCTCCATCAGGCCACATTCACTGGAAAGTTATTCTCTGTAAGGCGCTTCCCTTATATTACCCCGAACCCTCAATACAGGGCCTGGTTCAGTGATGTTATGAGGAATTAAGAAAATAACTGGCCAATGTTTGAGACTCAGAAGTCAAAGGATGTGTTTCTTCCCTGGAGACAGTTTCACTGAAGCAGTAGTGGTCAGCAGGCACAGACAGCCAGGCAGTCATCACACAGTGATCACCCACTATCCCCCAAGGTGGCCAGAGAGATGAATAAATCTGAGCACCATGCTGGAGGCTATTCAGAAATGCCTGGGATAACCTTTGAGGAGGAGTCCAGCAATCAGGTCACAAGGACTAAAGCCTTAGTAATCTTATTGTTGTAAGTGTACTATTAAAAATATCATCTAATTTGTAAACATCTTGATGAGGCCTATAGAAGATGGATGGATGGATGGATGGATGGATGATGGAGCAGTGAATGGAGGAATGAATGGATGGAGGGATTGATGGAATGGTTGAAAGGATGAAGGGAGGATGGAGCAATGAATGGAGGGATAGATGGATGGAGGAATTGATGGATGAATGATGGATCAATGAGTGGAGGGATGGAGGGATGGAGGAGTTTAGGGGATGGTTGGAGGGCTGAAGGGAGGACGGAGCAATGAGTGGAGGGATAAATGGATAAAAAGATGGAAGGATGGATAGTGAGAGAGAGAAAATGTAGGAAGGAAAATGGATAGAGCAATGGAGATATGAAGGAATGGGTGGATGATAGACGGAGGGATAAGTAGAGAGAAAAGGAGACAGGGAGAAAGGATAGATGGAGCAGTGAATGAAGGAATGAATGGATGGTGAATGGATACATGGATGAATGGATGGATAGATGGATGAGGACAGGGAGAGATGAATTAATTAATTTTAACTTCTCATTTTTTCTAGAAAATAATATTGGTTTGCCTTACAGAGAATAGTTGGTATTATAATTTATACTACTCGGTATTCCTCTAACAAATCAACATTCTGAAACCAATATGAGTTGATTAAGTAAAGAAAGTTCATCTTCCAGGGCTCAGAACCTATCACTTTTTCATCTAATGAAAAACTGGACTCCTAAATGAGGATTAATATTGCTGAGCTATTGCTCCTTCTCTTTCAGTATTTTCAGCTATGTCTTTACATCTTATGCCCTACCTACTGTGCAATTCTCAACTGACTGATTGCTTTGTAACTCCTAAATAATGTCCTCCTATCAAAGCTGCCGTAATTAATCCTCTTTTCTTTCCTCTGAAAGAGTAGAAAATATTATTTTCATTTTCTAAAGAAGCCCAAGTCAAGGAACCCTCCTACCATCTCAAAGCTCAAATAAATGTTTACTACCTACCCACTGCATACAAGACACCATGCTAGGCTGGGTATGAAATAGCAGGATGAAGAAAATCTCATCCCTATGGCCCAGGAATTCAGAAGCCTCAGTATTGTTACAGTGTTGCAAGCTCCTTAAAAGAGCTATAAACAGGCTGGGCGCGGTGGCTCCCGCCTGTAATCCCAGCACTTTGGGAGGCCGAGGCAGGCGGATCACGAGGTCAGGAGATCGAGACCATCCTGGCTAACACGGTGAAACCCCGTCTCTACTAAAATTACAAAAAAAATTAGCCGGGCGTTGTGGCGGGCGCCTGTAGTCCCAGCTCCTTGGGAGGCTGAGGCAGGAGAACGGCGTGAACCCGGGAGGCGGAGCTTGCAGTGAGCCGAGATCGCGCCACTGCACTCCAGCCTGGGCGACGGAGCGACACCCTGTCTCAAAACAAAAAACAAAAAAACAAAAAAAAAACAGAAGCTATAAACAAAGCGTGCTGTTATTAAAAACTATAGGAAGGGACATTTTTGAGTGCCTGGCTACCTGTGAACCTCCCCTGGGCAACCCCAGAGAACTGGGGAAGGGAGGCTGACGGGGCTCTCTGTGGGGAGTTGGGGGCTCAATGTTGCGCAATTAAGACTTGGATTTTCATGTTGGTGTTAATTTCCCGTCTGGTGACCTGAGACAGTGAGATGCCACAGGCAACCGAGAGTCAGCGGAGACGTCTTAGCATGGAAGTGGCGTGGCCGGTATACTGTTAAAGAAACAAAAATGTCAGCAGGGCCTAAGCAGAAAGAAGCGAGAAATCAAAGATAGTTCGGGGTATGGGGAAAATCTAAAGCCTTTAGTCTGTAACTTGAAATGGGGTCCCGAATAGAGAGGATGTCAAAAATGCCTAGGCTGGGGGAGTCGGCATGACCAAAGGGATAAAATGTGGAAAAACAAGACTATTCTCCAGAAAAAGCAGGAGCCCAGGATCAGTGAAGCAAGCTGGGGGTGAGAGGAGCAAAGGAATGTGCCAAAAAATATGGAAGGAAGCTAGGAAATTAAATAATAATAAAATTTGAGTAATAAATGAATATTAAAATTAATAAATATTATTAATGAAATCGATAATATAATGAAATATTTATTTCATGTATATTAATTTTCATATATGAAATATATAAAATATATCATGTATTAATCTTCATATATGAAATATATATTATATATTATATAAGTACATGTTATATATAATATATCAATATATACTATTTCATATATTATAATAAAAATATGAATAATGCATATTAATAAATTCTGAATAATAAATTTTGAAAAAGCCTGGTAATGAAAGATCATTTAGAATTGAAATGTTTAGGTTCCAGTCAACCATTTTTTAAATTTCATGTTATTTAAAATATGCACACAAGTTATATGTGTGGTATAACTTATGGCTGTGGTATACAAACACTCCAAAAAATAAGTGCCCCAAACCCCAAACAAAGCAAAGGCTTACGAAAGAGCTCTGGATTTCACAAGTAAGTGCTAACAGGCAGGGCGATAATGGTGTCAGAGAAACACCATTGCCATACACAGCCACTCCGGAAGACAATATTTATACTTCTCATCTTTCTATTTATTTGACAGCATCACTCACAATAAGTGCTTGAGGGATAAATACTACAGAAAGAACCCTGACCAGGACACATACTGCTATAAAACCGGCCATTGGTGTTATCAAATTGGGACTCAATATTTTCACAAACCAGGGGTACATCGGGAAAGAAGGTATCGGGTCAGCTTAGGCCTGGGTATGTCATGTCCTCGGAAACCCAGAGGCCACGTGAGCCTTCCTACTCACCCTCAGGGTGAAGGAAAGGTGCTCCTTCGCTTCAGGATTTGTAAGTACCTTTGGTTGGTGAACTCAGCAAAGCTACTGTGGATGTCCCCCTGGTGCTGCTGGGAAAGGAATGCACAGACAGAAGTGAGATGCTGGCGGTGGGGTGGGGCAGAAAGGGCTCCCATCACTCACATGCTCAAACCTTCAAAAAAGGAGTCCAGGCCCAGTGCAGTGGCTCACGCCTGTAATCCCAGTACTTTGGGAGGCCAAGGCGGGTGGATTACCTGAGGTCAGGAGTTCGAGATCAGCCTGACAAACATGGTGAAACCCCGACTCTACCAAAAATACAAAAAAAAAAAATTAGCTGAGCATGGTGGTGGGTGCTTGTAATCCCACCTACTCGGGAGGCTGAGGCAGGAGAATCGCTTGAACCCTGGAGGTAGAGGTTGCAGTGAGCTGAGATCACGCCATTGCACTCCAGCCTGGGCAACAGAGCAAGACTCCATCTCAAAAAAAAAAAGAGGAGTCTAAAGTGTGTAAAGATCTCCAATTCTGGAAGGAGATGTGTTCAGAAGAGGCTCAGATTTCTTGATGCTGTTGATCCTGTTGACCTTCCCTCCAGACATGGGGGTGTAGAAAGATTCCTGAGAGAAGTCTTAGTCTGTTTGGGTCACTATAACAAAAATACCATAGGCTGGAGGGCTTAACATTTATTTCTCACAGTTCTTGAGGCTGGGAAGGCCACGATCAAAGTGCTGGCACAGTTGTTGTCTAATGGGGCCACTTTCTACTTCATAGATGGCACCTTCTCTCCGTATACTCACATGGCTTAGAGCAGAAAGAACCTGGTCTCTTCCTCTTCCTCTAAGGGCACTAATCCCATCATGGGGCCTCTACCCTGCTGACCTCATCAAAACCTAACTACCTCTCAAAGACCCCACCTCCAAACACCATCACATGGGGGCTAAGGTTTCAACATGAATGTTGTGGGGAGCACAAACAGGGCAGTCTATGACAAAGAGCAATAAGCTCCTCAAGAGTGGGTACCAGGAAATAGGCTACACCTAATATCTGTCCAGTGTTAGCTGGGCAGTCACAAACCCAGCTACACAAGGACAGCCTCCATCCCAGAAAAGTAATGCTCATCTGTCCCATCTTGGGTTGTGGTGGGAGAAAGCAGAGGTGCTGTGATGGTTAATATTAACTGTCAACTTCATTGGATTGAAGGATGCAAAGTACTTTTCCTGGGTGTGTCTGTAAGAGTGTTGCGAAAGGAGATTAACATCTGAGTCAGTGGACTGGGAGAGGCAGACTGTTTTCCACAAAGCTGTAGCGCTCGATTATTCCAGCATCAGCAACACCTGTGTGCCCTTGGCCACAAGCTTTCCAGCAGTGAGCAGCATCACTGTTTTACATTTTTACTCACTCAGTGACATTTGTATGCAAATGACAGATTATTATTTTTCTGGAAAATGTATGCTTAACCATGCCAGAGTCATAAAGAATGCTATGAAAAAGATTTTGGTGTAGAGGTCATGGCAGAAGAAATGAGAACGTGTGAATCAGCTTTCTTCTCTTACACACACACACACACACAAAAGTCTTAACTGAGCTTGGATATTAAAAGCAGTGTGGGGGAGAGGGTGGGGAGGTTTGGAGTTACCATCAGGAGCGTCTGACCAGGCTCAAACGTGGGATAGCTGTCCATTGAACAGCCCTGTATGTCACAATGACTAGGAAAAATTTATAAGACAGACGTTCCAGGCCGGGCACAGTGGCTCACGCCTGAAATCTCAGCACTTTGGGAGGCCGAGGCAGGAGGACCATGAGGTCAGGAGTTCGAGACCAGCCTGACCAACGTGGTGAAACCCCGTCTCTACTAAAAAATACAAAAATTAGCTGGGCATGATGGCGCGCACCTGTAATCCCAGCTATTTGGGAGGCTGAGGCAGGAGAATCGCTTGAACCCGAGAGGCAGAGGTTGCAGTGAGCTGAGATCGTGCCACTGCACTCCAGCCTGGGCAACAGAGCAAAACTGTGTCTCAAAAAAAAAAAAAAAAAAAGACAAGCGTTCCCCTGCACCCACCCCACCAAATCGCCTGCCACACACAGAAGCACACACAGGCGCACTCTGAAATTACACAGATAAAAGGCCGACAGTATTACTCCCTCTCCCACTGATAAGCTCCTTTCTGTGCTCGGTGGGGCTGGCAGACTTTCGATGGAGGAAGATGGAACTGCCAGAGTGAGCACTGGCTCTGGTCTGAGCCACTGTGAGCCTTTCTTCTCTCCTCCTTCATCCCCTACACCACAAGATAGACCACCCAACATGGCTTTCTGAGTTTCTAGGGAGCTGGGCTTTGAGCAGGGCCCACAAAAGGACTTCAACCAAAGCCTGCTTGTCTTGTGGAAGCCACCCTCCCTCCCTGTTTCCAAACCAGAAGCATCAGTGTGGCTGCAGGGTAGGTACTCAGATAGAGGCGGGGACAACCCAAACTCCATCTTCTGCCCTGGCCCAGCTAGAGCCTTCGTGATCCGAAGGTAGGCCCACCTTTTGTGCTGATCACGTTTACTGTTGCTCTCCCCTCCCCATGTCCCCCAAACTTGGCTGAGGCTGAGGTAAGGGTGGAGGGGTGGGAGTCATGGCCTCCCTTTTGCCTGGTCTGGTCTTGCCCAGACAGCAGGCCTAGCCCAGCAGGCAGCTTCAGGCTTGCAGGATGCTGAAGGGGTGCTGGGGAGGGGTGTGTGGGGAAGAGGAGCCTCCACCCCTCCACCAACACCACCTCACATCTTCCCCTCGTAACTTTGCCCTCACCCAACCGCAGAGACCTCCACAAAATCTGTAAGAGGCTGTGAACAACACTCCCAGCCAAACACAACTTTTTTGAGAAGGCAATCCATGCCCTCTGCTTGTGTTGGCATCACCCGGGTCTTTCTCTGGTCTGTCCGGGGCTGGCACGAGGCTGCAGCCAGTGAGGCACTGAGGCCACTCACTCTTGGAGCCACGCAAGTGCCAGCCTTGAGCCTGTGTCCCCCTGGTCATGAGAATGAAAGCCCGTGGGGTTAGGGACATCTTCTGAGCCAAATCTTTAGTGTCTGAAACACATGCCTGATTGAGATCTGAGTTGTTGAACTTGGTTCTCTAAGGGGATTGTCCATTGTACTTGGCAGAGTAAACATCCCGAGTGGTCCTCACAGCCTTGAGGAGCACAGAAAGGTGGGTGGGCGGATGGGTGGGGGAGCCAGCAGAGGAGGTGCTGGGAGGGGCAGTGGAGAGGGAGGGCTGTGCTCTCAGCTTGTGGGGGCCTAAGGACTTTCTATCTGAGCCTTTTGCTTTGTTCATTCATTCATTTCAATTCTGGCCTCAGGCTTAGGAGTGATTTGTACAGGTGGCAGGAAAGAGCCAGAGGACCCCTACAGGCCTCGGCCCTGGGCTACTAGGGAGGGAACTGAGGCCTAGAGGCTGTAAGCAAGACTGCGAGCCCTGGGGGCCCAACTATGTCTATCCTGGCCATGCCGCACCCCTAGTCCCAGCACAGGGCTGGCTGGGCACACAGAAGTTTCCCTAAATAGATATATTTGAACCAGCATCAAGAAACTTAAGGGATTGGGCATGGTGGCTCATGCCTGTAATCCCAACACTTTGGGAGGCTAAGGTGGGAGGATCGCTTGAGCTCAGGAGTTTGAGACCAGCCTGGGCAACATAGCGAGACCTCATCTCTACTAAAAATAAAAAAAAATTAGCTGGGCATGCTGGTGAGCACCTGTAGTCCCAGCTACTTGCTTGAGTCAGGGAGGTCAAAGCTGCAGTGAGCCATGATGGCCCCACTGCACACTAGCCTGGGCAACAGAGCACTGTACACACACACACACACCCAAGGAAGAGGAGAATTGAGTGCAGAGTTGTGGGTATTAGTTCAGTCATAAATAGGGACAGGAGTGGAAATGGTCTACAATTAAAAATGCATGAAAAGGCCATGTGCTGTGGCTCATTCCTGTAATCCCAGCACTTTGGGAGGCCGAGGCGGATGGATTGCTTGAGCCCAGGAGTTCAAGACCAGCCTGGGTGACATGGGGAAACCCCATCTCTACCAGAAATATAAAAAATTAGCCAGGTGTGGTAGTGCATGCCCATAGTCCCAGAAACTCAGGAGGCTGAGGTGCAAGGATCGCTTGAGCCGGGGAGACAGAGCTTGCAGTGAGCCATAAGTGCGCCACTGCACTCCACCCTGGGTGACAGAGCAACACCCTGTCTCAAACAACAACAAAATTACGTAGAAGAATGGACATGGTTTCCTTTCAAATTTAGAAGTCTAAGCAAAGCTCTTAAAAGGGTACTCGCTTGTGAAAGGCAGTAAACTAATGGGAAAAGCAGGATCCAGGAGAGCCAACAGTACTGTGGAGGATGTAAGTGTCTTTTTCAGCGCCTCTGCTTTCAGCTTTACAGGAATCACACGTGTCGTGCATATTTCTGTGAATCTCAAACCGACGCAGGGCTGAGGAATATGGTTTCCTTCTGTTTGAGTTATGTAACTGGGAGGACTCCAGGAACCAGTGACTCACGGTTCCCCGGGAGTGTCAGTGACGCATCGAAGGAGGTTTCCCAAGAAGCGACAGAGGAAATATCTTTTGGAAGGCCTCTGAAGACAGGGCTCTTTCTGTCTTTCCCTTTGACTGGGTGGTAGATTCGGATCAGCTTTGCAGCCCACGCGGGGTCGGGGATCACTTTCTGAAAACAAGTTGCCCACTTCCTACAGGTAGAGACACAAGCTGCGGGGCGGGGGTGAGGATGAGTAAGGATGAAAGGGAGGGGGTGGTGTAGGACCCCCCTTCTTCTTTTGAACAGGCCGGGGTGGGCTCCACACCTGCAGGCTACTTCCCACTGAAAGGAAGGGGGCGGGGGGAGGGGAGAACACCAGTGCTGCTCCCAGACCCATTAAGGTCCACAGAAAAACACAGAAAAGGGAGTACTATAGATGTTCTCCTTCAGAGCAGAGAACCCAGGCTCACCTAAGGTTGCTGGAGTGCAGACCACCCCTGCCACGAGCCCAGCCCCATGTGAACTTCCAGACAAGTAAATGCAATTGCAAATGTAGCTCGCCCAAAGTCTACAGCTGGTGAAGACCCAGGCTGTGCTGTCTGGCCACCTCGGACCTGCCTCACCGTGATTTCCATGGTTCAGATTTTTTTAATTTATGAATAAATCTTTCGTTTGTGGATATTTTTATTGATTCCAACTTCTTATTATAACAATGGCTAGAGGTTCTTTTTTTCCAAACTTTTAATTGCTTTTTCCCCAACTACAAAAGTAATACATGATGTAAAAATTCACACAAGGAACTGTACAAAGCAGAAGTGGAAATTCCCCAGAGTCACTGCAATTAACAGCTGAAAGTAAATCCTTACAGACCTTTTCCTGTACATATACAAACAAATATACCCGGAGGCCTTGATTTATTATTAGAGAAAAAAGATCAAATCTGCAGAACAATATTAGAAGATTTAATTTTCTATATTCTCTATTTTATGTATTATATTCTCGAGATTTCAATTTTATGTTTTAAAAAATATGGGAAGAAAAAAAAACAAGAAACTTTTTTTAGAAAAAATTTATTTTTGAGACAAGGTCTGTCTGTGTTGCCCAGGCTGGAGTGCAGTGGCGTGATCACAGCTCACTGCAGTCTCAAACTCCTGGGCTCAGGAGATCCTCCCACCTCATCCTCCCTAATAGCTGGGACTCCAGGCAAGCACCACCATGCCCAGAAAAAAATTTAAAAATTTTTTGTAGAGTCGAGGTCTTGCTATGTTGCCTAGGCTGCTCTCAAACTCCTGAGCTCAAGTGATCATTCTGTGTGGGCCTCCCAAAGTACTGGGATTACAGGCATGAGCTGTAATCCCATGTGCTTGCTGAAGAAACTTCCAAATACCAATTTTACACGGTTCTACAATGTTCTGTACTTGGATTTTAAAAAGTCTCTTTCTTGAAGTATAATTTACATCTATATCCATAGCTCTAAAGTCAACATATCTGAGTGTACAGCTTGATGACTTTTACTAATGAAACACACTCATATAAGTGATTCCCAGATTGAGAAGCAGAAACGCTCACCTTCAAACCTCATGCTCCCTCCTAATGACCATCACTGGACCAAGGGTAACTGTATCCTAACTTCTAACAACATATATTTGTTTTGCTTGTTTTCTTCTGTGCTTGAATTTTAACAGTGACTACGTATTGCGCCATATATTGTATTAAGAATAATCTATACAGATGTTTTAAAAATATATGCATTTGTCATGACCATCATTTGATATCAGCATATATGGATCTAGCTCATTCCTTAGCAGCCGCCTAAACCCCCTTATTAGACTGTGTCTGAATTTATCTGACCAGTCCCTTTTGATGGACATTTGGATTATTTCCCATTTTTAGCTAGTAAGCAGCACTAGAAGGAACAATCTGATGCGTATTTCTTTGTGCATGCCACTTTTTGATGTATTTCTTTCAGATAAATGCCAACAAGTGGAACTGCTAGTCAAAAGATAGCTGGATGGAGTTTGGGGGGCATATTTCATCATAATGGCCCTATAGAGTGTAGTAGCAGCTCAGTTCCTTCTTCAAACAAAGGTCAGGTGCTGGGTGCAGACCTTCTCACTGCAGCCCCCACCATTGGCAGCCCAGCCTGCTCCAGCTCCCTGGGTGGCCGGAGCTGAGCCCGCCTCGGCAGGTGCCTGCTGCACAGAAAACTGACGGAGGAGCACAAACCACCCCTGCCCCCAGCCCAACCCCATGAGAACTTGTGAACAAGTACATGCAATTGCAAAGACAGCAGCAGGGAGATGGTCAAATTTCAAAGCCTGCAGTGGGACAAGGGGCCTTGTGGCCTGTTCTTACTTCCGCTGTGCACTGGGTGTGAGCCTTCAAGGAGGGCAGACCACGTGCACTGCAGGCCTTAATCTCTTATTTGTTTGTGATGGGCCGGGTGAGGGGCCCACCTGAAACACGAACCCTAGAGGAGTCTGGTCCAGCTGACCCCAATTCTTTCACCCCTCCCCTCAGCCTTGGAAGGCAGCCTGTCCCTTGTCCTCAGAGCTGATGGGCAGAGCTTTTGTTTCTTTTGAACAACTCTTGCTGAGGCAGGAGTCTAGGGTCTGGGGCCAGGGAATCTAAGGCCAATTCGTGCTGAATCAAGGAGAAACATCTATGTCTGGGGGCAGGGAATCTGAGGCCAATTTGTGCTGACTTCTCAAAGCTGGATCAAATGGAAAACACCTGGGTCTGGGGGCAGGGCATCTAAGGCCAATTCGTGCTGAATGAAGGAGAAACACCTACGTCTGGGGGCAGGGAATCTGAGGCCAATTTGTGCTGACTTCTCAAAGCTGGAGCAAACGGAAAACACCTGGGTCTGGGGGCAGGGCATCTAAGGCCAATTAACGTACACCAAAAGGAAAAACCCCATCTCCCCACACTGAGTAACCAAGGATCAAAGGCTACTCTCCCTACAACCCTCCCCCTTCCACTGCATCTCAGATGGAAAGGGAGACTGCCCTGGATTGACCACAGACCAAGCACGGGCCATCCCTTCATCCGCATAGGGCGTCAATTCACCTCAGCCTTTCATTAGCCATGGACCAAATCCTTCACCCAGATTAAGGGGTAGCCGACAGGTACCTCAAAAGGGGTACTTAAAACCCAGAAAACTTTGCAATTGGGCCCATGGGCTATCTGCTTAGGGTCCACTCCTACCATGTGGAGTGCTTTCTCACTTCAATAAATTCTTCCTTTTGCTGCGTTTATTCCTTTATTACTTTGTATGTTTTGTTCAGTTCTTTGTTCAAAATGCCAAGGACCTGGACAACTTACACTCAAGGCCCTCCTTCCGGTAACACTGCATCTATGCCTTTCTAACTCCACCCACCACACCTCATTCTGCTGCGGCCGCACCCCAGATGCCAGGAGAAGGTCCCACTGCCCCTTCCCCAGAGTCGTCTTTCCTTTCCTGTTTTTTTTGTAACATTTCTTACATTCTGTGGTTGTCACAGGTAACTGAACATAACCTGATTTGTCAATGTCCTTCCTTGAGCTGGCCAGGAGAAGCAGGTGAGGCTGGATTCTCCCTGGACCTGGACGTGGTGCTTCTGTTAATGCAGCCTCAGGTTGCAGTGTTTTATGGTGCAATAGCTCCTAGGCTGCTAAAGCTCAGGTAGGGGCGGCTAAGATGGGTCTCAGGCACTTTTTCAAACCCAGGCACGAGGTCCTGCTCTTCACTCTCCACTCCTGCTCAGCACTTTCTCCTTGCTTTTTCCTTCTCCAACTGTCAAGGCTAAGAATCAATAAGAAAATGAAGAGACATGTGACAGAACCCCTCATGCCTCCTACCTTCTGTTTGGTGCCTGACTTGAAGCCAGGGATCCCTGCGGTTCAACCCGCGGTAGAAATGAACACGTGCTAGTTCAGCTTGGGAGTGGGCTGGGAGAGGGGCCTGAGGCACCTGCAGCCTGGCTCTGGGTGCCCTGGGCGCTTCCTAGCCTCTCTAGGACTCTCCACACCTACAATGTCGGGCAAATGAGGATCTCAGGTGCAAAAGGAGGATGTACAAATTTTCTCCTTCTGGTTTCTGTTCCACTGAGCACTGATGTCTTTGCTGTAGATGGGCTTTCGTACGTTTATGTCACAGGACCCGTTTGTTATCTTTAACCTGGGACTTTATTTGTACAACTAAGACATTTGTATAAAACAAACAGAAAATGAAAGAAGCATTAAGCCATGGGAGAGTAGAAATGGGAGCTGAGAAACTTAAGAGTAGAAATTGGAGCTAAGAAGATGAAGTGAACTCCTATCCTCAAACCCGCAAGTTCCCGGCCCCAAAGGAAGCCCTCAGAGACTGACATGGCTTCTGGGAACTGGACAGCCCCTCTCAGCAAGCCTCATTCCCAACCTGCACCTGGCCTCTCTGCGAGGAAGGTCAGCCCCAGCCTGGGAAGACCAAGAGGGAGCCAGCCCAGCATCACCCCATGAAAGACCCAGGACCCAATGTTACTGCCCTACCAGGGCAAAGCAACTTGCAAAGATGGTGGCTAAACGGCCACCACTAAAGGTCCCAGCTCAGGGAAAGCACAGGAGCCGGAAGCGGTGGCATGGGCAGCATTTCTTACTCAGTCCTCCAGCACACTCTGTGAAGTGCCCTGGGGGCAATGAAACCTTCTCCCTAGTATTCCCGATGACCCACAAACAAGTTGCTCCCATGCACGTCACACACAGAAAGGCCTTGCAGCAGTGAAAAGCAGGCAGCTTCAGCAGCCATTGAACTCTCCAGGGTTGAATGTGTCCCTTCTCTCATTTTTCCACATCGTGCTCGTTACTGACCGATGTCTTTTTGTAGCAGGACACCAAAACCGTATTCTCTGCTCATTTGTAAAATCTGAAAACAACAGCAAGTTGTGAAACCACTTATTTTCAGGCAAACGATATTGAATTTCCTGTAACAGAGACAAATGGCAAGTGAGAATGCAGAGTTCTACTCCAAGTAGCCTGGGGCCGAGAGTTTTTTGTTAGTATGTTTCTAGGGCCCATCTTAGTCATTAAAAAGATTGTTAAGGCTAAAAACCAAAACAAAACAAAACTGCAGCTCAAAGAACGGTAGCTTTGAATTGGGTTACTTCCTGTAGTACCTCTAAAATAATCTAAGAGAATCACAAATTTATATCAAGGGGCCAGAAGAAATTAGCCTGCGGATGGGATGATTTTCTAAGGACAGTTAGAGGCTGGGGAACAACTACCTCAAATCGCAACTCAGATCTGTGAGCACCACAGGCTATTTTCTCCATGCCTGGATCATGAGAGCAAAACCAGAGGTGGTTTTCAAGCTTTTCTGAAGCCACAAACCCTTTTGTTCAAATGACATGTTACAGGTAAGTGTAAACCCAGACAGTAGAAGAGAGTACGTCTGTTCAAAATGAAGAGAGTGAGGAGGTCTCAGGGTCCCCCCACGACCACCCAGAGCCCCTTCCCTGCCTCAAGCTGACCCTGGGCTTGCAAAAGCATGAGGTCCTGCATCCAGCCTCCCCAAAACTGGCATCAGATCACTGGGGAGCAAGTTAAAATGAAGGGGTGGGGACAGACCCAGACCACAGTTAGTACCAGAGAGGGACTTACTTTCCATGAAAGGTCATCATGGGAGAGATTTTGAACGGAACTTTCTTTTTTTTTTTTTGAGACAGAGTTTCACTCTTGTTGCCCAGGCTGCAGCGGAATGGTGTGATCTCTGCTCATTGCAACCTCTGCCTCCGGGGTTCAAGCGATTCTCTTACCTCAGCCTCTTGAGTAGCTGGGATTACATAGGCGCCCGCCACCACGCCCAGTTAATTTTTTGTATTTTTAGTAGAGATGGGGTTTCACCATGTTGGCCAGGCTGGTCTCAAACTCCTGACCTCAGGCGATCTACCTGCCTTGGGCCTCCCAAAGTGCTGGGATTACAGGCTTGAGCCACCGCACCCGGCCTTGAATGGAACTTTCTAGAGGTCTGGCCTGAGACAGCTACACTCAAGTTATTATCTCTTGGGTAGGGGGCAGCTTCTAAATCCAACACACAAGGTGAAAATTGTACACAATTAAAATATCATTGAAAATTGCCCATAAAATCCAGCAGGCATGTTTAAGCCACTCTCGATATAAATATAATGTGTACAACAGTGCAGAGCATATAGTAATATGAATTTATATGGCTATTTACAATTTTAGAGTATTCAAAAATACATTTTGTTTGTCCGTTGCTGCACTTGCAGAGTGGAATTTACTGAAGTGACTTGAGCTTGTGCTCTGACTCAGGGGTCCTGGGGCCACATGCTTTAAGGATAATACCCCAGTGAGCCCTCACACTGACTGTGAGATTGGCACTGTTAGCTCATTTAACAGACGAGAAATCCGAGACTTGGAGACATGAAGTGACTTGCTGGCTGTCACATGGTGATTGGCAGACGGGATTCAAACCCAGCCCTGTCTCCACCTAAAGCTGGAGCTTTTGAGCAAGAGAACCTGTTGCCCTCGTCAATTTAGAGTTGTGTACTTTTGCTCCCCCAAACATTTCTGTATAGAGGGGGTTGTTCTAAGGATCAAATGTAATTAACTGGATAGGCAGATGTGAAACAGTCTCTGTTTTGAGGAACAAAAATCAAATGCAGGAATGCTGCCCTGGCCCAGGATGGCTTCCAACAGCCTCATGAAAGACCCAGGACCTAATGTCACTGCCCTACCAGGGAAAAGCAACTTGCAAAGGTGGTGACTAAATGGCCACCACTAAAGGTCCCAGCCCAGCCCAGGGTAAGTACAGGCGCTTTCTCAGCTTAGTGGGCCCCAAGAGTGCTATGTGACTCTGTCAACTCCTGGGACCCAGATGGGGTCGAGGGCGGCAGGTGGGACAAAGGCAGCTCCTAGGGAAGGAAAGCAATGGCTGGTGGAAGAGGCTGGTCTTCAAATCCGATTCCAGTAGTCTCTCCACTGATCTGTCAAATGAGGGTGATAACCCCTTATCTCACACAGAACCAAGGGGATGAAATAATAGGTGGGATGAAATAACGGATGGGATGAGTTTGGGATACTCTGCGGTATTCTGTGCATGCAAAGCCTGATTGCTCTCCTCAGGAGAGCTAAGAATGTTGTTGAAATACATTTAACTTATTGGTCAGGTTTTTGTTTGTTTAGGTTATCTCTTAGGTTCCTGAACTCTATCACCCCACCTATTTATACAGTCTGTAAATTTTTTTTTAGATGGGGTCTCACTCTGTTGCCCAGGCTGGAGTGCAGTGGTACCATCATAGCTCACTGCAGCCTTGAACCCCTGGGCTCAAGTGATCCTCCTGCTTCAGCTCCCGAGTAGCTGTGACTACAGGTGTGCACTACCACGCCCGGCCGAGTCTATGATCTTTGGAAGATGAGGTCTGACTTTGGCTCCTCGCCGCAGTTAGAGGCTGCAAGCTGCAGCAGGGGCTGAGGAACCCAAGGCCACACCCAGGTTATACACTTACTGTTTCATGAAACGAAGCCGGGCTCTCCTCCGCCGGCCTGGAAGAGGAAAGCAAGGGCGCCAGTCAGTGTGGGCTGTGGGTCACTGTGCTGAGCCCCAGAGGCCAAGGAGGATTGTCACAGGGGCAGCTGACACCTCAGCCCACCTCCCTGGTCCCAGACCCTGGCCCAAACACTTTACACATTTTAATCCCCTTAATGCTCACTGAAAACCTGAGTTGGATACTACTTTTAAGATCTCCATTTTATATGTGGGAAACTGAGACACAGAGTGAGTGAATTACTGGATAACATGCCCAAAGTCATGCAGCTAGTAAGTGGGAAAGCCAGAATTCAAACTCAATTAATCAGCTGCAGAGTCTGTGTCCTTAAACACACCTGCTTGCCCTTCACAGCAGGTCAGACATGAAAGGTCCCAGAGACAGGCAGTCTCAGGCTAGGGCAATTGCATTCAGAGGATGAGCGAGATTTCCCACTGGGAGTTAGGAAGAAAATAAAAGCATGTCTATTGACATTTGTATTTCAGCCTTTATTACTTTTGATTTTCATTTATTTTTTTAGGAATGGGGTCTTATTATGTTGTCTAGGCTAGACTTGAACTCCTGGGCTCAAGTGATCCTCCCTCCTCAGCCTCTCAAGTACGGGCACTTGCCACTACACCCAACTTGCTTTTCATTTTGAAGCACATTTAATAACATACATAAAATATTAAATAAGTAAATACAGCCAACTGCTGCATTTACTTTATAATATTCAATTAGCTGTATTCGCTTATTTAACATTTTATGCATGTTATTAAATGTGTTTCAAAATATTTTACCAATGAGGTCCTTCCTTGATCGAGAGAGTTTGCAAACCACTGAGATTTATGGGTTTCTTAGAATGGGGTACATGGGCCCCTCTGTGGGGAACAATTGTAGGCAAAAGTATGCTCCTGGGTGCATTTCTGTGGGGAGAGGTCCGTTATTTTCATCGTATGTTCAAAGGGGTCTGTGACCTACAAAAGTTAAGAGCCACTGATCTAGTTCATGCCCTTGCTGTCCCACCTGCCCACTTTATAGATGCGCAGAGAGGGGAAGGGGCTGGCTCGAGGTGGCACAGGTGAGCAGAAGAACCGGGGTAGAGTCTGGGCTCTGGGCTCTAGGGCAGCCATGCAGGCCTCCCCTCCGGCTCCCCGTCTTTCTTGTGAACCCAGTGCTGTGCAGAGCTTGGGGTGGGGGCCATAGAAGGAAACAGTCCAGTCTCTGGGGTGGCTGGGAGCAGCAGTCATTTCTGTTTCCCACAGCCTCATCAATATCGGTGTCGTGGAGAGGATTTCTAGCTTCTAGGAACACAACACAAACCCCATAGGCAAACTTTTCTGGACACTGGGCTTTGGTCTCAACTGCTCACGTGAGTTCCCACTCACTGACACGTGCCGAGTGCCAGGCATTTGGGGTAGGAATTTACAAACAGCAACTCTGGGAGGTAGCTAATGTCCTACCCCCATCTGAGGCAGCCGAGGCTCAGAGAGACCGGGGCACTGGATCAGGAAACAGCCACGTTGCACTCAAACCCAGGTTTGCCTGACTCCAGGGACAGGGTGGTCTTTGGTTTTGGCTGCGTAGCCCCAGGCCAAGAACTACCTCCGGAAATACCGCAGGTTCTCTGAGGCAAATTCCCACCAGGCTGCCATCTGCTCTGCTCCCCTAGAGAAGAAAGTATCCCAGGGACACTTCAAACAGCAAACAGGGACACCCAACAACCCAAGAGGAGACAACTCACAGCACAGGTGCATGGCCACTCCCAGGGAAACCAGCAGAACCAGGACGCCAGCCACCAGCAGGCCAAGGGTGACGGGGCTACAAAGTGGGCCTGGAAAACACACATGTGACATGTGTTCAACACAGAACATTTTTCTGCGTGAGACACGCAGAAAAATACAAGGAGCGAAAAATTCAACTGGAAGCCCCACCTCCCAGAGAATACCACCATTTGTATTTCGATGTAATGTATGTTTCCTCAAGTCTTTTTTTTTTTTTTTTTTTTTTTTTGAGACAGAGTCTTGCTCTGTCACCCAGGCCGGAGTGCAGTGGTGCATTCTCAGCTCACTGCAACTTCCGCCTCCTGGGTTCAAGGGATTCTCATTCTTAGCCTCCCGAGTAGCTGGGATTACAGGCATGTGCCACCATGCCTGGCTAATTTTTGTATCTTTAGTAGAGAGAGGGTTTTATCATGTTGGCCAGGCTGGTCTCAAACTCCTGGCCTCAAGCAATCCGCCCACCTTGGCCTCCCAAAGTGCTGGGATTACAGGCCTGAGCCACCATGTCCAGCCATCGTCTAGTCTTTGTAAGCACTTTAAACATTATTGAAATCATTTTATTATAAAATTTCATGTCCCACATTCAAATTTTTAAGAAGTAGACAATTTTCATGCCTGGTAATGAGTCTTTTACTATTTATTTTTAAAACTTTTATTTTTCACAAGAAATAGCTGAATATATTTTCATTGTAAGACATTTAAATATAGGATTAGAGTGTTCCCTGACATCTTTGCTCCTTCACAGAATTAATCACCATTGATAATTTAGTAACTTTCTCTTTCCATGCCTATGTAATTTTTATAGATACATATAGGGTTTGTTCGTTTGTTTGTTTGTTTGTTTTGATACAGAGTCTCGCTCTGTCGCCCAGGCTGGAGTGCAGTGGCACAATCTTGGCTCACTGCAACCTCCGCCTTCTGGGTTCAAGCGATTCTCCTGCCTCAGCCTCCCAAGTAGCTGGGATTACAGGCGTCCGCCGTCATGCCTGGCTAATTTTTGTATTTTTAGTAGAGATGGGGTTTCACCACGTTGGCCAGGATGGTCTCAATCTCCTGGCCTCAAGTGATCCACCCGCCTCAGCCTCCCAAAGTGCTGGGATTACAGGTGTGAGCTACCGCAACTGGCCTTAAATACATATAGTTTTAAAAAATATATAGAGTGGATTATACTGTACAAATTGTTCTTTTGTACCTTTATTTTTTCAATGCACCTTTTTTCCTTCACTTAGTCAATGTGTTCTTTCTTCCAGCAGAGTAACATCTGACAGCATGGATGTACCATGAGTTACTTGTCATCAGTGGGCCTTTTGATTGTTTCCTGTGTTTTACTTTTACAAATAACTCTGCAGAAAACAACCTGTATATTTCCTTACAAAGGTGCCTTCCTGAGGTAAATACTGAGAACGGGAACTACTAAACCCCAGACTTTGCCCATTTTAAATTGTGACAGATGCTGTCAAATGCCTCCCTAAAAGGCGGCACTGACTTCCGTCCCCACCCGCCAATAGTGCACCTTGCTGACCCTTGATATCATCAAAATGTTTTAGTTTTTGCCAGTCAAGTGGGGGAAAATGTTATTTCACTTAAATTCCCTAATTTCTTATAAGCTTTGGCCTATTTTCATATATTGGGAACTTGTATGATTTTTCTTCTACGAGTTGACTATCTTTTCCTTTGTCCATTTTGTGTGCTATTTAAACAGCAGACTTTACACTATCAATGTCCCAAATCCTCCTCTGACACCCTTCAGGCCCCTGTGGCTGGTCCCTTGAGTAGCTGAGGGGCAAAGCAGGGCCCATGGGTGAAAGGGCAAGGCTGCAGATTTGGGCTCGAGGTTCGGAAAATTGGAAAGCATTGTGGATGTCAAGGAAGAGAGAGAATTTTTACTGAATACATATGTGCTAAGTACATACTAAATGCAAACTCCCATCTTGTGAGGAAGAAAGGTATTGGTATTTTTTAATTATTTATTTATTTATTTATTTATTTATTTATTTATTTATTTTTGAGACGGAGTTTTGCTGTTGTTGCCCAGGCTGGAGTGCAATGGCGAGATCTGGGCTCACCGCAACCTCTGCCTCCTGGGTTCAAGCGATTCTCCTTTCTCAGCCTCCTTAGTAGCTGGGATTACAGGCATCTGTCACCACACCCGGCTGATTTTTGTGTTTTTAGTAGAGATGGGTTTTCACCATGTTGGCCAGGCTGGTCTCGAGCTCCTGACCTTATGTGATCCACCTGCCTTGGCCTCCCAAAGTGCTGGGATTACAGGTGTGAGCCACCGTGCCTGGCTTGCCATTATTTTTACCTCTCATTTCACAGTTCAAAAAACAAAAACAACAAGATTCAAAGAGGTTAAATTATATAACCAAGGTCACCCAGCTACTAAAAGGCAGGACCAGGGTGTGGACACAGATCCTCCGAGTTCCAAGCCCCTGTGGGGCCCACCTCAGCTGCATGAGGGCATGAGAGGTACAGGAGGGAAGGGAGCGGGCTGCTACATGGGTGGCAGCCCACTGTCACTAGAGGGGAACAAGCCAAGGCTGGATGGCTGGGGTGTGGAGAGGAGATTCATACACGGACAGGGAGGCTGGATGAGGGGCCCCTCTGAGATGCTGAGGGCATCTGCTGGGCTCCCTCTCACCTCCTATTTGTTCTCCCAACCTGGATGAACCTCAAAACATGGTGCTAAGTGAAAGAAGCCAAGCATGAAAGACCCCATGGTGTGTGATTCCACTTCTATGAGATGCCCTGGGGAGGCAAATCTGCAGAGGTAGACGGTAGATTAGTGGCTGCCAGGGGCTGGGAACAGAGATGAGCTGTGAACAAGCACAGGGAATCTTACTGGGGTGATGGAAACCTTCTGAAACTAGATTACGGTAACGGTCGCCCAACTTGGTAAATTTACCCAAAATCATTGAATTTGTATGCTTAAAATGGGTGAACTTTGCGGTATGCAAATTATATCTCAACTAAGGTTTTTTTTTTTTTTTTTTTTGAGACAGGGTCTTGCTCTGTCGCCCAGGCTGAAGTGCAATGGCGTGATCTCGGCTCACCACAACCTCCACCTCCTGGGTTCAAGCGATTCTCCTGCCTCAGCCTCCTAAGTCGTTGGGATTACAGGTGCCCACCACAATGCCCAGCTAATTTTTGTATTTTTAGTGGAGACGGGTTTCGCCATGTTGATCAGGCTGGTCTCGAACTCCTGACCTCAGGTGATCCACCAGCTTTGGCCTCCCAAAGTGCTGGGATTATAGGTGTGAGCCACCATGCCTAGCTCAACTAAGTTTTTAAAAACTGTAATGGAGGTGGGTGCAGGTCGCAGGGATGTACAGGGCGGCAGGGCTCCTTCCTGAGGAGAGGTCATGGTTAAGACCACTGTGGAGGCCAGCAATGTAGCTACAGGTCTCCTCTGGAGCACTGTCTCCCATCCAAAATGTGACTCTCCGGGAAAAGTTGCTGCTGCAAATAACGTGCTTGGGTAAGGGGTCATTTGCCAGAGCCACACCAATGACACCCCCAGCCCAGCCTTCCTCATCTTACTGGGGCCTCAGGGTCTCCTGAGCTCTGGATCTGCACTCTGCTCCTGAGTCCATGGTTTAGAAATGGTCCCCCAGCACCTAAGGGTGTTGTCTTAGGAACAGCCCTAAGCCTCAGGGACAGTGCCTTCTCAGTGACCCCATGGGTTTCATTCATGATCACAGGCTTTGAGGTCTGTGTGGACGCCCCACAAGCTCTGAGTGCCTGGTGTATAATAGCATCTCATTTAATCCTGCATCCCCATTTCACAGACAAGGAAACTGAGGTTCACAGAGGCTGAATCACCTATTCAGTGTCTCATAGTACAGGCAGTGGTAGACAGAGATTCAGACCTAGGCCTGACTGACTTGCCACTAGGCTACACTGACCCAGGGCCACTCTCCTCAGTGTAACCTCCACCTACTTTCCCCACACCCATCCCCAGCCTTACTCCACTAGGTCACCTTCACACACATCCGGGTTATTCTTAACAACCTATTAATCTTTGGTTTGCATTTTGCCCTGGGAATTTACTGAGGGTTAGTACAAGAAATGATGCAAGAGGCCAGGCGTAGTGGCTCACGCCTGTAATCCCAGCACTTTGGGAGGCCAAGGCAGGTGGATCACCTGAAGTCAGGAGCTCAAGACCAGCTTGGCCAACATGGTGAAACCCTGCCTCTACTAAAAATACAAAAATTAGCCAAGCGTGGTGGTGGGCACCTGTAATCCCAGCTACTCTGGAGGCTGAGGCAGGAGAATCACTTGAACCTGGGAGGCGGAGGTTGCAATGAGCTGAGATCACGCCACTGCACTCCAGCCTGGGCAACAGAGTGAGACTCCATTTCAAAAAAAAAAAAAGAAAGAAAGAAAAGAAATTATGCAAGAAATCTGAAGACCTTTGTTTTTGCCATCATTTATAAAAGTATGAGTGAGTTTGCCGTCATTCAGCTGTCCTTACATGAAGATGAATGGGCAGATTGCTTCTAGAATTTAGTGCTAGGATGAAGGTTTCTTCTTTTGGTGGCAGGTTGTTTCTTTCTATCACTGGGGTTGGGGTGCCATACAACTTGGGGTCTTCCCTTTGTTTAAACTGATGTTGCTGGGTTCTCCACAGCCATAGCACACAACCAGTTCTTGTGCCCTCATCTTAGTGGCTCTATTGTATTTGCCTTTTATATCCTTTTTATTGTAGTCTGCCTGAAATCGTTTAGGTGAAGGGGTCAGGGCATGGGACTTTGTAAAATAAGGTTACTCTTAAGCTCCTTAAGACTTTACTCTTCTGTACATTGGTTCTGATTTTCTTTTTACTGTGACCTCATGTGACGGCAGCTTCCCACCCTGGTCTCCCAGATCCTATTCAGTACTGTCCTCAATAATTTCTGGTACTTAAAATATTTAAGACAAAGCAAACTGAGCAGTGTGAGGCAGTGCTCCTGGGGCTGCTTGTGGTTTGTTTTCTGGGTAGCAGCAGATGGCACTTTCTGTTTGTCACCAGTGACTTTTGCTGGGCTGAGGTCAGTATTTTTCCAGAAACACGTTTGGGCTGATGGGTTTAAGGAAAGCGTGTGCATGGGCATGTGTGTCTGTGTGTGTGTGTATGTGCGTACACTCCAGCTGAGGTGTCTGGTGGAGCATAGAGAAGCAAATGTGTTCATTTGCAAACAAACATGTATTCATGAACTAGCACATACTGTGTATTAGGTCCTCTGTTAGGTATTAAAACTGGAAACTTTTTTTTGAGAGAGGGCCTGGCTCTATCACCCAGGCTGGAGTGCAGTGGCAGGATCTCAGCTCACTTCAATCTCCACCTCCCAGGCTCAAGGCATCCACCTCAGCCTCCTGAGTAACTGGGACTACAGGCATGTGCCACCACGCCCATCTAATTTTTTTACATTTTTGTAGAGACAGAGTTTCACCGTGTTGCCCAGGCTGGTCTCTAACTCCTGAGCTCAAGGCGATCCACCCATCTGGGCCTCCCAAAGTGCTGGGATTACAGGTGTGAGCCACCACGTCTGGCCAAAACTGGAAAAGTTTAAAGTGCTGGTCCTTTGAGTGGATTTTTTGTTTGTTAACAGCTTTATTGAGTTATAATTTACTCATAAAGTCCCCTTGTTTAAAGTGTACAATGTCATGGTTTTTAGTGTATTCATGGAGTTGTGCAACCATTATCATAATGTAATTTCAGAACATTTAAATTCCCCTAAAAAGAAACCTTATACCCATTAGGAATCACTCCCCATTTCTTTCCCAAGCCCCCAGCCTTAGGCAGCAACCAATCTACATTCTGTCTCTACAGAGGATCATATGCTGGATATTCCATAATCATGGAATCATATAGTATATGGATTTTTGTGACTGGCTCCTTTCATTTTATTCTTTATTATGGCCAAACAATATTCCACGATAATAAATAAGCCACATTTTGTTAATCAACTCATTAGCTGGTGGATGTTTGGGTAGTTTCTGCTTTTGGCTAGTATGAATAATGAAGCTGTGGACATTTGTGTGCAGGGGTGTGGGTGGAGATCTCCTCCATTAAGCTTTGTCCAGTAACAATTTACGAGTCTGTCTCCCACGAGACTGTGAGTTGCTATCACACTCAGCATCCTTTCTGACCCTAGCTTGGGCTGGGGAGATAGGCTCTAGAGTTGACACTTGGAAAGTGCCTGGGGAAGGAAGGAGGGGAGGGAGGGAGGGCAAGGGGATGTCTGCCTTGTTTCTGAGGGTGCAGAGGGATAGGGAACTCACCCTTCTGGGTCTCTGGCCTGGGTAACCGGCACACTCTCTTCTTGAGGGTGGACTTCTTGGTGGGCTGGGCAGTGGTGGGAAGGAAATCAACTACAGAAAGAAAGCAAGACACATATCTTAGCCAAGTGAACACCACGTGGACTCAAAGACAAAACTTTGTCTTATGGCCGGGTGCGGTGGCTCATGCCTGGAATCCCAACACTTCCGGAGGCCAAGGCAGGAGATCATTTGAGCTCGGGAGGTTGAGACCAGCCTGGGCAACATGGTGAAACCCCCTCTCTACAAAAAATAAAAAGTTTAGCCAGGCGTGGTGGCATATGCCTACAGTCCCAGCTACCCAGGAGGCTGAGGTGAGAGGATCACCTGAGCTTGGGAAGTCAAGGCTGAAGTGAGCCATGATCATGCAACTGCACTCTGGCTTGGGCGACAGAGCAAGACCCTGTCTCAAGAGCAAATAAATGAACAAATGAACAAAATTTGTCTTACATCCAAGTACTGAAGTCCTTATGACTGTTCCCCAGGCTGCTACAGGGCTTGAAGGTCACAGAGCAATAGAATGTTTGATCTGCTTTCTGAATTCTCAGATGTTGGGAAAGGGGTGAGGGCCTAGGGATGGGGTTCAGCTTTGTGTCCTGGAGAGAGGAAGGCTCTGGAGCCACACAGAACTGAGCAGAGCCTACACCTCTGATTTATTTATTTTTATTTTTTTATTTATTTATTTTTTGAGACAAAGTCTCGCTCTGTAGCCCAGGCTGGAGGGCAGTGGCACGATCTCGGCTCACTGCAACCTTTGCCTCCCGGGTTCAAGCAATTATCCTGCCTCAGCCTCCAGAGTAGCTGGGATTACAGGCGCGTACCACTGCATTCGTCGTGCCACTGCATTCGTCTAATTTTTTGTATTTTTAGTAGAGACGGGGTTTCACCATGTGGGCCAGGCTGGTCTTGAACTCCAATCCACTCACCTCGGGCTCCAAAAGTGCTAGTATTACAGGTACGAGCCACCGCACCCGGCCGACCTACACCCCTGATTAACCGCTGTATGACTTGGGACAAGTCATAGCATTTTTCTGTGCCTTGATTTCCTTATCTGCTGAAATAATGATAACTGCCACCTCCTTCTTGGGATTATCTGAGAATGAAAGGGACAGTGTGTCCAAAAAAAGTTTCAGTAGATGTGGCTCCACCTGGCTGAAGACCTTGAGCCCCAGGGCTGGATCGCCCAGCCTTTGGCACAACGAGCCCCTCCGCCCAACTCGGCATTCCCTAAGCACATGGAGGAAGCTCATGGAAGGAGGGGGTGCCCTTTTCTGCATGTAGAGTACCACGCATGTGTCATATTTGGGGATTGGTTTTCCTTCTCAGATGGCCCTAAAATATATATATAATATCAGAGCTAAGGGAAGTTCAGTCTCAAACTTTAATTTCAAAGGTGAACACCAGAGACAAGGGGAGCTGGCCCCTGCAGCCCCAAGTGGTGAGTGCTGTGTTGGGACCCCAAGCCCCTGTCCTGACTCCTGGATGGGTCACCCCTCTCCTTCATTTTTACCCAGTGACCCCTGCTGAAGTGTTGGGAGGGGCAGTGGGCCGGCACCCAGAGCAAAGGAAGACAGCTGTGGCTCTGATGCCTACTGGGGATGAAGGGGGCACTGCTGGCCACAGAGTCCAACCCTTGCCTTTGTGGGTTAAGGAAACAGATCTCTCTGCACTGATTTTCTCCAAAATGGAAGGAGAGGGAGTAAGGAGACACCATGAACCTAAACTCTAGAGTCAGGGGGACAGAAAAAAAAAAAGAAAAGAAAAGAAAAGAAATATTAAGGCTGGGCGCGGTGACTCACGCCTGTAATCCCAGCACTTTGGGAGGCCGAGGCAGGTGGATCACCTGAGGTCAGGAATCCAAGACCAGCCTGGCCAACGTGGCAAAACCCCGTCTCTACTAAAAATACAAAAATTAGTTGGGCGTGGTGGCACGTGCCTGTAATCCCAGCTACTCAAGAGGTTGAGGCAGCAGAGTCGTTTGAACCTGTGAGGCAGAGGTTGCAGTCAGCCAAGATCCTGCCACTAAACTCCAGCCTGGGTGACAGTGACTCCGTCTCAAAAAAAAAAAAAGGTGTTGGGGGGTTGTAAGGGGGAACAGGCAGGGGAAGCCCACAGATCAGTCATTTTTGGGCTGGCATCTTCTATATAAAAGTAGACATTTTAACCCCTCACCTCTCTGAGCCTCCTCTGGAAAGCGGAGAGAACACGATCTGTTTGTCTGCTTCAAGACATTGATGGGAAGAAGCAACTAGGATGAAAGTGCACTAAGCTCCAGCCATGTGTGGGGAGCAGTGCTGAGCCTTTCCGCATAAGTTTACTGGACACAACAACTTTTGGGGCAGGCACTGTTGTCCCCATTTTATCCAGGAGGAAGCCTAGGCTCAGAGAGCTGAAACAATGTGCCCAAAGTTAGACAGCCACTGGCTGCAGAGCCAGTATCTGCAGCAAAAGACCTTGATTCTAGAACCTGTGCTTCTCGCTCTGCCACACTACCTCACGTGCAAAGATTTTCTGACAAAAAGTTGAACACTTTAGGTGCACCCAAGGCCCTGGGTCATCATAGTGCTGAGGGCAACTATTGTAAGAGGAAACTGTCATCAGCAGGGTCGGAGAGGGTGCAACGAGCCTGGCCCTCTCCTGGGAGTGTTGCCTCCTTCAATCCTCACGGCCCTAGAGTAGTTCTGTTTGACTTATTTTCTACCCGAGGAAGCAGGGACGTCTTTCAGATGGTCAGTGGTGAGCCCAGAGGGGAGCCAACTCTTTGGGCCCTCAGTGCCTTGGCTGGGCACCGCCGCCTGGGTCTAGGGGAGACTCAGGTTGGGGGACTGTTCTGTTTTAAATTCTTCTTGCCTAGAGCCAGGTCCCCCTGGATTCCTCCTGAGCCCCCAGTTTAATCTCTCCCTCTCTGTTCTTAAAAGGAATAAAACTTCGAGCCCATGATATACTTAAGGGCCTGAAAAAGGCCCTGTCTCTCCCCAAACACTTTCTCAACCATCCCAGCTTTGTCCTCTAAAAGGCCTTTCTTGGGTGAGAAGGTGGGGTTCGGCTCCGAAGAAGGTCTGATTGCAAGCCCTGGGGAGAAGCAGGTTTGGCTGCAAACCAGAGCTGGAGAGAGGCATTGACATTCCTGTAGTGCTGGGAGGGGTTTGGGGTTTGGAAACACTGAAGTCAGGAGTGAGTGCGGTTGGGATGGAGGCGGTGGGAAGGCGGGAAACTAGCTGTGTTTATTGTACCCTCCACCTTCTCAGACTCTGAAATCTCATGAGTGGAAAGGTGTGGGGCTTACAGAGACAAAAACAATAAGCTAAAGCCAAACCCCAAACCCCAAACTCCCAAAGTCCATTTTTCAATACGAAAATCAGTGGATCCCCACGTGAAGGGATGCCTCAGCTTCTTGCCTGCAATACACCCTCCCAGGCTAGCAAGAGGTGGCGGGGCATCACTTTGGTTTGTGTCTTCCTAATCGTGCTGCTGTCCCCAGCTGCCCCTGCACTTCCTCACGCTGAGTGGTCTAATTTCTGGGTCCCCTTGTGGCTTTTAGTGCCCTCAAGTGAGCAGGAAGCAGGGCAGTGGGAGCCCTGGAGGGGGTTGGCTCCAGCCTTGGGCCAAGCTGGAGGTGGGGCTAGAGCCAGAGGCAGGCTGTGAGAGTTACCACCCATAACTAAATGCCTTCTGTCCAATATGCCACAGGTGCTGCTGAGCACGTGAAATGTGGCCAGTCTGAATCGAGATGAGCCATATGTTTTATGTAAAATGCTCATCGAACACTTAGTATGAAAAATGAATGTAAAATATTTCAGCAATACTTTTTATATTGATTACATGTTGAGATGAAAATATAGTTAATAAATTGAGTTAAATATAACATTATTTAAATTAATTTTACTTGCTTCTTTTTGCTTTTTTAAACATGACTTTAAATTTAGAATTTCATCTGTGGCTTGAAATGTGCGTCTGCTGGACTTGCTGATTTAAGTCAGAGGTCTGCAGCTTCTCTGGGATTAAGTGGGTCATGGAGGCCATCAGCACCCCCGTGTGACACAGAAGAGAACACTGAGGCCCAGGGGAGAAAGCATGGCAAGTTTGCAAGCAGAGCTGGGCCTGGCTCAGTCTCCTTACTAACTTCGACTCAGGTATGAATTCGAGCTGTAGGCCCTCACAGAGAACATAAGGGCACCTGTCCCTCCACTGCCCCTAGAAATGCCCTCACTGGGTATATCAGGGCAGTGAGGGCCTCCTTTCCCTGTGTGCACACTCTGGGGATTTCTAACACCACTATAAGGCCAAGGGGCTCAGCCCAATCCAGCCGTAGCTTCGAATGTCCCTGATGTGGCCTGAAGGACCGCACTGCCCTGTCCCCATAAGAAGAATAATGCCTGGCCAGGCACGGTGGCTCACGCCTGTAATCCTAGCGCTTTGGGAGGCTAAGGTGGGTGGATCACTTGAGGTCAGGAGTTCGAGACCCACCTGGCCAACATGGTGAAATCTCGTCTCCACTAAAAATACAAAAAATTAGCCAGGTGTGGTGGCTCATGCCTGTAATCCCAGCTACTCAGGAAGCTGAGGCAGGAGAATCACTTGAACCCAGGAAGCAGAGGCTGCAGTGAGCCAAGATCGCACCACTGCACCCCAGCCTGGGCAACACAGTGAGGCTCTGTCTCAAAAAAAATAAATAAATAAATAAAAAAGAGAAGCACAATGCTCATCTCTGACGCTGACCCGTCTCTTCCAATTTCATCTTATTCCCACCTAAAGTGGTTAGGTAATAGACCTACCTTCCAGGGTGGTTGGCAGCATTAAGGAAGCTAACTATGTAAACACTTGGAGGGGCTTGGCCTGGGTAAGTCTCCACATGTTCTTTCTGTTACTATTAGCAGCAGTGCCATTAGTCACAGCTGCAGACAGGGGCACACTGAAGCCTGGTGGTCCCAGTGCCTGGCACGTGCCTGGCACACAGTCGGTGCTCACTGATAGCATTGAGCCTGCTTTTTACCCACACTCAGCTGAGTTCCCTTCCCGAAGGTCAGCTCGGGGCTCCCGACGATCATGCAGAAGTAGATGCCACTGTCCTCCGGCTTCACGCTTGTGAGATTGAGAATGAACCGGCTTGCATCCCGAAACACAGCTATCTTCTCCTGTTCCACCTCTTCACCGTGGATAGTCCCTTTTGCGGAATCCCAGAGGGTCAGGAACTCGTGGTGACTATCACTGCTCGGGGCCTGGCGCTGTCTCAGCCAGTAGATGCACATGTTACTGAGGGAGATTTTAGCCTCGCAGGACAGCATCACCATCTTGTTGGTTTGCACCTTTATGTATGCAGGGGTCTGCTGGAGGACTGAGTTGCCATGGAGAACTAGGAAAAGCCAAGAACAGAGACATCGCACATTTTCCTAGCCACAGCTGTGGGACCTCGCAGTCACACTGAGTCAAGTGTCAAAGGAAAAGCCATGGAAGAACCTGCCCAGTTACTGGGTCCAGGGAGTGTGTTGAGCACAGCTGTTGGCTCCTGGACTCAGAGTTCACATACCCCACCTCCCAGGAGATCATCTGGAAGGCAGGTGTTTGCTAAGTTCAGCTTTACAAAGGTACAGGGGAGAGAGCTGCCATTTGTTTATTGTGTACTTATATGCCTGGCCCTTGCATAAAGGAACTCAATCAAGCCTCAAACTGGCTTTGGAATTTTTTAAAAGACATGGGGTCTTGTTATGTTGCCCAGGTTGGAGTGGAGTGGCTACTCACAGGCACTATCATAGTACACTTCAGCCTTGACCTCCTGGGCTCAATCTATCTTCCCACCTCAGCCTCCCAAGTAGCTGAGACTATAGGCATGTACCACCACAAAAGGATAGATCCAGGATTTTTAATCCTCGTTACACAGATGAGGAAACTGAGGCATGAAGTTACTTGTTCAAAGTCCCACTTACAGTATGTAAGTGGCCTAGGAGTCAAACTCAAGGATTTGAAGTCTGAAGCCAAAACTGGTTGCCTTTCACCTCCCCTGGCTGCCACTGGATGTACAGCCCTTCGGTAGGCTCCAAACTGCCGAAGGAGACCCAGGACAGGCTGGGAGAGGAGCCCAGAATCACAGCAGAGCATGTGGCTGGTCTGTCCGTTGCTGGACAGACCCTGGTAGGTACAATTACAGCCCATGACCCCCGAGCCCAGCAACTGATGGGTCACTGGATCCGTATTCCCCAGTGGAAGGACAGACACCACAGAAGCAGGGCTGGGAGTTCATCTTAGACTCTGACGAGAAGCACCCGGCAAGCAGGGGCTTATTCATGAGGAGCTAGAGCAGGACTCACAGACCCGGCCCAGAACCCAGCCTCTGGCCGTGCCAGCTGTGAGACCTCAGGCCAGTCACTGAGCCTCTGTCTTCTTATGAAAGGAGGACAGCTTGGGGCTGTTGTCCTGCCTGCCTCTGAGGGTTGGAAATAAATGAAATGCTGTCCAAAAAAGCACACTGCAAACTGTATGGCCATGTACACAGGTAAATACTGTCCCTGTGTCTCATATCACAGGGTTGTTACTGGAAGTAAATTAAATCTCAAGGAGAAGGATCAGAACAGGTTCCATACACACCAAGGCTGCACAGCTTCCAACAAACACAATCTGACCTGGTGAGCCCTTCATTTTGGCTGTGGAGCAAAGGGAGACATTGCAGGCCAGGGCAGAGACGCAGGAGTTGGGAGGCACAGAGAGGACACAGACCTGGGTAGGCAGAGGGGGGCAGAGGGCATGTGTGTGTGCCCAAGAGGAGCCAGCTTACTGAGCACCTCATGTTTAAAATCCTGCCTGCACTTGCAGCTCAGGCTCCGTGGCCCCATAATGGCCTTCTCCAACACTGATGAAATGAACTTCGACTTTTTGACTTCGCTCCTGGACCACTCTTAGCTTTCGCTCGCATCAAGAATGAAATGATGGGGCCGGGTGTGGTGGCTCATGTTTGTAATCCCAGCACTTTGGGAGATCGAGGCAGGAGGATCACTTGGGCTCAGGATATCGAGACCAGCCTGGGCAACATAGTGAGACCCTGTCTCTACTAAGAATACAAAAATTATCCAGGCATGATGGCGCATGCCTCTAATCCCAGCTACTAGGGAGGCTGAGGCAGGAGAATGGCTTGAACCCGGGAGGCGGAGATTGCAGTGAGCCAAGATTGCGCCACTGCACTCCAGCCTGGGCGACAGAGCAAGACTCCGTCTTGGAAAAGAAAAAATTATTAAAAAATAAAAATAAAAATAAAAACAAGAAGGAAATGATGCCTGGGGCACAAGTGGCTGCTGGACTTCCTCTTGTTTCCCCAAACACCACACTGCCGTTCCAGCAGAGCAGAGGTTTTTCCTTGCTTTGGGTCACTCACTTCTTGGGGGAGTTAATAAGAATCAATAATGCCAGTTTATTGAGCTGTGCCTGGCATGGCGCATACATTGTCTCATTTGATCCTCACCAAATCCTGTGGGGGAGATACTGTTTTGCAACTACTTTATCCATGAGGAAAGAGAGACTCAGGAAGGTTAAAGATGTGCTCAAGGTCACACAGTGATCCAGATTAAAACCCAGCTTGTGGGACCCCAGAACCTGACTTTGAACCACTGAATTGAAGAAACCTGCAATCCTCTCCCCGATGGTGGTTATGTGCTCACGAGCACACAGTGGGGCTGCAAGTACACAGGTGCCCGAAGCCCTTCAGGGAAAACCCAGAAGCGACTCCTGTAAGAGCAAGGCCTGGGCTGTGAGTGTGCATTTCCTCTCCTGGCTGAGACACACCCCGGCTCTTCCCGGGACCCACTTGCTTTTTGTCCCCTAGGAACTGAATACTCCGGGCTGTGGCCAAGGCCCTGCTGTGTGCTGGACATGGAGCCAGGCCTCACTGCATGTTCCCCTCGGTAACCCAGGAATTCCATTCTCAGAGGGACCTGATGTTTCTAGATTCATCAGTAATGACTTTAGTGCTCTGAACGGCCTGGGCTCTTTCTATTTATGATGTGGCACTCACTGGGCCAGAACCCCCGGCGGGCAGGCCTTGTCACCCCCTGGCAAGATGACCAGCTTTGGGCTTTTTGGGCACGAGAGCAAATCGACAAGTTTGGGCAGTTTTCCGGGTGTGTGGAGGCTTCTTCCAAAAGGCAGTCTGGCTGGGCTTACTCAGAAGGACAATCCAGATGCCCCATCCAACTCCAGCAACCCAACCTCCAGGCTGCTTCCTAGGGAGCCACGCTACCCATGACACCCAACACCAGCCACATCAGGGAGAACGGGAGCCAGAGGGATCACCCTGCCCTAGCCCTCCGAGAACTGAGAACGCCCCATGTTTGTCTGATTGTACTACAAACACTTCCCCGGAAGTAATAAAAATGTGTCCACAGGACCCACGGCCTGGCCAACCTTCCTCCGAGCACATCCTGCGGGGACCCTGGGCAGGGACCTGTTTCCTTCCCCTGGTGACCTCCAGTGACCCTCTCTTTCCTTCCCTCACTCGCTCCCCTTTTCACTGCCTCCCCTTCTCCTGCGTCCAGGCTTTTGAGGGGAGGTGGCCTCAGTCAGGGGCTCTCCGGTCCCCCGGGGTAATGCGATATGGGGGTATTTTATTTCCACCCTTAGGGACCCTGCCTGCCAAGCTGCCTCCCGGGCGCCCCGCCACCGCGGGCTCGACGCTGCACCCTGCCAGGACCAGGGCCAGGACAGCCACGTATCACCTCCCCGCTCAGGCCCCGGGAGCGCAGACCTTGGGCAGCCCGCGCGCCGCCGCCTTACCTGTCAGCTGCGCGGCCAGGAGGAGCCACAGCCGCGGCCGCATCGGGGCGCGCCCGGGACACCTGGCCCCGGGGGCTCGGCGGAGACAGTCGCGGCTGGGGTGGGTGAGGAGCTGGCCGGGCGGGGCGCCTGGGTCGGGGAGCTGGGGGGGGCAGTGGGGAGGGCGGGACCGGGCGCGGTGGCTGCGGGAGTCTGGTGTTGGGGACCGCGAGGTCTCCGCCCTCATCCTCCTAGCATTGCAAAGGTCTGGGCTGCGTTTCCAGAGCCCACCAGGACCCTCCGCTTTCCAGAAAGGAGGGGACACCGCCGGCCTCCCCCAGGCAGCTGCATGTGTGTCATCGCCCCCTGCCCCGGGAGGTGCTCAGGAAAGGGTTGTGACCCCGAGTGACAGTAGAGGCTCAGAGAGGTCAGGATGTGTAGTGCATGGTGGAGCTGGCCACTAACTCGGGCCGCTTCTTGTCTGTTTGAGTAGCAATTGAGGGGCTCCTGGGTGCCCCGGGCTGGGCTGGGCCTGGAGTCAGCAAGCCCCAAGTCTTGCCCTCCCTTGCCAGGGAGGAAGGAAAGGTAACCGGCTGTGACACTGAGGGAGGTGAGCTGGGAACTGGAGGTGCAGAGAAGGCCCCGACGCTGTTTGTAGGTTGTGCGGGTGCAGCAAGACCTAGATCTTAAGAATTTCGAAGGACTGTGACGATCACCGGCTGCGCCCTGCCGGCGAGTGCCCTGGGGCCGGCTCTATTTGTTGCGCGATCCAGCCCTGGTGGGGAGATTTGTGAGGGGAGACCTGGCTCAGGCTGTGTCTTCCTGTTCAAACGGGGGTTAGTAGAGAGGGGGTTGGGGAGGTCCAGGGAGAACTGGGCATGCAGCCTGCAGGGGAGAGGGACCCCTTGGAGGGCTGCGGGAGAGGCTCCTTGTAAATGTCAGCAAAGACCCAGCCAGGCAGGTCCATGGGTTACCCTAAGAGCTTAGAGTTTATCGGAGAGGAAATGGCATGTCCCCTGAGATCTAAAGCAGGCAGCCGGGCAAGGACACTGTCACATTTGGTCTCCACATCCAGTATTCTTTCCATCCCACTCTTGCCCCAGCCCCTCTGCCCATTGCTGGTGACAGCATTGCTCATGGCTGAGTTGGGTGCAGAGAGTTCAAAGGCACTGGGGGAAAAGAAGTCACTCAGCCCAGCCAGAGGCCAGAGTCTCGCTGGATACTGCCTTCGCTCCCAGGAGCGACTGTTGAGGTCTGGATGGACACAGACCTGGGGAGACCACACACTAGTGTGAGCTTTTTAAAAAAACGGATGTGAATTTCACATAACACAAAATTAACCATTCAAAAGCATACAGTCCAGTGGTGTTTAGTACATTCACAATGTTGTACAACCACCACATCTGTCTAGTTCTGAAATATTTTTATTTCCCCAAAAGAAATCCCTGCACCCATTAAGCAGTCACTCCCTATTGTCACCTTTCTCCAAATCCTGGCAACAACTAATCTTCATTCTGTTCTTGGATTTACCTGTTCTAGATATTTCATGCAATGGACCCATACAATGTGTGGTCTTTAGCGAATGGCTTCTTTGACTCAGCGCAATGTTTTTCAGGTTCATCCCCATTGTAGCACCATTTCTTCTTATTGTTGAGTAATATTTTGTGTATGTACCTGTATATACCACATTTTCTTTATCTGTTCATCTAATGATGGACATTTGAGTGGGCTACTATATCTACTTTTTGACTTTTGTGAGTAATGCTACTGTGAACATTCTTGTACAAATATATGTTTGGGTGCCTGTTTTCAATTCTTTCAGGTATGTACTCAGGCAGTGCAATTGCTGGGTCATACAATAATTCTATGTTTAACTTTTTGAGGGACTAACCAACTGTTTTCCATAGCAGCTGTGACCATTTACATTTCTGCCAACAATGAAAGGGTTCCAATTTCCCCACATCATCGTCAACACTTGTTATTTTCTGTTTTTGTTTTGTTCCATCCTAGTGGGTGTGAAGTGATATCTCATTGTGGTTTGGATTTGTACTTCCTGAATGAGAAATGATGTTAAGCATCAATTCATGTGCTTGTTGGCCATTTGTATTTCTTCTTTGTATGTGTATTCAAAGTATTTGTTGTTTAGAAAACACAAGCTACCTCTTTCTATCCACTCTCTCATGGGCGCCACAGCATTGCAAAAGGAACAACTTTCTCAGTAAATGATTAAAAGTTACTCACTGCTTTGTCAGGTATTGTCTAAAATCATAGACAGGGAACCCCTGGATGCATTAGTTATGGAAACTCTTGCGTTTGTGATAAATTAACCTCTAAATATTAGTGGTTTAACTCAATACAAATCCCCTGCATTGTTCTGTGACATTCAAGTGCAGTTGTGCCAGGGAGTAAGGAGTATTTGCTCCACTCAGTCCTGCAGGGGACCAGGGTCTTTCCCCCATCTTCAACTCATGGCTCCAGGGATCACTGTGCAAAGGGAAAAGAGGATGACTGCCTTCACCAGGGCAGTGTAGAGGGTGCTGGGGCTGGGTACCAGGCCTGGAAGCATCAACATCACTCTGTCTACTTTCCACTGGCCAGAGCTCAGTCACATGGACTCAATCATACCATAACGGGGCTGGAAAATGGAGTCTACTTGAGTGCCCAAGAGGAAAGGGGAAATGGAATCAGTGAATACATAACCAGCATGGACCGCACTGGTATAGCAGAAAGAGCACTGGTTAGCATCACTTCTCTGCTACTTACGCACTCTCAGGCCTCTGTTTCTACGTGGATAAATGAGGAAAATAATACCAACCATGCCATCTCACTGGGTTAACTTCAGGGCTAAATAAAATCCGGGATCTGCTTGCCCATTGAACTTGGAGGAGGTAACTCAGCAGGTCTCAGATGAAGCTATCACTTTCTTGTGGGACTGGCTTGGGAAAACATTGAGGGCATGGAGATGGTCATATCGATTGAGGTGGGCTGTGGGCGTTTAGTGGGTGGGGTCAGGGAAGCCAGGTGCACAGAAGGACCTTTCCTTTGATGTTCATGTGTGCCATTGGATATTCATTCAGGTGAATAACCTGTTTGTAATTAATTATCTGAACCTGGAACAAAACTCAGTTTTGCCTGTCAACATAAAGTACCTTTCCCTCTCAGGTTTTGCCTTCTCTGAATGTAGCGGTTTTTAGTCCACCATTCACTTGTGCCTTTGCTCTTCCATTTTCCTGGTCTTGGCTACAGATCAGCTCATGCTCTGACTTCTCTTCGGTTGACGTTTGTTCAGTACAGGTTGGTATAAGTATTTGGGGACCTCACTATATTGTCTTCTGCAGCTGTGCCTGAGTGTTGACTGGTCCATTTATTATAAAGCAATCTCCTCTTTTATATAGTTCAGGATTTTTGTTGACTTGTTTTGAAATTACATGTGTAGGTAGAGCCTATTATCTGTGAAATTCATTTCAGGACAGTAAAAGTATCATTACAAAGAGTCGTTCTGGTGAAGGAGGGCTGGTCTGATGGGTTGAGAACTGCTAGATTGGGTCATCGAAGTGTGACCTGCTGCCACTGTGGTGCCTGGCCAGAACTCAGTCACATGGACTCAACCAAACTGTAAGGGGCCTGGAAAATGGAGTTTAGTTGGGTGCCCAAGAGAAAAGGGAAATGGAATCAGAGAATACATAACCTGCCTGGACTGCACTGGTATAGCAGAAAGAGTGCCTGTTAGCATCGCTTCTCTGCTATTTACCCACTCTCAGGCCTCAGTTCCTATATTCATAAATGAGGGGTGCTCTTTAAATAGCTGTGGAAGGAGTGAACAGGTAAAAGGACTGGTGTAAAAATTAAGATAGTGCAGCCAGGCACGGTGGCTCAGGCCTGTAATCCTAACACTTTGGGAGGTGGAGGAGGGGGGATCACCTGAGGTCAGGAGTTCAAGACCAGCCTGGTCAATATGGCAAAATCCCATCTCTACTACAAATACAAAAATTAGCTGGGTGGGGTAGGGCACCTGTAATCTCAACTATTCAGGAGGCTGAGGCAGGAGAATCGCTTGAACCCAGAGGGCAGAGGTTGCAGTGAGCCAAGATTGCGCCATTGCACTCCAGCCTGGGCGACAGAGCAAGACTCCATCTCAAAAAAAAAAAAAAAAAAAAATTAAGATAATGCAATAAGAAAATTCCAGAATACAAGCAGATTTTTAGATCAGTTTTACAGAGAACATTTTGAACGATGTAGAATAAAAGCTTATTAGGTTGATGCTCACTTTCCACTTGGAAATCTCACGCTTAGTTCTAACCCAAATCAAAGAGAAGAAGTCTAGATTGCTTTTTATAGTCTCCTTAGGAAAAAGTCTCAAATATCAAACTAACCACCATCAAAGGGAGCCCAAATCAAACAAAAATATATTGAATAAGCCTCTTTTAGTAGGGAGTTAATGATTCCACTGTTACCATTAAAAGAAATGAAAGCAGAATCCCTCCTACTCAGAGAAGTGACATGAGGTGTAAAGCAAAGAAAATAATGTCTTTAGAGAGTTTATTTCCAAGTTGGAGACCAGGCCCATGGAATGCTCCCCTATTGGAGGTCAAAGTGCAGCTCCATATCTCAAAATCAAGTTCGTACAAACACTTTACTAGTACTACCTCCCCAAGGACACATTCCACCTTTTTTTTTTTTTTTGTAGAGACAGAGTCTTGCTCTGTTGCCCAGTCTGGAGTGCAGTGGCGCTGTCTCGGCTCACTGCAACCTCTGCCTCCCAGGTTCAAACAATTCTCTTGCCTCAGCTTCCCGAGTAGCTGGTATTACAGGCACGTGCCACCACACTCAGCTAATTTATTTTGTATTTTAGTAGAGACAGGGTTTCACTGTGTTGCCCAGGCTGGTCTCAAACTCCTGAGCTTAGGCAATCTACCCGCCTCGGCCTCCCAAAGTGCTAGGATTACAGACATGAGCCACCGCACCTGGCCTCCCACTTTTTTATTTTTCCACATTAATTTTCTTATTTTAGTGATTTTATTTTAAAATGTTGAAACACTATGTTCATATTGTACTGTCAATCAAAAATAAAAATAAAAAATGTTAAAAAACATAAGAAAGAATATCCAGGATTTTTAAAATCACATAAAGAAATGAAAGTCTCTTTTTCTGCTCCTACCAATTCCAGACTCTAGGGTGAGCCTTTTAACAAAAAGAAATTATTCAAATAAGAGAAAGAGGGCCAGGTGCAGTAGCTTGCAGTTGTAATCCCAGCTACTCAGAAGGCTGAGGTGGGAGGATTGATTGAGCTCAGGAGTTGGAGACCAGCTCAGGCAATATGGTGAAACCCTGTCTTTACCAAAAAAAAAATAAAAATAAAAAATTACCCAGAGGTGGTGGCGTGTGCCTGTAGTCCCAGCTACTTGGGAAGCTGAGGTGGGAGGATCACCTGAACCCAGGAGGTTGAGGCTGCAGTGAGCCATGATTGTGCCACCGCACTCCAGCCTGAGCAACAGAATGGAAACCTTGTCTCAAAATAAAAAGGGATTTTTTTTTTCAGGAGATCAAAAATGTTGATCCAGTAGAAAAGTTAATCTCTGGCCAAGCAGAGTGGCTCATGCCTGTAACTTTGGGAGACTGAGCTGTGAGGATCGCTTGAGGCCAGGAGTTCAAGATCAGTCTGGACAACATAGCAAGACCCCCATCTCTATTAAAAAAGAAAAAAAAGAAGGAAAAGCTAATTTAAAAATTATGACTACCCAGAGGACATCAACCATTTCTGTATCTAAATTAGCAAACTTATTGCAACATAAATCTCTGTTCCTTAAATACTTTTCAGACTAAGTGTGCCATGCTTGTTGGTCTTTTACTTCTTTGTGCACAAATGCAGTAGTAGAAGGAAGAAAATGAGATGGGCTGGGGTACTGAGTGTCAGTTAAGGGATCTGGCTTTGCTCAGGACCTTGACCAATGAGAGATCTATCGGTTCTCATTATATCTATAGCTATATACGCAGGTGCATATGCATTTATATTATTTTACATAGTTCAAAACATTCTCTGATAGATTGATCTAAAATCAGCTTGTGTTTGGGAAATTTTCTTATTGTTTGGCGGTCTTAGCTCTTAGCTCAAACCTGGTGAGCAGAGTGGTCTAGATTCGAGCCCCCACTCACCTCCTTGGCTGAGCATCTGTATCTTGTGGCCCTGGGCCTATCAGCAAGACTTAAATTGGAACTTGGGCTGGACACTAACTGGTGCCCTGCCTTGGGGGAATGGCTTTCCTATCTGGGTCCCACAGTTCTCATATGAATCACACCTACTTCACAGGACATTTTGTGTGATCAGAGTCAGCATGTAATGCAGTGTGTTCTATGCCCACCACCCCACATATGCTTACTGAGCACATGCTCTGCTATTCCGGGCCCTGTGCATTCCAGGCATTGTGCATATATTGATAAACTAAACAGATAAGATTTTTGTCCACGGGGAGCATAGAGTCTTGTGAGATAGACAAATAATAGGCCAGGCGTGGTGGCACACACCTGTAATCCCGGCACTTTGAGGGGCTGAGATGGGAGGATCACTTGAGGCCAGGAGTTCGAGACCAGCCTGGTTAATGTAGTGAAACTTCATATCTATTTTTTAAAAAAAGCAAATAATAAATAAATGCTATAAAAATGTGCAATTAATGAGCCTGGTAAAGAAATAGAGGCCCAGATGAGACTTGGAAAATAATTTTTTTTTTTTTTTTGAGGCAATCTGGCTCTGTCACCAGGCTGGAGTGCAGTGGCACAATCTCGGCTCACTGCAAGCTCCACCTTCCAGGTTCATGAAATTCTCCTGCCTTAGCCTCCCGAGTAGCTGGAATTACAGGTGCCCGCCACCATGCTCGGCTAATTTTTTGTATTTTTAGTAGAGACGGGTTTCACCATGTTAGCCAGGATGGTCTTGATCTCCTGACCTTGTGATCCACCCGCCTTGGCCTCCCAACGTGCTGGGATTACAGGCGTGAGCCACCACGCCCAGCTGGAAAATAAATAATTTAAATAAGTTGTTGCAACCTTATTCTGTGGCTTGAAGAAAATGTGACTGTGGAACCTGAGCTACATAGCTAACAGCTGCAACTTCTGCTTATCTGATTATAGATTCATCCTTTTTAAATTTTTTTTTGTTTGTAAAATGTTGTGAAAGACTGAATGGCACCAAGATAAGACCCCTTCCCTTCTGAGTCACTGATCTTTTGTTATAGATTAACTTCTTCTCTTGTACCAGGTGGCACAAAATACTCCATGACTATTAAATTACTCAAGATGCAGCTGGAAGCTGCATCAGCTCAAGATGAGCGCCTTTATAATCTCCCTCACCAAAGTCAAAAAAAAAAAAAACAAAAGAGCTTATCTAAAAAAATATAGAAATACACTTACTTCCAGATTTACAAAGAAGTGGAGTTATTTCATCTAGTGGGTGCAGCATGCTGAACATAGTGGGTAAAGGTTCTCTAGCAATAAACAAATAATTAATTACCAATACGAGTATGTCTGTGCACAAATTTTGCACTTCTATTGAAAAGAAATCTCCAGATTACACGAGCAACTAGAAACCTACTATCTCAAAATGCAATCTTCTGAACTTTGTACATACTATTTTTCACATTGTCTTCTATTTCATTCCTAGAAATCTCTCCCCTGAGAGTAGTTCTATCAATGCACCAACAGAGGAAAATCAATATAGTCCAGAGAATTTCTGCAAACAGCAGTCATCACAGTACAGAACAAATGGAGTAATGTGCATAAAGCAGTCTTTTTTTATTGACCTCTCTTACTGGCAGTGTGTCTTTGGCAGCTAAGAAAGAAATTTATTCTCCCATACCTGCTGACAAAGGAATGCATTTTTTAAAAAAGGAAGAAACAAACTACTTCAAGTAAATTAAGTCTGCTTTTTTTTTTTTTTGAGATGGAGTCTCACTCTGTTGCCCAGGCGAGAGTGCAGGGGCATGATCTCGGCTCACTGCAACCTCCACCTCCCAGGTTCAAGCGATTCTCCTGTCTCAACCTCCCGAGTAGTTGGGATTACAGGCACACACCACCACGCCCAGCTAGTTTTTTTGTATTTTTAGTAGAGACGGGCTTTCACCATGTTGGCCAGGCTGGTCTCGAACTCCTGACCTCAGGTGATCCACTCGCCTCGGCCTCCCAAAGTGCTGGGATTACAGACGTGAGCCATCGCGCCTGGCCAAGAATAACATTTAATTCACAGCAAAATAACTTTGTGGCTTTAGAGGAGCTGCAAAGGAACTACATAGGCTTTGGGTGTTTGTGTAACCATATAGGACTCTTGCCCTATGAGCAGCAAGTCAATACATGGAAACAACAGGGATTGCAGCAGATAAAGTGTTTTACTTGCAGGGCCACCGAACTAGGAGACTGAGGAAACTTCAAGTCAGCCTCCCCAAAGAGTTAAGGTCTAGAGGTTTTTTGGTTTTTTTTTTTGAGACAGAGTCTTGCTCTGTTGCCCAGGCTGGAGTACAATGGCATGATCTCGGCTCGCTGCAACCTCCGCTTCCTGGGTTCACGCCATTCTCCTGCCTCAGCCTCCCGAGTAGCTGGGACTACAGGCGCCCGCCACCAAGTCCAGCTAATTTTTTGTATTTTTAGTAGAGATGGGGGTTCACCATGTTAGCCAGGATGGTCTCGATCTCCTGACCTGGTGATCCGCCCGCTTCGGCCTCCCACAGTGCTGGGATTATAGGCGAGAGCCACCGCGCCCGGCCCAGAGGTTTTAAAGAGAGGGTAGTGGGCTAAGGTATTGATTGGTCAGAGAACGAAGGATGAAGTCATAAGACAGAGAGATAAACCACATTCTCATGCTAATGTGGTTCCTTGATGGGGTCTTAAGACTAGCTTGCATCATCTCAAAAGTCTTAGGCTCCTAACATTAAAAATGTTGTCTATAGGAACATGGTATATATAAACAGGTACAGGAAAGTGGATCAAAGGGCAATCTAATTATACTTATCTGTACTTTTGTCTAAAGCCTGGCTGCTTCCTAACCTTGTGATGAAGGCTTTAACAGTTATCCACATTTTTTTAGTAATAAACTGTACTGTAATATATTAATAATTAGATTAATTAGATGTAATAATTAATTAAAACCTAATACCCTTAAATCTGCAAGCATAACTGTTCCATGGCTAGAGTTATTCATGCCTCAGTTCTCTGGGTTTCGACCAATAATTGAAATTGATTGTAGTTATATATTTAGGTGGGATTGGGGGTGTCACAGCTACTTAAGACATTTGATAACCTATGTCTTTTGTAGATTGGTCAGCTGAAAGCAGTTCAACCTCTGATGAATTAATGTGTGGTTTTTTATTGTTTTATTCCAATATGACAATGATCCCTTAGATGTACTTTTCAAATGAGGTTCTGGCATCTAACCAGAAATGACCTTAAATGTTGAGAAGCCATGTAGTTATGGGACTACAGAATACAACTTGTCTAAATACTTCATATATAAAGTATGGAAAAATTAGCGTATAGTAGTGGGAAACACGGGATAGGTGGTGCGGGACATAAGTACTTGTTGCATCTCAGTGGTTTCCTATAGTGGTAACTGTCAGTCTGTGACTAAAATGTGATAATTGCAACTGTCTGAATCAGATCTAGAATGCCCTTTTATGTTATGACCAACTTATACACTTACCAGTCTGATATAATTACTTGACACCTATGTAAGGATTAAGGACTTGTGTGTTTATGGTATTTTTATTCTAGTTTTGAGTCTGGAAGCTGACCAGAATGTGTTTGAAGTCATACAGAAATAATGTTGATATTTGGAACCCATGACGAACTTCTATGAAGAAAGGACAACGATGATTGCAGCCAGGGATTTGCAGGAATTTGTTCCTTTTGGTGGAGACCACTGCAAGCACCACCCTAATGCTTTGAACCTTCAACTTCGCCAGCTGCAGCCAGCTTCAGAATTATGGTCTTCTGATGGTGCTGCTGGCTTGGTGGGATCCCTTCAGGAGGTTACAATCCACGAGAAACAGAAGGTTCCATTGAGTTTCCCATTGTGTTTTTGAAATGTAGAGTGATATAATCTACTTGTAATTTAAGGCTACTAAGATGCAACTGAGAGATCGGTGTGATGCCACTTCTAGGGTAGAGTTAAGGTGTGGTAATTTCAATAAATGTTGAAAATAATGACTTTATTACATTGTCATAGCGACTTATTTAGATACCCTCTATAACTTGTGGTTTTATTTATTTTTTATTTTTTAATTTTTTTGTTTGAGATGGAGTTTTGCTCTTTTTGCCCAGGCTGGAGTGCAGTGGTGCGATCTCGGCTCACCGCAACCTCTGCCTCCCGGGTTCAAGTGATTCTCCTGCCTCAGCCTCCCGAGAAGCTGGGATTACAGGCATGCACCACCACCCCTGCTAATTTTGTATTTTTAGTAGAGATGGGGTTTCTCCATGTTGGTCAGGCTGGTCTTGAACTCCGGACCTCAGGTGATCCACCCGCCTCGGCCTCCCAAAGTGCTGGGTTTACAGGCGTGAGCCACTGTGCCCGGCCAACTTGTGGTGTTATAATGTGAGTCAGGTTCAGTAGTACGATTGTTGTCCATTTTAAACCTTTTTCTTTTCACTTAATATGTGGGGACCAGATTTCATGTTATTTAATGATTAAATGGTAGAGATTAGAAGTAGTCCCTGCTGCAGAAGATTTACATGTTTCTAAAGGAGAGAAGAAATGCCACAAAAGTAGGTAGAGTAATAGTTTTTTTTTTTTTCCTGAGATGGAGTTTCACTCTTGTTGCCCAGGCTGGAGTGCAATGGCACAATCTCAGCTCACCGCAACCTCTGCCTCCTGGATTCAAGCGATTCTCCTGCCTCAGCCTCCCGAGTAGCTGAGATTACAGGCATGTGCCACCACGCCCAGCTAATTTTGTATTTTTTTAGTAGAGGCGGGATTTCTCCATGTTGGTCAGGCTAGTCTCAAACTCCAGACCTCAGGTGATCCACCTGCCACGGCTTCCCAAAGTGCTGGGATTACAGGCGTGAGCCACCACACCCGGCGAGTAATAGTTCTTAAGTAGGGGAATGAGATGTTAAGTGTGTGTCAGAAAATGAATCCCTCCTGCCTTATTCCATTGTCATATCCCTTTGGGATACCAAAATCTCGGGGAGGGAAAGCCTATGTAGTTACAAATGGAAACTTCTCTTTCTTCCATTCATTTTGGTGTGTGGGACAAAGGAAAAGAAGGTGAATATATATGTGATTGCGAAGCAGGAAGTCTGCATTTGTGCATAAACTCCCCGAGTGATTCCCACGTGCACCTCACTGTCCTTTCCCTACCCTACCTCATATACTTAATATGTCCTTTTAGTCTCCCAAGCATGTGATTTGACTTTTGGAACTATAGAGGTGTACTTTTTGTTTGTTTTTGTTTTTGGCAGAGGAATATAGAGGAATAATATAAAACATTCAATATAGAGAATTATTGCATAAATTCTTCATGTAATTCTGTAATGTAATGCATATATCCACATCCTCTGTTAATCAGTGTACCAAACTTTGTAGGAGTTGTGTTTGAATTGAGTCTTACTCCATGGGCAAATAAATTTTGTTCCAGATTTTTGAAGAACAAAAAAAGAGTGCTCGAATATGTCTTACATGTGTTAATTTTTAAGGAAAACTGGCAGTTAAGGAAAGGAGTAAGTGAAATTGGAGAAGATGTGGACTATGATGAGGAACTCTATGTTGCTGGAAATATGGTGATATGGAGCAAAGGAAGTAAAAGCCAGGCATTGGCAGTTTATAAAGCATTTACAGTTGACAGTCCTGTTCAGCAGGTGAGTTGATTTGAATTTTAGCATTTGATTCACTATTTAATGCAATTTAAAAAAAGTTTTGTTTTAAAATTTAACAGAAATGATAAAACCAGCCTAATGATCTCAGCAGCTGGGTGTACGTTGTAACATGACATAATGTAATGTGAAGATAATGGCAGGAAAATAAAAATTTAATTTTATTTTATATATCATCACTTTTTTTACACTCTCCTTTGTCACTTTGATGATAATCTTTAAACACTCTGTCGTTATGTAATTCAATTTGTTATTGCCAGCAAAAACCTATAAAACATTGAGTACAGAAATATTTTAACACATGATTACTATAATTGATTGCAAAGATTTGAATAAATAAAAATTGTGGGATTCATAATGGTAGAGAGAAAGGAAAAAATCTGCTTTGCAACCATTGCAGTTGGCTGTTATAACTAACTGTTCTGAAAGTTGATAATGAAAGGGAAAGAATTAAGCATTTGCCATATTTTTTCAGGACCCTCTAATGGCCTCTAAGTTTTCAAATGAAGGGAAGAATCACAAGTTTCTCACTTTACATCAAAAACTAGAAATGATTAAGCTTCGTGAGGAAGGCGTGTTGAAAGCTGAGATAGGTTGAGAGCCAGACCACCTGTGCACAAGAGCCAACTTGCGCATGCAGAGGAAAAGCTCTCGAAGGAAATTAAAAGTGCTATTTCAGTGAACATGGCAACTGATAAAGCGAAACAGCCTTATCGCTGATATGAAGAAAGTTTTAGTGTCTGGACAGAAGATCAAACCAGCCATAACATTCCCTTATGCTGAAGTCGAATCCACAGCAAGGCCCTAACTCTCTTTAATTCTGTGACGGCCAAGAAAGGTGAAGAAGCTGCAGACGAAAAGTTGTAAGCTAACAGAGGTTGATTCTTGAGGTTTAAGGAAAAAAGCCCTCTCTATAACACAAAAGTGCAAGGTGAAGCAGCATGTGCTGATGTAGAAGCTGCTAAGATAATTGATGCAGGTGGCTACACTAAACAGATTTTCAGTGTGGATGAAACAGCTTTCTGTTGGAAGAAGATGCCATCTAGGACTTTCATAACCTGAGAGGAGAAGTCAGTGCCTGGCTTCAAAGGACAGTCTGACCCTCTTGTTAGGGGCTAATGCAGCTGGTGACTTAAAGTTGAAGCCCGTGCTCATTTACCATTTCAAAAATCTTAGGGCCCTTAAGAATTATACCAAGTCTGCTCTGCCTGGGCTCTATAAATGGAGCGACAAAGACTGGATGGCAGCACACCTGTTTATAGCATGGTTTACTGAATGTGTCAAGCCCACTGTTGAGACGTATTGCTCAGAAAAAAGATTCCTTTCAAAATATTACCGCTCATTGACAGTGCACCTGGTCATCTAAGAGCTCTGAGGGAGATGTACAGGAGATGAATGTTGTTTTCATGCCTGCTGACATATCTGTTCTGCAGCCTGTGAAGGAGTAATTTTGACTTTCAAGTCTTACTATGAAATACATTACTTAACTAGAGCTGCCATAGATAGTGATTCCTCTAAGAGATCTGGCAAAGTCCATTGAAAACCTTCTGGGCCGGGTGCGGCAGCTCACGCCTGTAATCCTAGCACTTTGGGAGGCCGAGGCAGGTGGATCACGAGGTCAGGAGATCGAGACCACCCTGGCTAACACAGTGAAACCCTGTGTCTACTAAAAGTACAAAAAATTAGCCGGGCGTGGTGGCGTGTGCCTGTAGTTCCAGCTACTCGGGAGGCTGAGGCAGGAGACTGGCATGAACCCAGGAGGCAGAGCTTGCAGTGAGCCGAGATTGCGCCACTGCACTCCAGCCTGGGCAACAGAGGGAGACTCCATCTCAAAAAAAAAAAAAAAAAAAAAAAAAAAACCTTCTGGAAAGGATTCACCTTTCTAGATGCCATTAAGAATATTCATGATTCATGGGAGGAGGACAAAATATCAACATAAACAGGAACTTGGAAGAAGTTGATTCCAACCCTCATGGGTGACTTTGAGGGGCTCAAAACTTCAGTGGAGGAAGTCACTGCAGATGTGGTGGAAATAGCAAGAGAATTTGAATTAGAAGTAGAGCCTGAAGATGTGACTAAATTGCCAAGATCTTATGATTAAACCTGAACAGAACTGCCAAACTTGAACAGAATTGCCAAAATCTTATGATCAAACTTGAAGAGTTGCTTCTTCTGGATGAGCAAAGAAAGTGGGAACATACAGAAAACAAATATTAAATGGCAGATTTAAATCCCACTAGGCCACTAATTAAATACAATGGTCTAACACAAATAACAGAGACTAGCGGAAGAGATTAGAAAGTACAGCCCAACTATATATGTTGGTTATAAGAAGAAGTGTTCTTCAAATATAATGACATAGGTAAGTTAAAGGATGGAAAGAAGATATATTATGCAAACAGTAATCAAAAGATAGCTGGAGTCGCTATAAAGTGGGAAAAAAAAAAATGACCAGGAACAAAGAGAGACTTTAAAGGGCCAAATCACCAAGAAGGCACCCTTGAGTATTTTGTAAATGTCAGTTCATTCCATTTGGTTGATAATGTTGTTCATGTCCTCTCCAACCTTGGCAATTTTTTTCTCTTCTTTTTTTTTGATACAGTATCTCGTTCTGTTACTCAGGCTGGAGTGCAGTGGTGGGATCACAGCTCACTGCACCCATGACCTCCTGACTCAAGCGATCCTCCCACCTCAGCCTCCCAAAGTGCTGGGATATTACAGACATGAGCCACCACATCCAGCCTGGCAAACTTTTTATGTAGGAGTTCAGACAAGTATCTTAGCCTCTATGGGCCACATGCAGTCTCTGTTACATATTTGTCTTCTGTTTTATTTTTTCCTTAACCATTTAAGTACATAAAACCTATTCTTAGCTCACAGACTGTACAAAAACAGGATACAAGCCAGATTTGGTCATGGAACATGGTTTGCTGACCAAGGATCTAAATAGATGCAGAGAAATCATTTGATAAAATCAAATATCAAAATTTAATATTTGATAAAATCAAATATTAAAAAAATCCTCAGCATCTAGAAATAGAAGGGGACTTCCTCAAATAGACGAGGGACATTCAAAATTTTCACTGTGCCTCCTGATGAGGAGGAAGGGACGGCCATGACTTTTTTCATGGTGTTTGTAAAGAGTAGGGCAGATATAGTGAAAAGTTTCTGTCCTGGTTGGTCATTCTTTTCCCAACACTTTGGCTGGAAAGACTAAGATTTTCTTAGGGCGTGTTTTGTCTGTGAACGTTGGCATGTCTGTGTTATAGGCTCTTTGAAAGCCTGAGGCCTGGTTATGTAAGGAGTCAAAAAAACCAGAAACCTAGGGAATTCATCATTAGGTCATTCCTGGGTCTCAGGTTACTAGCCAGTTTGTCTTCTTTTCTTCACTTTTTCAGAATCTTCTGTTAGTTGCATTATAAATTTTATTCAGTTTTTTTTTCTTTTTGGTGATTAATGAGGGAATAGCATGGTATGTGCTTATTCCATCTTTTCGTAAATTAGGGGTTTGAGATAGCTTTTAAAAAATTATGCATAATTAGTTCTCACTGTTATTTTTGTTTTTTAAGCCTAAGGATTTTATTGGGGCAACTTCTGTTATTTTGTTAGCTTTTGAGTAGTGTGTTAACATGAATATGTACATTGTTAAGATCTCATTTTAGTTCTGAGCATCTCCTTTTTAGTCTTATCAAGTTTTCAGCCTGTACAGATGTGAATTTCTGTTTTTGCTAAGTACCCTACAGATAGCCAAAATAAGGAGTGGTTAGCATGGATTGTCAACTCATTCTTTTTTTTTTTTTGAGACAGAGTTTCGTTCTTGTTGCCTGGGCTGGAGTGCAGTGGCACGATCTCGGCTCACTGCAAGTTCCACCTGCCGGGTTCACACCATTCTCCTGCCTCAGCCTCAGAGTAGCTGGGACTACAGGTGCCTGCCACCATGCCCGGCTAATTTTTTTTTTTTAATTTTTAGTAGAGATGGGGTTTCACTGTGTTAGGCAGGATGCTCTTGAACTCCTGACCTTGTGATCTGCCCACCTCGGCCTCCCAAAGTGTTAGGATTACAGGCGTGAGCCACCGCGCCCAGCCGCTGTTCTTACTGTCTTTATGACCAATAAGGTAGAAGAGTACATAGTGTACAGATTTTTATATAATGTGTTGACTATATTAACATTCCTCTCCTTGCCTTCCAAAAAAGTCTTCAGTAATGAAGAGAAGGAATCCAACCAAGAGAAATTATACTAAGGTATGAGAGGTCTAGGTGGGCAGATGGCTTCAGCCCAGAAGTTCAAGACCAGCCTGGATAACATGGTGAAACCCCGTCTCTACCAAAAAATACAAAATTAACCAGGCATAGTGGCATGTGCCTGTAGTTCCAGCTACTCAGGAGGCTGAAGTGGGAGGATCACTTGAGCCTGGTAGGTTGAGGCTGCAGTGAGCTGAGATCATGCCACTGTACTCCAGCCACAGGGAAAGAGTGAGATCTTATCTCAAAAAAAAAAAAAAAGAAATTATACCAACATATTTACAGTTGGATAGTGGAATTCAATAGATTATTGACATTTGAATTGTTTCTTTGCTGTGTTTGTTGAGCATAAACTTAGAAATATCAAAAGAAATATATGTTTATATTCCTTAACATTTTATTTAAGGATGTGATGCATTAAAGGCAGTATTTTTTTTTTCCACATGTTTTTATTGCTTAAAGGTGGGAAAGGTTTTTATTCCTGGACTGCCAGCTCCCTCTCTGACGATGTCCAACACAATGCCTCGGCCCAGTACTCCACTAGATGGCGTTAGTGCTCCAAAGCCTCTTAGTAAACTCCTTGGATCATTGGACGAGGTAAGAAAAGGACTAGGTGTTGCCAAAAAGTTAACATTTTTTAAAGAAGTTTGGTTAAACATTAGTTCTTTCCATGGTTAACTTAATTTTAGTTTCTACTTGCAGAATAAATGTTTTCAAACAGAAGTGATTCAGTTAACATACACTGACCTCCCTTGTGATGTATGTGATACTTTTTGAAGGTGCTGGAGAGATGGAAATGATACATTCTTTTCCATCTAGGGATCTCACAATTGTGTGGAGTTGATGTACTGTCTGCATAAGAAATTAGAATTTAAGAAAGACTCATGACTCAGTAATGTGGAAAAGAGAGTACCATCGTTGATTGACTGATGGGAAGATGACATCCAATGGGAGGACATGGCAAAATCAAAGCCTCATCTCTGAGAGACATGTCAGTCTTCGTTTGGACCTTGGGGTTGAGTAGGATATCTGTAGGTAGAAAGGAGCATTCAGGGCAAGGAGAAACCACACAGGCACAGGCAGGAAGGCTAGATAATGCGGAACATTTTTTAATGGATATTTGTATCTTCATCTCCTAGTCATAAGGACTCAATAAATCTGTAGAATAAATACTTATAAAAGTACAAGTAGTCTGTAGGGTGAGGCAGGATAGGGTTTGGATAACAATAATAACCTTTTTTGGGCATTTTCTATGTGCTAGGCATTGTTCTCAGTGCTTTATTAGTATTAATTATTTCCTTAGAACAGTTTTATTGAGAAGAGAGTACTATGATTCTTTTTTTTTACAAATGAGATAGAGGTTACAAATGAAATAAACCTACTAAGTGGTAGAACTGGGATTTACACTCTTACCAATGTGCTCTTAAAGGGAGAAAGGATGAAAAGGTGGTTTTCTTCTGAATGCAATTGACAGGGCATTACAGGATTTTGAGAAAGGAGTTACGAGGTTTTGGATCTGTGTGGTAAATAGGTGTATTTTGGGATTAAAGATAAGGAGACCAGTTAGCCTCCAAGTGAGGTTGTCTGTGTCAGTTTAAGAAGTATGAGAGGGTCTGAGCTAGGGCAGTATATGTGTGGAAAGGAGGGATTAATATGAGAGGCCTTGAGAGGTGGAAATGAATTTGTCAGCTGATTGGTTTTGTGCTGCTGGGCTGGGGAAAAGTGATGTGGAACGAGGCTCCCAATTCTCTGAACGACCTGGGAAGGTACCTGGATTTACCAAGTTAGGAAGCCTGGAGAAAAGTGGTTTGTATTTAAAGGACATGTGAGTGTGGATGTTTAGGGACGGTTCAAAGGGAAGGTTAGTGCTATCAGTTGTATTTGATAATGTCTATGTCTTCATTATATTTTTAAACATGTGCCACATTGAATTTTTTTTCCTTCAAACCAGCACATTTGCGGAACATTGAAAGGGGGAATTGGAGAAGCGTCAGAGTGTTTTGTGTGATTTGGAAGAATTTCTTTTATAATGGAAAATGGTTTCCAACTTTTTTAGAATTCTATAAGCCTGGTAATAGTGCCTTTTTGATAGGTGTAAGGTCATGGAAATGATAGTCTAACACATTGGCTGATGGCTTTTCCACTTCTCTGGAAGATTTTGCTAGTAGACTTAGAGCCAGGACCAGTGGAGCTGAATTTTTCCTGGTGACTTTTAGAGTAGAATCTGGAATAGAATAAATACATCTTAGTCTTGATTGTCAGTGTTGACAAGATATTCACTTAGAGATATATAAATTGAATTAAAGGAATCAAAAAAGGATCAGTGGTCATGACTAGAGATTAAGATTGGAAGCATCTGCATGTAGATAGTAACTAAGACCATTTAAATTTTTTGTTTGCATATCTGCAGTTAAGCAAATAAATGCTGTTCCTGTATTTTTGAATAAATAATTGCCTATAGGGGAAATACCACTAAATACTGGTCTCATTTGTTGGCTTTTTCATTACTGTCCTTTCTTCCTGGGCTCTTAGTTCCTCAGCTGCCTCAAATCACAGTTTAGTCTTTTTTTTTTTTTTTTTTTTTTTTTTTTTGAGATGGAGTCTTGCCCTGTCATCCAGGCTAGAGTACAGTGGGGCAATCTCACCGTACTGCAACCTCCACCTCCTGGGTTCAAGCGATTCTCCTGCCTCAGCCTCCCAAATAGCTGGGACTACAGGCACCTGCCACCACACCTGGCTAATTTTTGTATTTTTAGTAGAGATGGGCTTTCACCATGTTGGCCAGGCTGGTCTTGAACTCTTGACCTCAAGTGATCCGCCCGCCTCAGCCTCCCAAAGTGTTGGGATTACAGGCGTGAGCCACGGCGCCCGGCGGGCAAGACACCCTCAGAGCACAGGGTGCTGCCAAGAGCCCAGCCGAGTGCAGCTCGAGCGCCGAAGTCGCCAACGTTCCACACACTGTTGACGCAGGACACAAGTTCGTCACAGTGGTCCTCCGCCGGCTACGCCGCTGCCTCAGTGGCTTTCAGGCGCTTTCCTCTTGGAATTGGCGACTGCTGCGGGGCTGAGCGCTGGTCTCACGCATCTCGGGAGCCAGGTTGGTGGCGCGATGAGTTGCAGCAAGGCCTACGGGGAGCGGTACGTCGCCTCGGTGCAGGGCTCCGCCCCGTCGCCTCGAAAGGTGAGTGGGTCTGGAAGAGACCGACGGCCTCGACCTGGCCGGGCGGCGGCCTCGACCCGGCCCGGCGGCGGCCTCGATGGCTCAGGCGTCATGGCTCCCGACGAGCGCTGCTCCCTGGCGCGCTCTGTGGAGGCGGCGGCCTCGACCTGGCCCTGCGGCGGCCTCGATGGCTCAGGCGTCATGGCTCCCGACCGGCGCTGCTCCCTGGCGCGCTCTGTTGAGGCGCCGGCCTCGACCTGGCCCTGCGGCGGCCTCGATGGCTCAGGCGTCATGGCTCCCGACGGGCGCTGCTCCCTGGCGCGCTCTGTTGAGGCGCCGGCCTCGACCTGGCCCTGCGGCGGCCTCGATGGCTCAGGCGTCATGGCTCCCGACGGGCGCTGCTCCCTGGCGCGCTCTGTTGAGGCCGCGGCCTCGACCTGGCCCGGCGGCTGCCTTGATGGCTCAGGCGTCATGGCTCCCGACGGGCGCTGCTCCCTGGCGCGCTCTGTTGAGGCGGCGGCCTCGACCTGGCCCGGCGGCTGCCTCGATGGCTCAGGCGTCATGGCTCCCGACGGGCGCTGCTCCCTGGCGCGCTCTGTGGAGGCGGCTGCCTCGACCCGGCCCGGCGGCTGCCTTGATGGCTCAGGCATCATGGCTCCCGACGGGCGCTGCTCCCTGGCACGCTCTGTTGAGGCGGCGGCCTCAACCCGGCCCAGCGGCGGCCTCGATGGCTCAGGCGTCATGGCTCCCGACGGGCGCTGCTCCCTGGCGCGCTCTGTTGAGGCGGCGGCCTCGACCCGGCCCGGCGGCGGCCTCGATGGCTCAGGCGTCATGGCTCCCGACGGGCGCTGCTCCCTGGCGCGCTCTGTTGAGGCGGCGGCCTCGACCTGGCCCTGCGGCGGCCTCGATGGCTCAGGCGTCATGGCTCCCGACGGGCGCTGCTCCCTGGCGCGCTCTGTTGAGGCGGCGGCCTCGACCCGGCCCGGCGGCGGCCTCGATGGCTCAGGCGTCATGGCTCCCGACGGGCGCTGCTCCCTGGCGCGCTCTGTTGAGGCGGCGGCCTCGATGGCTCAGGCGTCATGGCTCCCGACGGGCGCTGCTCCCTGGCGCGCTCTGTTGAGGCGCCGGCCTCGACCTGGCCCTGCGGCGGCCTCGATGGCTCAGGCGTCATGGCTCCCGACCGGCGCTGTTACCTGGCGCGCTCTGTTGAGGCGGCGGCGGCGGCCTCGACCTGGCCAGGCGGCGGCAGCCTCGACCTGGCCCTGCGGCGGCCTCGATGGCTCAGGCGTCATGGCTCCCGACGGGCGCTGCTCCCTGGCGCGCTCTGTGGAGGCGGCGGCCTCGACCCGGCCCGGCGGCGGCCTCGATGGCTCAGGCGTCATGGCTCCCGACGGGCGCTGCTCCCTGGCGCGCTCTGTTGAGGCGGCGGCCTCGACCCGGCCCTGCGGCGGCCTCGATGGCTCAGGCGTCATGGCTCCCGACGGGCGCTGCTCCCTGGCGCGCTCTGTTGAGGCGGCGGCCTCGACCCGGCCCGGCGGCGGCCTCGATGGCTCAGGCGTCATGGCTCCCGACGGGCGCTGCTCCCTGGCGCGCTCTGTTGAGGCGGCGGCCTCGATGGCTCAGGCGTCATGGCTCCCGACGGGCGCTGCTCCCTGGCGCGCTCTGTTGAGGCGCCGGCCTCGACCTGGCCCTGCGGCGGCCTCGATGGCTCAGGCGTCATGGCTCCCGACGGGCGCTGCTCCCTGGCGCGCTCTGTTGAGGCGCCGGCCTCGACCCGGCCCAGCGGCGGCCTCGATGGCTCAGGCGTCATGGCTCCCGACGGGCGCTGCTCCCTGGCGCGCTCTGTTGAGGCGGTGGCCTGGACCCGGCCCGGCGGCGGCCTCGATGGCTCAGGCGTCATGGCTCCTGACGGGCGCTGCTCCCTGGCGCGCTCTGTTGCGGCGCCCGCCGGCTGGCGCAGTCCTGTGGGCGGCGCGGCGCTTGCAAGCGCAGGAAGAGTCCTGGGGGGACCGCTGCGGGCGGGAGACCGTTGGCGCCGGCGCTTCCTCTTTCTCCCGGCTTGTTCCCGACGCTTGTTCCCGACGGTGCTCGCTCCTGGGCCCGTCCTGGCCCGGGCTTTCTGGCCCCGTAGTACCCGCGCGGCCTAGTTCTCGGGGGCTTGGGCACCCGGGTGCTGTATCGGCGGGTTTCTTCCCATCTCCTGGACATTTACTTTATATGCTGCGGCGGAGGTCATACCTCCTTGGCCTGGAGGAACCCAGTGGGGACTGACGCAGCTCCGGGTGAGCTTTGGCGGCTGCGTCGAGTGACAAGGTAGGCATCTCAGCGCGGACATTTGCAATGGCCCGACGGCGCAAATGACACGGAAAGTCCCCTTGTTTTGAGTATGAGGTGTTTGTCGCTGTCCCTTTGTAAGGGTCCAGCTCCACTCCACTCCTCATACTCACCTCCCTCGCCCCCCTCCCTGCCCGGAACACTTTGGTAGCTGACTTTGCTTAAAAAAAAAAAATTCTAAAGTTCTTACAAATCGTTAGTATGGCTTGCAATTTTTAACCTTTTCCACAAATGTTTTAAGGGTATTTTTCCTCTTTACATGTAAATAATGCTGAGATTACAGGTGTGAGCCACTCTGCTCAGCCTGATTTTTTTTTTTTTAAACAAGCTTAAAAAAAAAAAAGCAAGCTTAGAGCCTTTCTGAGATTCTTAGTGGGGACCTTGGCTTCCAAAAGATTAAAAACCACTGGTCTAGACAGAAGTTAGAATGTTCTTTCAACTACATAACTTCTCCATTAAATAAAGTGGAGTGGTGGCAAGATTTTGACGATTGGTTATTATGACCACCTCTCTTACACTTAGAGTCTTTTTTTCCCCCAAATTGAAAGTCATTTACATTAGAACCTGGGGATTTCAGCGGAATATGGATTAACTAGTGAGTAACTTTGGAACATGTGAAGCTATTCTGTGAAGTTAGGTTTGAGTGAAATGACAAAACAGGGTGCTTTGGATAGAAGGTAAAGAATGGAGGGAGAAGAGGCAGTGGCTGTGAAGAATATGAAGAGGTTAGTATTCTCCCCCAGTTTGGCAGAGGCTGGCCATCTGTGAACTGCCCATGCTTTCTAGAATGTCGGAGTTTTGGAGTGTGATGATGCGTCTGTATATCATATCTTTCTAGTCTTCCATTGTGCTTTCATTTGTTAGTCTCCTCTTGTTTTGCCATTTTTCTACTCCCTCACATGTGCTTTTGCCCTTCTTAAAAATATTCTTCGTCTGTAATCTGAGCACTCTGGGAGGCCGAGAGACCAGCCTGACCAATATGGTGAAAATCCATCTCTATTAAAAATACAAAAATGAGCCGGGCGTGGTGGCAGCGCCTGTAGTCCCACCTACTCGGTAGGCTGAGACAGGAGAATTGCTTGAACCCTGGAGGCAGAGGTTGTGGTGAGCAGAGATTGCACCACTGCACTCCAGCCTGTGTGACAGAGCGAGACTCTGTCTCCAAAAAAGAAAAAAAGAAAAAAATATATAATTTTTTCTCTAGTTTTTCTTTTTCCAGATGGCTTCTGTTTAGTTTTTCTATGTTCTGTCAAGTCGGTTTCTTATTCTGCAGCTGATTCCTACTTCTCAAAGTCTACTTGACAGCTCTTATTTTTATTTATATTTTTTTTAGAATAGGGTCTTGCTGTGTTGCTCATCAAATTTTTGGGCATAAATGATCCTCCTACCTCTGTTTCCTGAGTACTTAGGACTACAGGCAGGCACCTTTGACAGCTGTTAGTTGTTTTTTCTGCCCTTTACATCTATACTTCATACTTCTGAGTAACACACATATATACTTTTGTTATTTTTAATTCCCTTTCTCCCATTTTAGACATTTTCTTTTCTTTTTTTTTTTTTTTTGAGATGGAGTCTCGCTCTATCGTCCAGGCTGGAGTGCAGTGGCGCGATCTCGGCTCACTGCAAACTCTGCCTCCCGGGTTCACACCATTCTCCTGCCCCAGCCTGTAGCTGGGACTACGGGCACCCGCCACAACACCCGGCTAATTTTTTAGTGTTTTTAGTAGAGACGGGGTTTCACCGTGTTAGCCAGGATAGTCTCGATCTCCTGACCTCATGATCCGCCTGCCTCAGCCTCCCAAAGTGCCGGGATTACAGGCGTGAGCCACCGCGCCGGGCCCCATTTTAGACATTCTGTACTGGCTATTATGCTCCTCCAAAACTGTCCTCAGACACTTTGGTTTGCCCCTCATTCTTTCAGTACTGTTATTGCAGTTTTTGTTTAAATGAATATTTAACATTTATATAAATATAAGGTAAATATTTTGCATTTGAATTGCCCTTGTTGTGCAGTTTTGTTTTTCCTGGACTGAATAATTGCTTTATTTTTTGGTTTGCTTGTATGTTGTGTTACTACTTGCTTACTTAAACTCAGCAACTTAAACCCTCAAATGTGGTCAAACTGGTCACATAATCCGTTCAATTTCAGCTTAAAACATTGATTGATTGATTGATTGTCTACCTGGAATACCCTTACTAACCGACTTCTCCAACCTGGATTGGGTTTTCTTCCTCTTTGCTACACAGCTGTGCTCTTGGGACTTCCCTTTATCACCAGTTTGAGAATTCCCTTCATCTTTTTTCTGAGTTAGACCCTTTGTTTCTTGTATCTCATGTCATCTTCATTTACTTTCTTTGTTTTGGTGTAGCATAGTCTCACTTGCTTTGAGGAAAAGTGGATGAGAGGTTTTTTTGTTTGTTTTTGTTTTGGGACAGAGTCTTGCTCTGTTGCCCAGGCTGGAGTGCAGTGGCATGGTCTCAGCTCACCACAACCTCCGCCTCCCGGGTTCAAGTGATTCTCCTGCCTCAGCCTCCTGAGTAGTGGGATTACAGGTGTGCGCCACCATGCCCGGCTAATTTTTTCTATTTTTAGTAGAGATGGGATTTCACCATACTGGTCAGGCTGGTCTGGAAACTAATGGTATGTCTTTAAAATGTCTTTACTTAATTTAGTTGATCATTTGGTTATCGAATTCTGAGTTTGAAATAATTTTTTTCGCAATTTTGAAAGCATTGCTCCATTTTCTAGAAGTTCTGTTGTTAGGAGTCTGATGAGATTCTTGTTCTTGGTAACAAAGGTTTTCTGAAAGTGTCCTTTCAATTGGGAAACTCATTTCTTTCAGTTCTGTAGCATTTCTTGTATTATTTCTTTGACCATTTCTTACCCTTTTTTTTAATGATGTTTACCTGAAAGCTGGAGTTTCTCTAATTTTTCTCTTATTCTCCTCTTTTGTTTGTTCTGCCTTTTGAGAGATTTCCTTACCCTTATGTTCCAGGGGAAGAAGATTGGGGAACTCATGGTTCAGTATCTAGACTTTTCCTCATTGTCCTGTATAATCACGGCCTTCACCCTTGTTGGGACTCCACAGATTTGGAGCTGATCAGATGGGTTTGTTGAGAACAGCAGCTTTTTTGGAGGATTTTAGGGGGAGGGAGATTCATTTGACTGTGCAAGATGGGTGACAGAGCGAGACTCCGTTTGAATTTAAAAAAAAAGAGAAATTCAGAACTGCATAATGAAAAAGTAGGCCACAAATGTTAAGTTTTGGACAATTACAATTACATCTCTATCTTACTGTGCAAGATAGCGATGATGTGGCATCTCTTAGGGTCTTACTGTTCCTGTTTTCAGCCCTGCATCAGTTCTTGATATTTGGCAGCTTAAGTGAATTCAGGTATTTGCTTATAGTGACATCTGCTGTCATGCAAAGAAGTACTGCTTGAATCAGATATTGTCCTGTTTACATAACATGGGCTGTGCTCCTTCCTAGCTATATATCTTTAAACAAGGCATTTGCCTGCTTGAGCTTCAGTTCCCTTGTAAAGTGAGCAGGTTAGAGGCAAAAGATCATACAGAAGAATAATTTGTAAAGTTGTTTAATTATCTTAAGATTGTCTACTTTAATAACATAGTTGGAAGCAAAGAAGGTAATGGAATTATTTTTCTATTATGTTTTGGCATTGTACCTTGAATCTATTTCTTCATTTTGAAAAGGGGGAACTGGCCGGGCTCCGTGGCTGACGCCTGTAATCCCAGCACCTTGGGAGGCGGAGGAAGTCAGATTACAAGGTCGAGAGAGCGACACCATCTGGCCAACATGGTGAAACCCCATCTCTACTGAAAATACAAAAATTAGCTGGGCATGGTGGTGTGCGCCTGTAGTCCCAGCTTGTACCTGGGAGGCAGAGGTTGCAGTGAGCTGAGATCGAGCCACCGCACTCCAGCCTGGTGACAGAGCAAGACTCCATCTCAAAAAAAAAAAGGAAGGGGGGAACAAGCCTTGTTCTTTTACGTGCTGTCCTGACTGTTGTGTATTATTTTTGTTAAGATTGCTATAGTTCTTTTTTTTTTTGAGATGGAGTCTTGCTCTGTTGCCAGTGCTGGGATTGCAGGTGTTAGCCTGGCATTGAGCAACGTTTTGTAATTTAAGCATACAAGTCTCTCACCTCCTTGTTTACATTTATTCCCAGGCATTTTTTTCATTTAGATGCGATTGTAAATGGAATTGCTTTCTTAATTTCCTTTTCTGATTGTTCGTTGCTGGTACAGTAGTCCCTTCTTATCCACAGTATTGCCTTACGTGGTTTTACTTACCTGCGTCACCCGTGGTCCAAAAATATTGAATGGAAGATTATATAAATAAACATTTCATGAGTTTTAAATTGCAAACAGTTCTGAATAACATGATAAAAATTTCACGGCCTCCTGCTCCGTCCTACCTAGGACACAAGTCATCCCTTTGTCCAACATATTCATGCTGTATGTGCTCCCCACCTGCTAGTTACATACTAGCCATCTCAGTTATCAGATCAATTGTTGGAGTATTGCAGTGCTTGTGTTCAAGTAACCCTTATTTTATTTAAAATGGCACCAAAGAGCAAGAGTAGCGATGCTGGCAGTTCACATATGCCAGAGAGAAGCCATATAGTGCTTCCTTTAAGTGAAGAGGTGAGTTTTTGACTTAGGAAAGAAAAAAGATCATATACTGGGGTTGCTAAGATCTATGGTAAGAACAAATCTTTTGTCCATGAAATTGTGAAGAAAGAAAAAGAAATTTGTGCTAGTTTTGTTGTGACACCCCAAACTGCAAAAGTTACAGCCACAGTGTGTGATAAGTGCTTAGTTGAGATGGACAAGACATTAAATTTGTGGGTGGAGGACACAAACAGGAAACATGTTTCGATTGATGGCAACCTGGTTTGGTACTATTCATCGTTTTGGACATTCACTGGGGTCTTGGAATTTCAAAAATAAGATGTTTGAGTAGCTGTATACTCTGTATCACATGGATGGAACATACTCTGGTTGTATCAGCTTTTTTTTTTTTTTTTTTTTTTTTTTTATGAGATGGAATCATTCTGTTGCCCAGGCTGGAGTGCAGTGGTGCGGTCTTGGCCCACTGCTGCCTCCCGGGTTCAAGCGATTCTTTGCCTCAGCCTCCCAAGCAGCAGGGATTACAGGCGTGTGCCACCATGCCCAGCTAATTTTTGTATTTTTAGTAGAAAGGAGGTTTCTGTATGTTGGCCAGGCTGGTCTCGAACTCTTGGCTTCAAGTGATCCACCTGCCTCAGTCTCCAAAAGTGCTGGGATTACAGGTGTGAGCCACCGCACCCAGCCTGGTGTGCATCAGCATTTTGGACTTTGGAGTTTATGTAACCAAGGAGCCAGGCTGTGGACCTTGTTTATTACTTGAAGAATTCAATATTTATTTCTGCCTTTTTGACTCCTTGACTGTAAAATACTGATCTGATCTGTAGAGAGAACAGTACATGTACTATTGAGGCACAGGGAATCCTCAGTGCCTTAATAGATCCTAAGTACTTACTTATTCTTTCCCATAGAGGCTTTTACACATGGTAGGAGAAGAGATTTCTGGAATACCTTTCCTCCCCAAAGAAAGCTGGTTTCTTTTGTTTGTTAAGTGAGAGAGTGGTACCACAGGGTTTCCAAGATTTCCAAGGCTGATGAAAATTCTTAACTTCTGTTGTCTGCTTGTCTTGCTTTCTTGAATTTATTTTTTGTATGTTATGTATTTATTATTTAGAGAGAGGATCTCCCTGTGTCACCCAGGCTGGAGTGCAGTGTCACAGTCATAACTCACGGCAGTGTCAACCTCCTGGGCTCAAGTGATTCTCCTTCCTTGGCCTCCTGAGTAGCTAGGAACACAGGCATGCTCCACTATGCCTGGCTATTTTTTTCCCCCTGGAGACAGGATCTTGTTGTGTTGCACAGGCTGGTTTCAAACTCTTGGCCTCAAAGCTAGCCTCCCACCTTGGTCTCTGAAAGTGCTAGAATTAAATAGAATTAAAGTTGTGACCAACTGCACCCAGCTTATTTATGATGATGATGATGATGATGTTTGGGAGATGGAGTCTCTGTCGCCCAGGCTGGAGTGCAATGGCACAATCTCAGCTGACTGCAACCTCTGGCTCACTGCAACCTCCACCTCCTGGGTTCAACTGATTCTCGTGCCTTAGCCTCCCGAGTAGCTGGGATTACAGGCACCCGCCATCATGCCTGGCTAATTTTTCTATTTTTGTAGAGACGGAGTTTCACCATGTTATAACGCCAGGCTGGTCTCAAACTCCTGACCTCAGGTGATCCGCCCACTTCGGCCTCCCAAAGTGCTGGGATTACAGGCATGAGCCGCTGCACCCAGCTCTATTTTTTGTTTTGTGATAGGAAATTATAAAACATGGAATTATGCATTTGTCAGGCTTTAAAAAAAACTTTTAAGTGAATGAAAATGGCATATTTGAACATAAACTTAGGGCAGATTTTTACTACTTTTGAAAAAATGTTGGAAAATATTTCTGTATGAAACGTAAAACAACTTTTAATTTTTTTTAGAAGTCAACGAGAGGATTCTATTTTGCAAAGCTGTATTATGAAGCTAAAGAATATGATCTTGCTAAAAAGTAAGTACAAACTGTAACATGTATTCTTTTTTTAAAATCAATGCCTTTTCTCATTTTCTTCTTTGAAATAGGTAAAAATATATCCTTAGTAGTTCTTCCTAAGTGTATTCTGGAATAAGGGATTTATCACTCAGACTGATGCTAAGGACCAGCCTAGATTCCATTGAGATTGAAACCGTAATTAGTGTTTTCTGCATGCTGCTGCTTTATACCAAGGGCAAGAAATTGTTTGGCTTAAAACACTTTTTCTAAAAATTGTCTTCTGTTGAAGTAAAAGAGGACCATGCCTATATCTTAATTTGTTTTTGGTTAGATATCTGATACCTTAATCAGATGGAAAATAGCAATGAATAAAAAATTAAACTGTAATTGTAAGGCAGGAGAATAGCTTGTATAAAAGATGTTTAATTGACACAATATGTGATGCTCTAAGGCTCTATCCTAGGGATAAGAAGCTTGGTGATTCTGATTTCCTGACTGGGAGTGGATTAAAGCAGGAAATTAAGAGGGAGGCAGGCTTTTTTTTTTTTTTTTTTTAGGCAGTATCTGTCTCTCTTGCTCAGGCAGGAGTGCAGCAGCTGGCTCCATCTTTGCTCACTGTAACCTCTGCCTTCTGGGCTCAAGAGATCTTTACACCTCAGCGCCCCAAGTAGCTGGGGATACAGATGCGCACCACCACGTGGACCTGGCTAAGGTTTGCATTTTTTGGTAGAGACAGGTGTCACTATGTTGCCCAGGCTAGTCTTGAACTTCTGAGCGCAGCAGTCTGCCTGCCTCGGCCTCCCATAGTGTTGAGACTACAGGTGTGTGTTACTGCTCCCAGCTGGGAGGCAGGCTTTTAAAGGCATCCAAAGGAAGATGGAAATGCTGGTAAGAAAGGAAAATGGTGGTACATAAATTATGTAACTAGCAGCACTGTGACTGTTAACTCTTGTACCTTTTTACTGTGAGACTTTAATCCCTTAGTTTAGGTCTGGCCTCATTTCTCTGATGGTAATACTGTCAAGGAACCTAGAGGATATTTACTTATTTTAGTTGTTACTTGATTTGAGAAATGGAAATTTCCTGTATTTGGTACTGTAATTAGTAATTTTTCTTCTGTTCGATTTTAGCTGGATATATAGTACTGTTAGAAATTACTTTCTTGCTTAAAGGGTAAGTGTATTTCCCTTTGTTGTTTGGGAAATTGTTGCTGTTTAGTATTTTGCATTATGATAACTTTAAAAATGTTTACTATAATCACTTCTAATTTATTTGCAAAACTGTTAGTGCTTTATTAAAATGTGATCAGGAAGAAAAAGCAATTTATATGTTCATTTCTTATGTGTGGATAACACTGGAGAAAAATTTGGTAAATGTGACATTTAATGGTAAAATGAGTATGTGGTCAACTCTATGTATGTGTTTTTAAGTATTACCCATTTCTTTCTATGAATACTTTTGAGTTATCTGTATGAATAGTGGTAGTTTTGAGTAACAATATAAACGAGTTTAGTGGTTGCTTTGGTTTAAGATGTATTCTTCGGTTAGCATTTAAAAGTACAGTTCTAAGTTTAATTTACTTTTGTATTACTTTTAAAAAACAGATACATATGTACTTACATTAATGTGCGAGAGATGGATCCCAGAGCTCACAGATTTCTGGGTCTTCTTTATGAATTGGAAGAAAACACAGAGAAAGCCGTTGAATGTTACAGGGTAAGTTATAGGATTCAAATATAGCCTTTGCATAGCCAAACACATGATGCCCAGAGAAATTTATATAAGTAAGTCAAATATATTTTATGAATATCATAAAACAGGCATTGGTATCATAGTACAGTTATGTGACACAGCTTGGAACAGATTTAGAATTGTTTAACACCTATAAATTGTAAGTCTAACACGGTCAGAAATGGTGTTCTTTTGTGTTTTTTGCATTCAAATGACACAAATATAATCTTTATTTGGTTCATTTCCAGAAAATTCCAAGACACTTTTATTTGAACACCTTTGAAGTAATATGTTTTCTCCAGAAGTAGAATTTTTTAAGGGTTGGAGTGATAATTTTTAACCTTTATATATAAGTATATAAGTATATATACTCCTACATACATACATACAATTTATTTACTAATCTTTAATTTCTTTTCTGATATTAGCGTTCAGTGGAATTAAACCCAACACAAAAAGATCTTGTGTTGAAGATTGCAGAATTGCTTTGTAAAAATGATGTTACTGATGGAAGAGCAGAATACTGGGTGGAAAGAGCAGCAAAACTTTTCCCAGGAAGTCCTGCAATTTATAAACTAAAGGTAAACAAACAAAACATAAAGGGAGAAAACTTAAGACATAACCATTTCTAATATTTGGAGTTTAAATTACTTTTCAATAGCAAACCTTAAGCCCAGGTGTTTGTGTTTCCTTTAACATTTTTCTTTTAAAAAGTGTATTAAAACCTTTCTCAGCATCTACTGTCTTATTAGGCATTGTTATACTTTATAAGTGACATCTCATTTACCCTTCTGGAATAATTAATATTTTAGGGATTTTACAGTTTAGTAGCTGTAAACTAAGTAGAGCTAAGATTTACATTAAGTTCTGTCTAGTATACAATTTTTGCTTCATTAAGTGAAAATTACCTACAGGATGACAATTTAGGGATATTTTAAAGAAGTGTTTTCTAATAACTATTGTCTGAAAGTGGAAGGGATTGTATTTTGAGATAGTAAGGTTTTCAAGCAAAAGATAAAAGGTGGTTTCTCTAGTATATAAGACGTAATTACTAAAAATGGTAGGAAGTTCTTGCTAGTGTGTTGACTGGTCCTGATATTCTTTATAGAGTAAAATATAGTTTACTAAGTAACTGTTCTGGAGAAAATCTACACAAATATGTTTGGCAAACATTTAAAATGTATATTGTAATGTTTTATCTATTAATGTATACTTTATTGTGTATGTACAATATAAAATTATAAATGTATATTTGCCTTTAGCCTCCTCCTACCCCCATTATATATGTTTCTGATAGAAATTTAAAAAATTTTAATTTTGAAATAATTATAGATTTTTTTGCACAGGAAGTTGCAAAGATTGCACAGAAAGATCCTATATGCTACTTCATTTTCCCCCAATGCTTATACAGGTTGAGCATTTAAAATCCGAAATCCTAAACGCTCCAAAATCTGAAATTTTTTGAGCACTGACATGATGCTCAAAGAAATGCTCATTGGAAAATTTTGGATTTCAGATTTTCAGATTTGGGATGCTCTGCCTGCTAAGTATCCTGCAGATATTCCAAAGTCTGAAAAAATTCAAAATCTGAAATACTTCTGGTCTCAAGCATTTTGGATAAGGGATACTCAACCTGTTTAACCCGCCCAAAGCACAATATCAAAATCAGGAATTTTGACATTGGTACAATGTGTATGTATAGTTTTCTTTCATTTTATCACGTGTAGATTCATACCACCACTGCCGTCAAGATACAGAACTACTCTATTACCACAGAGATCTTCCTCATGCTGCCCCTTTTGTAGTCATGCTATTTACTTCTCTTCACTATGCCTGACCTCTGGCAACATTAATCTGTTCTCCATCTTTATACTTTGGTGATTTCAAAATGTTATGTAAATGTCATCATGAAATGTGTGACTTTTTTTTTCTTTTTTCATTGTTTTTGAGACGGAGTCTCGCTCTGTTGCCCAGGTTGGAGTTCACTGGCGCAATCTCGGCCCACTGCCACCTCCGCCTCCCAGGTTCAAGCAATTCTCCTGCCTCAGCCTTCCGGGTAGCTGGGACTACAGGCACATGTTACCGTGTCCCGCTTATTTTTGTATTTTTAGCAGAAACGGGGTTTCACCATGTTGGCCTGGCTGGTCTCGAACTCCTGACCTCATGTGATCTGCCCACCCCAGCCTCCCAAAGTGCTAGGATTACAGGCGTGAGCCACCGCGCCCAGCCAAGCATGTGACCTTTTGAGGTTGGCTTGTTCAGTCAGCATAATACCATTTGTGATCCATATTAAGTTTTGTATATCCATAGTTGGTTCCTTTACTTCTGAGTAGTATTTCATGGTCCACAATTTAACCTTTCACTTTTTTTATTTCTATTTTTTTGAGACAGAGTCTTGCTCTGTCGCCCATGCTGGAGTGCAGTGGTGCTATCTCGGCTCACTGCCACTTCTGCCTCCCGGGTTCTCAGGTGATCCACCCACTTTGGCCTCCCAAAGTGCTGGGATTACAGGTGTGAGCCACTGTGCCCAGCCTTAACCATTCACTTTTGAGGGGCATTTTGGTTATTTCTAGGTTTTGGCTATTGTTCAACTGCTATGAACAATCATGTCCAGATTTTTGAAGCTGAAAAAGCATTGAAGATGCTTCCAAAGATAAATATTACTGATAAGTTTTTCTCCCCAGTAATAAGCAGCTGGATTTTAAATATTAGTCTAAAACATGAGGTCTAATTGTGCAGATTTCTTTACTCTCTTAGGTGTTATGCCTCAAACATAACTCCCATATTGGGCGTGGCAATCCAGTTAATCTGGTGTCAGTAGTGTTAAAGAACATATGTAATGGCAGGAGATTCTTTTCTTGCAGTGTAACAAGTTAGATACTTTGAAGCATTCTTTAAAGATTTTCTTTAATAACTTGAAGGCACTGTTACACCTTTCCTGTATCAGATTTTTTTTTTTGGAATTGAAATCCATGAGATTTATAACTGTCATGCAAAGTAATTCCATTTCTCCTAAAATTTAAGGCTTGCTAAGGTAAACAGTTTCTGACATTTGTTTAATGAATGGGAGTATTACTGTTGAGAAGGCTTTTTCTCTCAAGTATGAGATAGAACTTTTTAAAAGCACTCATAGTGGTTTTTAAAAAAATGTTTAACATAGAGTCAAAGACTAGGGCTTTTGCAATAGGGAGAGGCCAGGGTTTCATCCATCTCATCCAGAAGAGGAGAAATTGATAAAGGAGAGAGGGGAATGAAATACAGAGTACTAATGGGCGGCTTGGTCTTGAGAGTTGGGGAAAGACGAGTTTAAGTAGGTAAGGTAAAATGGAATTTATATGTGATAGCATCAGGTTTCTCAGTGAAGGATGAATCTAGGTTATAAGTTGAAAGTGAGGGTCAAAGGAAGGTATGGGGAAGTTGAGGAAATAGGAGGAGGTGTGAAGTGTCAGGGAGTGGAGAAAGTGAGTCTGTTAGTACTAAAATGGTATTTTGTTTTAGGCAGCACCAGTTTGATGGTTGAGATAATGCAAATGAAATCAGTTAGCTTGGGGTTATGATTTCCCAAATCTAAGCACACAGAAACCAGTTGGGAGGGTTCTGAGGAAAAGAGGGAATTAGTTGAAGGGATCTGTAAGCAAACAGTAATTATGGATATAAGGGATTATAGCATTTTTTGCCTGACAGAAGAAAGTGTGTGTATTTATATGTGTTTACAGGTGTTTAAAACTTGATGATGTTATTGTCTTGAAGGGAGCTTGTCATGTGGTATTTCTGAAAGTAAGGGTATGTAGGCCCTCAGTGAGGTGGAAGAATAAGAAGGATGGTATGGTGGTTTCGGTGGTATGACCAAAATGCAGATTTTGAAGACCTGTGTCAGTGGCAAGTGGATGGTTGAGGTTGGAGTGGAGGATAACATCACTGGAGATGAGGTGATTAAGGAACTGAGTAGTCAGCCTGGGCAACACGGCAAGACCCCATCTCTACAGAACGTTAAAAAAAAATTAGCCGGGCATGGTGGTGCATGCCTATGGTCCTAGCTTCTTGAGAGGCTGATGGAAGAGCATCGCAAATGAGAAGTGAGTGGCCACAAACCCTACTTCCTCTCCTTGTATGTAAGTTCAGAGAGAAAAAGCCATCATGGTAGTGGGGGTTATCCTGAGATGATACTGTCTTCATTTAAGGTCAGGAGGTGATGACAGTGCTTTGAGATGATGATGAAGGTAACAGAACAGTGGGAGGAGAGGGGATGCGGGATTGAGTCAGATTTAAGGAGATACAGAGCAGTTTGAGCATAAGGACCTTGTTGCTGAGGATTGACTGGGGAGGTCTAGGCTTCTGATGGTGACTCAGATGGACAGGGATGTGTGGCAATAGTCCTGGTAGTCTCTGAAGAGAGTATGAGCTACCGCAGTAATCACAGATGCTTTTCTTCACATACAGTTCTTGAGGCTTAGTTTCTGGGTTGTAAGCAACTCTCAGAAGGGACGAATAAGGTATATAGGATGGTGTTTTTGGTGGCATCATCATAAAACTAGACATAGTGGAATGGTGCTTTTTGGGAGCATGACTTGTTTAAAATTGCACAAGTGTTACTCTAATAATTTTTCTTTTTCCCCTCTAAATAGGAACAGCTTCTAGATTGTGAAGGTGAAGATGGATGGAATAAACTTTTTGACTTGATTCAGTCAGAACTTTATGTAAGACCTGATGACGTCCATGTGAACATCCGGCTAGTGGAGTTGTATCGCTCAACTAAAAGATTGAAGGATGCTGTGGCCCGCTGCCATGAGGCAGAGAGGAACATAGCTTTGCGTTCAAGTTTAGAGTGGAATTCGTGTGTTGTACAGACCCTTAAGGTAGATAAAAGCTATTGGGTCTTTACATTTCTATGTAGGCAATTAGCATACATCTTTTTGTACTAAAGCAGCAGTGCCCCGCAGGACTTAAATTTCTTTTATTTAGGTAGAACAGTTATAAAACGAAATTTTTACCAGGATCAGTTGAATTTATAATGGGAAAATTGGGGAGATAACTATGATAAATGTATATATTTTTGGTGTTTTCATTTATAAGGTTGATGTAAAAATCAATGTAGTTTCACAAACGTGGTTGGAGTGAGAAAAGGAATTTGTAGGCATAAAATGGTTAATTTCTTAACACTTGATTAAGTTTTGTAACTTACTATTCATTCCACAAAATAGGAATATCTGGAGTCTTTACAGTGTTTGGAGTCTGATAAAAGTGACTGGCGAGCAACCAATACAGACTTACTGCTGGCCTATGCTAATCTTATGCTTCTTACGCTTTCCACTAGAGATGTGCAGGAAAGTAGAGAATTACTGGAAAGGTGCGTTGACTTTGAGGAGAATGCTTTAGTATAAATTGTAGTTTTTCTTTTTGCAGTAAGTTCATTGCTCTAAATTTCTTTACTGAATCATTATTTCTATAATGTACCTAGGAGTTATAGTTAATACAGTGAACCACTAGGAGGCAATCTTATTTTTCTTCTTTTACGGGGAAGTTCTAATTGGTTTTATATGACTTTCCTTTTTAGAGAACTCTTATAGTTCAAGCTTGATTAAAATTAGCCTTATGGTTAAATACTCAGTTTTGTCATAGTCAAGCTTAAAATGAATGTTCTAACTGCTATTTCATATTTTATTTTTTTATAATAGTATAATCTTGAGTGAAAATTAAAGTTCATCTGTCATCAGATGGCTAGGTTCACATGTACTAGTATAAGCACTTAGCATCACTGGTGTTTCAGAAAATACTGTTTTAGCTAAGAAACAAAATAACTGAACTATGTGATTTACCTTTTTTCCTAAATTTTGATTTTGAAAACCAGTGTCTCCATTTTGAAAATAAATTCCATTGAACAAAAACATCACTTGGATTTGTATAAAGATGTTAGTTTAGAGCAGGGGTTGTTGATTAGAACTTGTGGGCCAAATATGGCCCCTGCCTAATTTTGTTAATATTTATTGGAATGCAGCATGCCTCTGTTTATGTATTGTCTGTGGCTGCTTACATACTATAAGATTGGAGTTGAGTGGTTGCAGCAGAGATTGTATGCCTGTAAAGCCAGATTAGTAATCTTCTCCTTTTTGTAGAAAAAGTTTACTGATTGCTAGTTTAGGCTGTCCATTTGTTTGGAAGTTAATTTATTTCCCCATCTGGTATAAGGAAAGAAGTTCATTTCACTGAGTGCAGGGAGTAGGTAATTTTCTTGAAAAAGTACATAGTGACCTAAATTGGTAGGGTAAGAGCAGTATCTAAAAGAACTAACATAACTTTAAGATTATTTTAGAAAACATGTAGGATGTTTTATTTTGTGTTCTTTGTATACTCAAATTTTTTGGTCACAAGTTCCTTTTACATTTTTCTTAAGGACATCAAAGATGTTTGTATGTGGGTTCCTTTCTTTCTTTCTTTCTTTCTTTCTTTTTTGTTTTTTTTTTTTTGAGAGGGAGTCTTGCTCTGTCACCAGGCTGGAGTGCAGTGGCACGACCTTGACTCACTGTAACCTCCGCCTCCCGGGTTCAGGCGATTCTCCTGCCTCAGCCTCCCGAGTAGCTGGGACCACAGGCGCACACCACTACGCCCAGCTAATTTTTGTATTTTTAGTAGAGACGGGGTTCAGGATGGTCTCAATCTCTCTTTTTTTTTTGAGACTGAGTCTTGCTCTCGCCAGGTTGGCATGCAGTGGTGCAGTCTCAGCTCACTGCAACCTCTGCCTCCTGGGTTCAAGTGATTCTCTTGTCTCTGCCTCCTGAATAGGTGGAACTACAGGTGCCCGACACCACACCTGGCTAATTTTTTTTTTTTTTTTTTTTTTTTTTTTTTGAGACAGAGTCTCGCTCTGTCACCCAGCCTGGAGTACAGTGGCGCAATCTCGGCTCACTGCAAGCTTCACAATTTCCTCTCAATGCTCTGAATAAGAGCTTATCCTCCTGCCTCAGGTTGTTCCCCACCAGGAAGCCCCAGGAGGGCCCTGAGGACAGCCCTTGGCCCTCAGAGGGGGAGGCTCAGGAGGGGAGATGACCATGGGAATGGAGTCACTCGGGAGAATCTGGACCATGAGGGGGTGACTTGGGGGCCTGAGGGGAGGACCCTGAGGAAGATAAAAAGCTGGTGCCACCCTAGGCAGTTTCACAGTGTGGCTTAGGGCTGTGGGTGACAGATGGTTTGTCAGATCAGTTAATCAGGACTCATGGGCCCTTTGTTACCTGCCTTGTGAACCTCCCAGTATCACGCCATTCTTCTGCCTCAGCCTCCTGAGTAGCTGGGACTACAGGCGCCCACCACCACGCTCGGCTAATTTTTTTGTATTTTTAGTAGAGACGGAGTGTCACCTTCTTAGCCAGGATGGTCTCGATCTCCTGACCTCGTGATCTGCCCTCCTCGGCCTCCCAAAGTGTTGGGATTACAGGCATGAGCCACCGCGCCCAGCCCACACCTGGCTAATTTTTGTATTTTTAGTAGAAACAGGGTTTCATCATGTTGGCCAGGATGGTCTCGATCTTTTTTTTTTTGAGACGGAGTCTCGCTCTGTTGCCCAGGCTGGAGTGCAGTGGCGCCATCTCGGCTCACTGCAAGCTGTGTCTCCAGGGTTCACGCCATTCTCCTGCCTCAGCCTCCCGAGTAGCTGGGCCTACAGGTGCCTGCCACCACACCCAGCTAATTTTTTGTATTTTTAGTAGAGATGGGGTTTCACTGTGTTAGCCAGGATGGTCTTGATATCCTGACCTTGTGATCCGCCTGCCTCGGCCTCCCAAAGTGCTGGGATTACAGGCATGAGCCACCGCGCCCGGCTGGTCTCGATCTCTTGACCTCTTGATCTGTCTACCTTGGCCTCCCAAAGTACTGGAAGGTCTCAATCTCTTGACATCGTGATCTGCCTGCCTTGGCCTTCCAAAGTGCTGGGATTGCAGGTCTGAGCCACTGCACCCGGCCGTATGTGGGTTATTTCTGTCAGTGTTTATTACATTAGAAATTAAAACAAATAAAAAATGTAATCCATTAAAAATGTAATAAGCCCTATTGTGTGTTAATAATTATAGCTTTTTTTTTTTTTTTTTTTTTGAGACAGAGTTTTGCTCTTGTTGCCCAGGCTAGAGTGCAACAGTGTGATCTCGGATCACTGCAACCTCTGCTTCCCAGGTTCAAGCGATTCTCCTGCCTCAGCCTCCCAAGTAGCTGGAATTACAGGTGCCCACCACCACGCCTGGCTAATTTTTTGTATTTTTAGTAGAGATAGGGTTTCACCATGTTGGCTAGGCTGGTCTTGAACTCCTGACCTCAGGTGATCCACCCGCCTCAGCCTCCCAAAGTGCTGGAATTACATGTGTGAGCCACCGCACAGGGCCAATAATAGCATTTTTTATGAAAAATAACTATTTTCCAACAGCAAAAAAGTAGTCAGAAAAGTGTCATTGTTTTTGCATTTTTGTAAATCTTTTTAATGTCTCGCTTAATAGAACATAGCTAGATTCTCATTTACTTCCTCTTTCAGTCTGTAAAACTATTACATGTCATGAAGCCTCTAGAAAACTCAGCTCAGCGGGGCGCGGTGGCTCAGCCCTGTAATCCCAGCACTTTGGGAGGCCAAGGCGGGTGGATCACGAAGTCAGGAGATCGAGACCATCCCAGCTAACAATGGTGAAACCTTGTCTCTACTAAAAATACAAAAAATTAGCTGGGCATGTTGGTACGCGCCTATAGTCCCAGCTGCTCGGGAGGCTGAGGCAGAAGAATCGCTTGAACCTGGGAGTCAGAGGTTGCAGTAAGCCAAGATTGTGTCACTGCACTCCAGCCTTGTGACAGAGTGAGATTCTGTCTCCAAAAACAAAAACAAAAAAACTCAGCTCTACATACATGAGAAAATGAGTATGTAATATATAAATTTTTTTGGTATTATTGTAAAAGTAATTTTAGCTTCATGGATCCCCTGAAGGGGTTTTTGAGCACCCTCAGAGATCTTTAGACCTCACTTGCTCTGGTTGCTTTATTGTAAGCCACTTTAAAATCATGCTTCACGTTTAAGTGTTTGCTTTTTGCTTTTACTTTTCTTCCAAAGTGAGGATTTGGAGAAACATTAGGATTTAGAAGAACTAATTTAGAATATAGATTACAAATAATAGGCCAGGCATAGTGGCTCATGCCTGTAATCCCGGCACATTGGTAAGCTGAGGCGGGCGGATCGTGAGGTCAGGAGTTCGAGACCAGCCTGGCCAACATAGTAAAACCCTGTCTCTACTAAAAATATAAAAAAAGTTTAGCGGGGCATGGTGGCAGGTGCCTGTAATCCCAGCTACTCAGGAGGCTGAGTCAGGAGAATCACTTGAACCTGGGAGGTGGAGGTTGCAGTGAGCTTAGATCGTGCCATTGCACTCCAGCCCAGGCGATAGTGAGAGACTCCGTCTCAAAAAAAAAAAAAAAAAGACAATTTATTTAATGCTGTAATGATCTATATAGTAAAAAGAGCAATTACTGTATTGATACTCAAATACCTGTCAATTATTTACTTATAATTTGGAAATGCTATGTCTAATTTGAGAAATTACAACTGTTAATTAAATAATGAAATTATATGATCAGGAAGAAACTACAAAATAGTCTCCCAACTTTATCCTGGTTTATTTTGAAATGTGCGCCTATAATCACTGATCTTATATTTATCCTGTGATTGGAGGGCTGGAAATAACTGGGAATAAGACATCATTTGAGAGGTTAAGCATGAAGTATAGGAAGTATGCAGGATAAAAATAAGCATTAGATGATTCATAATTTATAACACGGGGAATAAGAATTATTAGAAGTTGAATGTGGAAGATGAAGCTTGAAATAAAATTTTTATTTTGTTTTGAATTAAATGAACCATGATTATTCACAGTGCAGTAAGTGTGTATCATCTGTTTGATATTTTCATATTACAGTTTTGATAGTGCTCTTCAGTCTGCGAAATCTTCTTTGGGTGGAAATGATGAACTGTCAGCTACTTTCTTAGAAATGAAAGGACATTTCTACATGCATGCTGGTTCTCTGCTCTTGAAGATGGGTCAGCATGGTAATAATGTTCAATGGCGAGCTCTTTCTGAGCTGGCTGCATTGTGCTATCTCATAGCATTTCAGGTAAGTCTTCCACTTGGAGCAATTGACATTTCACGGAGTCTTGATGTGTTTTAAATGAAGGTGTGCTCTGGTATGTAATGACAATATGTGAACAAACCTGTGGAATTAAAGTTGAAATGAAATAGTCAATTTGATACAGTGGAAAATAACTAAGCATACACAATACTGGTGAGGCTGGTGAAACAGGGATGTTGAGTGCACTCTTGTCGAAAGCCTGCATTGCCATGATTTGTTTGTAGACAAATTTGAAGAGTTTGATCTTTTTACTCTGCCATTTTTGGGAACATGATAAAGATGTAATCTCGTATGATGGGTAAACTTGATTCAAAAAGATGTGTTACTTGGACAAAATCCTAATAAGTAGATGTAGGGCAATGGCTTTATAGCCTATGATAGAAGAATATGATTGCAGTTTAACATGTTAATTGAAACACATGTATATAACATTTATGACTGTATTGTGTATATGTAACAGTATATCTATTAATCTTTGAAAACATAAAACCTTTTCTTATTTTTTATTTTTTTATTTTTTTTGAGACCAAGTCTCTCTCTGTCGCCAGGCTGGAGTGCAGTGGCGTGATCTCGGCTCACTGCAGCCTCCACCTCCTGGGTTCAAGTGATTCTCCTGCCTCAGCCTCCCGAGTAGCTGGGACTACAGGCCCGTGCTACCAAGCCCAGCTAATTTTTTGTATTTTTAATAGAGATGGGGTTTCACCATGTTGGCCAGGATGGTCGCAATCTCTTGACCTCGTGATCTACCTGCCTTGGTCTCCCAAAGTGCTGGGATTACAGGCGCGAGGCACTGCGCCTGGCGCGCCTGGCCTTTTTTTTTTTTTTTTTTTTTTGAGATGGAGTCTCGCTCTGTCGCCCAGGCTGGAGTGCAGTGGCACGATCTTGGCTCACTGCAAGCTCCACCTCCCGAGTTCACGCCATTTTCCTGCCTCAGCCTCCTGAGTAGCTGGGACTACAGGCACCCGCCACCACACCTGGCTAATTTTTTTTTGTACTTTTAGTAGAGACGGGGTTTCACCATGTTAGCCAGGATGGTCTCAATCTCCTGACCTAGTCATCCACCTGCCTCGGCCTCCCAGAGTGCTGGGATTTACAGGCGTGAGCCACCATGCCCAGCCTTTTTTTTTTTTTTTTTTTTAATGAGCCTGCATAACTTTTGAAAGGAAAAGAAATAAGCAGTCTTCCAAAAAAGCATTAAACCAGGCTTAGAAAAATGATTAATTTTAGAGAAGGATTTTTTGCTTAGGGAGGGAAAAAAAAGGATTCATTACTTTTAGAGAAGGCCCCTCCTAATATAAATCTTTTTTTCTTTTTGAGACGGAGTTTTGCTCTTGTTGCCCAGGCTGGAGTGCAATGGCGCCATCTGGCTCACTGCAACCTCCGCCTCCCGGGTTCAAGCGATTGTCCTGCTTCAGCCTCCCGAGTAGCTGGGATTACAGGCACACGCCACCACGCCCATCTAATTTTGTATTTTTAGTAGAGACAAGGTTTCTCCATGTTGGTCAGGCTGGTCTTGAGCTCCTGAACTCAGGTGATCTGCGCGTCTCGGCCTCTCAAAGTGCTGGGATTACAGGCAGTGAGCCACCATGCCCTGCCTAATATAAATCTTTTTATTTTTATTTGAGACGGAGTCTCGCTCTGTCACCAGGCTGGAGTGCAGTGGCGCAATCTCAGCTCACTGCAACCTGTGTCTCCTGGGTTCAAGTGATTCTCCTGCTTCAGTCTGTCACGTATCTGGGATTACAGGCACACACCACCATGCCTGGCTAATCTTTTGTATTTTTTAATAGAGATGGGGTTTCACCATGTTAGCCAGGATGGTCTCGATCTTCTGACCTCGTGATCCACCTGACTCGGCCTCTCAAAGTGCTGGGATTACAGGCATGAGCCATTGAGCCCGGCCTGTAAATCTTTTAAAAACACCGTTGATAGACAGTTCACATGTTAAGTGCTAATATTTGCTCAGTAGAAACTTCTGTGTTCATAAGGAATGGATTAGTGAAAATTAATGGATTTAGTGAGGTTCACTAGGTAATACAAACATTAAAAGGTTCTTATAGAAATTCTCAAGTAACTGATAGTTCTTATTTTTATTTATTTTATTTTTTTTTTTTGAGACGGAGTCTCACTCTGTCGCCCAGGCTGGAGCACAGTGGCACGACCTCGGCTCACTGCAAGCTCCGCCTCCTGGGTTCACGCCATTCTCCTGCCTCAGCCTCCCGAGTAGCTGGGACTACAGGCACCCACCACCACGCCTGGCTAATTTTTTTGTATTTTCAGTAGAGATGGGGTTTCACCGTGTTAGCCAGGATGGTCTCGATCTCCTGACCTCATGATCTTGGCCTCCCAAAGTGCTGGCATTACAGGCGTGAGCCACCGCGCCCTGCCAATAGTTCTTATTTTTAATGGAAACTTTAAAATTTATCTGTCTGTGTGTCTATTAGAGTCTTGCTGTGTCACCCAGGCTGGAGTGCAGTTGCGTAATCGTAGCTCACCGTAACATTGAACTGGGCTCGAGCTTCCCAGAGTGCTGGGATTATAGGTGTGAGCTACTGCGCACAGCCTACAATTTTTTGATATGTAGTTTTGGGAGGTGCTGTGGCTGGAGTGCAGTGGCATGATCATAGCTCACTGCATCCTCGAACTCCTGGGCTCAAGTGATCCTCTCCTGCTTCAGCCTCAGCTCGGTACTGGGACTACAGGTGCCTGCCACCATGCCTGGCTACATTGTTAAATTTTTTGTAAAGACAAGGTCTTGCTATGTTTCCCAGGCTGGTTGGTCTTGAACTCCTGGCTTCAAGTGATCCTTCTGCCTTGCCCTCCCAAAGTGCTGAGATTACAGGTATGAGCCACCACACCTGACTGTGAACTTTTAATCATAATAAGTTAGTTTCCCTCTTAATCCATTCACTCAGGTCTCCTTTCCTAGATGACAGCTACTGTTAGGAGTTTCTTGGGTGTTCAGAAATATTTTTTGCATATGCAAATGTGCAATACATTCTTTCTCTGCTTTTAAAAAATATTGTGCCTCAATGTGGGTGTGCTTTACCTATTGCCAGATGCCTTGCTTTTCTAAATGTTTCTTCATTGTTCCACTTCAGCACAGAGATACCTACCTCAGTCTTTATTAACTACCACATATTTCTGTAGAATGAATATATAATAGAAACATCTTAGATGCTTGTATTTTATTTTATCAGTTTATTTTAAAGCTTAATGATCAAATGATTATAAGCATAAAATGTAGGTTATGTGCTGGCATTTGGGTATGTAAGAATTGGCTAACTTTTATGGCAAGATTTTCAGACTCTTAATCAGAGGAATACTGTGGTTCTAGTAAGTACATCTGCATTGCAGCTAGGTAGTTGACAAAGTATCTTGAAACCTTTTAGTTAAGATGAGGAAATAGCTAGGCATGGTGGCTCACGCCTATAATCTTAGCACTTTGGGAGGCTGAGGCGGGCGGATCACTTGAGGTCAGGAGTTTGAGACCATCCTGACCAACATGGTCAAACCCCATCTCTACTAAAAATAGAAAAATTAGCCACGCATGGTGGCGGGTGCCTGTAGTCCCAGCTACTTGAGAGGCCGAGACAGGAGAATTGCTTGAAACCAGGAGGCGGAGGTTGCAGTGAGCCGAGATCGTGCCACTGCAGCACTGCAGCACTGCAGCCTGGCAACAGAGCGAGACTCCATCTCAAAAAAAAAAAAAAAAAAGGAAATAGTGAATTGAGATGATTTGATTGAGTGGATTCACAACTAATTAACTGGTCACAAATTCAACTATTGAATAATTTTGTAAAAGAGGCCGGGTTTATGAATTGAGGTCAGTTTGAAAACAAAAAGAATGATGTCAACATTTTGTTTCTTATTTTGTGTGCTCTTTTCAACATATAGATGACAAACTTTGACATGATGTTTAGAAAACTTGTGAGTAAAAGGATAGGCGATACGAATATTTCTAAAATTCAAAATCAGAAGCTTTTAGGTTCATAAATCATATATTTTGAAAAATGAGCATATTTGGAAAGAATTATATATACATGGTTTAAAATTCTGGCGGCTCTTAAGAATATGCTATGAAGACTCCTTTCTGTTCCCTAGTTATTTACTTTCTCCACCCCCAAAGAAACTAATGTTATTGCTTTCTTGTGTGTTCTTCAGGAAATGTTTTATGCATCTCCAAGTAAACACACATATATCCCCTGTCTTTAAAAGAAGGAGGAAAACGTTTGAACATTGCATTTACTTTATTTCCATTAACTGTATCTTGGAGATGTTTCCATGTCAGTATATATAAAGGGTATTCTCATTAGTTTGGATGCTTGCATATTATTCCATTGTATGGATGTACTGTAGTTTTGGAGTTTTTAAAACCAGGGTCCTAAAGCCAGGACATTAGCTTGCTTTTACTTTTTTTTTAAAATGCTACTTCAAGTAATTTAGCAATGATTAACTTGTGCCATGAATTCCTGAAAGAATTGCAGTATCAAAGTATATCTGTGCATTTATAATTTTTAGAGCTGTTGCCAAATATCTAACCCTAAAGAGGTTGTATCAAATTACATTTCCACCACCAATTAAGAAAGTGGTGATAGAATTAAAAGCCGATGCTCTAGTCACCCATATAGTTACTTTTGGCATGTTTCTAGTAAGTGGGCATTGCCTATGACTGGACGTTTTCAGTGATGGACATTCATTACTTTTCAAGATAGCCCAGTGCATCTTTAGGTGGTTTGGCTCTTGGTACTTCCTTATATAGAATAAAAATATTCTTCAAGCCTTCTACCTGTTGGTCTTGTTTCTTCTTTTGATGATTTCTTTTATAAAATAATTTTAATATTTGAAGGCAGCTGTCACGTCTTCCCTTCGCCATTCTATTCATCATGCTTTTTTTTTTTTTTTCATAGGTTATTGCATTAGGATCTCTTTAATTTCCTGGTTGTCCCATTTATTCCAGTGCTATCCCCTATTATCCATACTCTGAAAATGTGTTATCTACAATGTGGCATTTCCAAGTGTCATTTCACCTGTACTTTTTAAAGTAGGGTGTCATATCTACTCAAATAGGACAACATCTGCTGTTGTCCTATTTATGCAGGGTAGAAAAGTAATGTAATTAAATTTTCCATTTCTCTGAATGTAACATGAATGTGCTTTTAGTAGAAACTAATTTCTCAGAGCTGCTCTGTGTATGCTTTTTTTTTTTTTTCTTTTGTTGGAGATAGGGTCTCACTCTGTCGCCCAAGCTGGAGCACAGTGGCATGATCATGGCTCACTGCAGCCTTGACCTCCTGGATTTAAGTGATCCTCCTGCCTCAGCCTCCTGAGTAGCTGGGACCACAGGTGTGTGCCACCATGCCTGGCTAATTAAAAAAAACTTTTTTTAGAGATAGGGTCTCACCGTGTTGTTCAGGCTGGTCTTGAACTCTGGGCTCAAGTGATCCCCCCACCTTGGCCTCCCAAAGTGCTGGGATTACAGGTGTGAGCCAACATGTCTGGCCCCTCTTTTTTTTTTTTTTTTTTTTTTTTTTTTTTTGCGATGGAGTCTCACTCTTTCACCCAGGCCGGAGTGCAATGGCACAGTCTCGGCGCACTACAACCTCTGCCTCCCAGGTTCAAGCTATCCTTGTGCCTCAGCCTCCCGTGTAGCTGGAATTAACAGGTGTGTGCCACCACGCCTGGCTCTTTGTTTTTTTTTTTTATTTTTAGTAGAGACTGTGTTTCACCATGTTGGCCAGGCTGGTCTCGAACTCCTGACCTCAAGTGATCAGCCCACCTTGGCCTCCCAGACAGAGTGTTGGGATTACAGGTGTGAGCCACCACGCCTGTACCTGGCCTATCTTTCATAGGTTATACAAATTCCTTGGTTCCCAGTTTTTGCAGTCTTTTCCAATTCAGTTTAATTAATGGTTAACTGTTCATTCATTATCAAAAAAAGTACAGTGTAATAGATAAGACCATGTTACTATTAGAAGTATGGGTATCATCAAATTAAGATTTTTGATTCTAAAATTATTAGGTTCCAAGACCAAAGATTAAATTAATAAAAGGTGAAGCTGGACAAAATCTGCTGGAAATGATGGCCTGTGACCGACTGAGCCAATCAGGTAATAGTAATATTAAACTAATTTAATTTAAAAAGAAAAAGGAATTTCTGTTAAGGCATATCTTATGATAAAATCTCAGTCTGTCCAGGAGATAATTTGTCAAAATTATTTCTTTTCGCCGTATCAGTTAAGAGCAATAGGTATGGAAGAGATGCGAAGAAATAGCACATTCTTTAAAAAAAATGAATATTTGATATTGTTTGTTCCTATGTGGAGAGGATTTCTTAACTCTTTCTTCATCTGGCTGCTAGAGCCTCTATCCTGAATATTTAGTCACTTCCTGAACTAAGTATAATTATTGATTTGCCAACCATTTAACACCAGCTGATTCTAAAAACACTGCTGTGGGGATATAAAGATGAAGAAGATACGCATCTGTCTTAAAGAACTGAGAGCATAGTGAGGAAGATAGAAGATATATACTTACCTTATATTAGGCTCTTGGAATTTGTGGATTTTTTCCCCCATTTTTGGCTTGGGATGAATCCTAAAGGTCTGTTGCGTATTACCTGTGATTTTGCTAAGATACAAACTTTAAGGTAGTTAGATGGCCATTGAATCAAGCAGTGAACTGAAGAAACATAATGCTTTCTATAAGGAGCAGTTCTGATATAAAATTGGATGAATTTTGTAAAGAGCAAGATGTAATATTAATCAAAGTTATTATAAGCTTTGGTGTATAGTTAGGCTGTTGGCCAAAGCTCACATTGCTCTTTTATTCCATAGCCCACTTTTTTTGTGGGAGTTAGGCTTTCAGTCCTTAAAGTGACTTTCTACTTTTTTCCTTTTCTCTTTTCCTTCTACCCTTGCAGGGCTCTCATAAGTGCCTTTGCATGGTGTCACAGTTAGATAAAAATTGCCTGTATTTTTTTTTATATCTTTGATCTGGGCATCCCGAGGGTGCCTCTGTAAGTGTGCTGAGACACAACTGTGTAGTGGTAACCAAACCTAATTGCCCAGCAGAATTAACTCGAAGGAGGGTTTTTTTAAAAAGTTCAATTGAAATATAATTCGTATACCATACGCTTCACCCATTTAAAGTGTACAGTTCAGTGGCTTTTACTATGTTCATAGAGTATTATCACTGTCACCACAGTCAGTTTTAGAAGATTTTCATCACTCCATGAGGAATTCCTTACCTATTAGCAGTTACTCCCCATTTTACCCAAACCTCTCAGCCTTGGCAACCGCTAATCTGTCTCTGTAGGTTTGCCTCTTCTGAACATTTCACATAAATGGAATCATATAGTATGTGGTCTTTTGTGACTGGCTTCTTTCATTTAGCAAGGTTTTCAAGGTTCATCTGTGTTATAGCATGTATCAGTACTTTATCCGAGGACTATGATTTTTTGATTGCTTACTGTAAACCTATGGCATAAAAATCTCTGGGAACAAGGCCTGGAAATAATTCTTTTTTTTTTTTTTTCCTGAGACAGTCTTACTCTGTCGCCCGGGCTGGAGTGCAGTGGCGTGATCTCGGCTCACTGCAAGCTCCGCCTCCCGGGTTCACACCATTCTCCTCCCTCAGCCTCCCCAGTAGCTGGGACTACAGGCACCCGCCACCAGGGCCGGCTAATTTTTTTTGTGTGTGTATTTTTAGTAGAGATGGAGTTTCACTGTGTTAGCCAGGATGGTCTTGATCTCCTGACCTCATTATCCACCCAGCTTGGCCTCCCAAAGTGCTGGGATTACAAGCATGAGCCACCATGCCCAGCTGGAAATAATTCTTAAAAGCTGTTTAAAGGAGGATTCTGATGAGCCAGGTTTAGAAATCAGTGTATCAGATCAGAGAATAAGAGCTTGTCCCTGTTCTCCTATGGCCACTTAAATCCAGACCTTTTCATCTAAAATGCAAATACATTTGGCATTTTTCATACACATTCCTGTCTTTTTTCCCCCTTCTGCTGTCTTATGTAGATACTGAGAATATTAAACCTGTACTCTTTTCATTTGCTACATAAGCACCCGTTTTGTTGTCCAGCTGTATTTTTTGGGTTGGAGGGTTAGGTCTGCAATAATCATATTATTTCCCCTTTGGGTATACAAATGAGACAACGTGAGCAAATACAATCTGTATTTTTAAAGTGATGGAAATAACTTAAATTTTTTTTTCAGGGCACATGTTGCTAAACTTAAGTCGTGGCAAGCAAGATTTTTTAAAAGTGGTTGTTGAAACTTTTGCCAACAAAAGCGGGCAGTCTGCATTATATGATGCTCTGTTTTCTAGTCAGTCACCTAAGGATACATCTTTTCTTGGTAGCGATGATATTGGAAACATTGATGTACAAGAACCAGAGCTTGAAGATTTGGCTAGATACGATGTTGGTAAGTTATATGTTTCAGAGGAAATGGTCTCCGTCTTAATTCTTATAAATTGCCCATAATCTTATTACCCAGAAATAACGACTTAATATTTTCCTGTATTCCTTTTGTGTGTGGGTTGGGCTGGGGGGAGTTTGAATGTGGTGCTGTGGGGGTGGCATGTATTTTTTGTTGTTGTTGTTGTTTTTGAGACCAAGTTTTGCTCTTGTCGCCCATGCTGGAGTGCAGTGGTGCGATCTCGGCTCACTGTAACCTCTGCCTCCCGGGTTCAAGTAATTCTACTGCCTCAGTCTCCCAAGTAGCGGGATTACAAATGCCCACCACCACGCCCGGCTAATTTTTTGTAGTTTTAGTAGAGACAGGGTTTCATCATGTTGGTCAGGCTGGTCTCAAACTCCTGACCTCAGGTGATCCACCTGCCTTGGCCTCCCAAAGTGCTGGGATTACAGGTGTGAGCCACCGTGACCAGCCTTGTTGTATTTTGAGACAGGGTCTCGCTGTGTCACCTGGGCTGGAGTGTAGTGGCGTGATCGTAGGTCACTGCTGCCTTGAACTTCTGGGCTCAAGGGATTCTCTTGCCTCAGCCTCCTGAGTAGCTGGTACCATAGGCACATGCCACTCGGCCCAGATAATTTTTTTTTTTTAATTGGTAGAGACAGGGTCTCCCTTTGTTGCCCAGGCTAGTCTCCAACTCCTAGGCTCAAGTGATCCTCCTGCCTAAGCCCCCCAAAGTGTTGGGATTAAGCCCGACACAGTGGCTCATATCTGTAATCCCAGCACTTTGGGAGGCCGAGGCGGGCAGATCACCTGAGATCAGGAGTTCAAGACCATCCTGGCCAACATGGTGAAACCCCGTCTCTACTAAAAATACAAAAATTATCCGGGGGTGGTGGCATGTGCCTGTAGTCCCTACTCAGGAGGCTGAGGCAGGAGAATCGCTTCAACCGGGAGGTGGAGGTTGCAGTGAGCCAAGATCACACTGCTGCACTACAGCCTGGGCGACAGAGCGAGACTTCGTCTCAGAAACAAAAAGTGTTGGAATTATAGGCATGAGCCACTGCATCTGGCCATATTTTTCATCTAAATGGTTATGTATGATTTATCTTGCTTCCTTCATGAATTCTCTCCCATAGTCTCTGTATTAAAACTATAAATATCACTTTTATTGGCAATATAATCTTTTTTATGAAGTAGTCATAATTTGCTTGCTACTTTCTGTTATTGGGCATCCAAGTTTTCTCAACTTTTCCACTGTTAATAATCATACTCTGATAAAAACTTCAACAAAAAGTGTCTTCATGGCAAGTTATTTCCATAGAGATACCTATAAACAGAATTACTGAGACAAAGGACATGAACATCTTTAAGTCTTGCAAATTGCCAAAATGACAGAAAGATTATACCTCTTCATGCTTCCAGAAGCGCATAACCTTTTCTTTTCTTTTCTTTTCTTTTTTTTGAGACAGAGTCTCGCTCTGTCACCCAGGCTGGAGCGCAGTGGCGCAATCTTGGCTCACTGCAACTTCCGCCTGCCAGGTTCAAGCAATTGTCTTGCCTCAGCCTCCCATGTAGCTGGGACTATAGGCACGTGACACCGTGCTCGGCTAATTTTTTGTATTTTTAGTAGAGGCGGAGTTTCACCATGCTGGCCAGGCTGGTCTCGAACTCCTGACTGCGCATAACCTTTTCAATATTGACTTTCTTGTAGAAAAACAGATTTCTTTACTGTACTGATGGATTATATAGTGGTGTTCCATTGCTTTAATGACTTAAAGGAAAACCCATTGTTTTGGGGTTTCTTATTAGGTTAGGTGTTCTTTATTTGGCTTTTGTCAGTTGATTTTGGTTTATTGAGTTCTAGTCAGTGTCATTTTTTAAGATGGACTTAAACATTCTTCATCACTACTATTTTTATTAAAATTTCTAGAAATAATCAAGTGAGAATGCATTTAATAAGAACATGAGATTTTGCCTAACATAGAATTCCCTCCAGCTTTGATATAGAAAAGCAGTTATATAATTAAGATATATATAATGTGAATTGTTTATGTTGGCAAAACTAATGGCACAAGGAAAAATTTCAAACCCTTAAGCCAATTTTTTTATTTTATTTCAGGTGCTATTCGAGCACATAATGGTAGTCTTCAGCACCTTACTTGGCTTGGCTTACAGTGGAATTCATTGCCTGCTTTACCTGGAATCCGAAAATGGCTAAAACAGCTTTTCCATCATTTGCCCCAGGAAACCTCAAGGCTTGAAACAAATGCACCTGAATCAATATGTATTTTAGATCTTGAAGTAAGCAAAGATTTTAACAAATTAAATATTCTGAATTTTGTTTAATTTTTTTTTCTAACTTAACTTTTCCTTAAATGAAACAGGTATTTCTCCTTGGAGTAGTATATACCAGCCACTTACAATTAAAGGAGAAATGTAATTCTCACCACAGCTCCTATCAGCCGTTATGCCTGCCCCTTCCTGTGTGTAAACAGCTTTGTACAGAAAGACAAAAATCTTGGTGGGATGCGGTTTGTACTCTGATTCACAGAAAAGCAGTGTAAGTAGTAAAACAAAAATATTGCTTTCACTTAGTGCGTAGGTTTTACCGGGGATTTAATCCTCGTGTGAAGATTTAATTTGTCATGTGACCCATTAACATATATGTATGTAAGCGCTGAACTGTGTATTTAGAAAGCAATTTTAGTAAATTGAACTATTTTTTAGACCTGGAAACTCAGCAAAATTGAGACTTCTAGTTCAGCATGAAATAAACACTCTAAGAGCCCAGGAAAAACATGGCCTTCAACCTGCTCTGCTTGTACATTGGGCAAAATGCCTTCAGAAAATGGTGAGTTTTAAAGTATAAGCATTTTAAAAGAACATTACCTTAATTTTTTAAAATCATGAACTTTTTATTGAAAGTTTTTTTGTTCTGAAAACAGCAGCTTTGTCATATTATGACAGATGTGTTTTTTATTGCTGCAAAATAGTTAATGTAGTTAAATATAAGCACTTAGAGGAGCAATGCCTGGCACACAGTGAATGTTACATATTAGCTGAGCTGTTACTGTTATTCCTTAATAATTAAGTTCTGATAATTATTCAGCCTGAAAATTAAAAAAAAATTAGCACAAGGCTTTGTAGGTAAGACCATTATAGATCTTTCTAAATATTTAAGGTGTGTTTTGTGTCACCATTAGGTGTAGATGGTCAGCCTTTTGAACAAACTGACACTACAGAAGAGGCAGGTTTCAGCTATCTAAAAATGGCAACTGTTAAAAAGCAGTTGGGATTGCTACGTTAGGGTGGTATCATTAGAAGCATTTAAAAGTTGAGTGTAGAGGCCGGGTGCGGTGGCTCACACCTGTAATCCCAGCACGTTAGGAGGCCGAGGCGGGCAGATCACAAGGTCAGGAGATCGAGATCATTCCTGGCTAACACGGTGAAACCCCGTCTCTACTAAAAATACAAAAAAAACTCTACTAAAACTACAAAATTAGCCAGACATGGTGGCAGGTGCCTGTAATCCCAGCTACTTGGGAAGCTGAGGCAGGAGAATTGCTTGAACCTGCACGGCAGAGGTTGCAGTGAGTTCACTGGTATTAAGGTGGTTTAGTTATTACAGTATTTGGAAGTTGAACAAATGACTATTGAGGTACCATTTGGTTTTGACTTGAAATTTTAGCCAGTTCTTACAACTTGTAAATGAACTTTAGATCTAATCATGCGTGTTCCTTAAAGTTGTGTGCTTTTAACTTTCTTTTTTAGGGCAGCGGTCTTAATTCTTTTTATGATCAACGAGAATACATAGGGAGAAGTGTTCATTATTGGAAGAAAGTTTTGCCATTGTTGAAGATAATAAAAAAGAAGAACAGTATTCCTGAACCTATTGATCCTCTGTTTAAACATTTTCATAGTGTAGACATTCAGGTAACAGAGTTCCTTTATGAATTTATTGGAGATGGGAATTTCCAGTTTATAAACAAAGACATGGAGCTATACACTGCTTAAATTAATTGCCTTGTTATTTAACGGTAATCTTGTTTTCTAAATTCACTAGCTCTCACAGATAAGATATGACAGAGAAGAATAATGAGATGTTTGTCTCTTAAGATCATATAAAATCTTTGGAAAATCATTTGGGTTTTATATTCTGAGTATAAACAATTTGACTAAAAACTATTCTGTGTGTTTAGGCATCAGAAATTGTTGAATATGAAGAAGACGCACACGTAACTTTTGCTATATTGGATGCAGTAAATGGAAATATAGAAGATGCTATGACTGCTTTTGAATCTATAAAAAGTGTTGTTTCTTATTGGAATCTTGCACTGGTAAGTAGATGCAGTACTTGAGCTAAAAGTTTTATTTATTTATTTATTATTTCTTTTAAAAGATGGGGTTTCTCTGCTGGCCAGGCTAGAGTGCAGTGGCACAATCTTGGCTCACTGCAACCTCTGCTTCCCAGGCTCAAGCGATTCTTGTGCCTCAGCTCCCGAGTAGCTGGGATTACAGGCATGAGCCACCATGCGTGGCCAAGCTGAAAGTTTTTTGTTTTAAAAAGCTAATGATTTCATAAAAGCACTATTTGTATAGATTTTTCACAGGAAGGCAGAAGACATTGCAAATGATGCCCTTTCTCCTGAAGAACAAGAAGAATGCAAAAATTATCTGAGAAAGACCAGGGGCTACCTAATAAAGATTTTAGATGACAGTGATTCAAATCTTTCAGTGGTCAAGAAAGTAAGTAGCAGGTTGTTGTATGTACGTTCTTACTGATAACCCACTGGTCAGTGTTTTTGCGTTGGTCTTATATTTTGGTAATTTCAAAAAATACTCAGTAATATGTTGTTATTAATGCACAGAAGGGATGTGTGTGTCTAAATGCTTAGATTTGCTTGCTTTGTCTTAGGTTTGGTGTGTCTTTTTAAACTTGGGAATCTAGGTATATGCTCTTAAAAAGTACTTCTTGGGGAATTAGAAAAGATTTCTAAGATAAGACATTGATTTTGTTATCTTAGCAGTGTAATCAAAACAAATATTATAACCTCAGGACTAATTCTTAATGAACTTTGCTGAAATTGAAAGTTGTTGCTGACAACTTAAGAGCATTTCTTCTCATCGTCATCAGCCATTATGAACGCCCTTGTTTTCTTGCTGTCAGCTGTTTGAGATTGTCATGATGATGTTAAATTATGTTCAGTCTTCTGAGTGTTTTGTTGGTTAATTTGTGTTACTACTCTTTTATTAGGATTTATGTTGTCTGGTGTATTGTAGCATCTGTATTTCTGTCACCATTGAAAATCAGTTAGAAAACATCAGTAACTTATTTTGTTCACTTGGAAAAGCTTTCCAAGTTAACATTCCTCTACAATTATCATGGTTAACAGAAGTAATAGAAAGAGCATGGACTTTAGAATCAGAAGATGTTAGATTGTACAACACTTTTCTGTGTTCATGAAAGAAAAAATAGAATAAAGACAAAAAAATAAAAATAATACAAAACAGCAGAAAAACAAAGAAAAAAGATAATTAAAAAACACTTTCACGTGTATTATTATTTAAAGTGTAAAGTGCTTATTAAAGTGACAAAAATGTAAATAAGATAAAATATATCATTTTAGAGTTTTTACTTTTGGAATTTTTTGCAAATGAAAGCCCTTAATTAATGTCTTTTATTTTTAGTTGCCTGTGCCCCTGGAGTCTGTAAAAGAGATGCTTAAGTCAGTCATGCAGGAACTCGAAAACTATAGTGAAGGAGGTCCTCTCTATAAAAATGGTTCTTTGCGAAATGCGGATTCAGAAATAAAACATTCTACACCATCTCCTACCAAATATTCACTATCACCAAGTAAAAGTTACAAGGTAAACAGGAAAGAATGGAATCATTTCATTGTGAAATTGTTTCTAAGTGTTTTAAATGCTCTTTTGTTATTTTTATTTTTTTTTTAGTATTCTCCCAAAACACCACCTCGATGGGCAGAAGATCAGAATTCTTTACTGAAAATGATTCGCCAAGAAGTAAAGGCCATTAAGGTAAGTCACTTAATTTCTCTAGCTGTACTTTTTATTCCAAGATTCCTTCCCTGGCCACTCTCTCACTTTTTTTCTGAAGCTGGTCAGAATGTCCCCTTGCCATCCAAATAGTATGGCAAGGGGACATTTTGGTCTTTTTTTTTTTTTTTTTTTTTTAAGGCAGGGTCTTGTTGTGCAGGCTGGAGTACAGTGGTATGATCACAGCTTACTGCGGCTTCGACCTCCTAGCTCAAGAGAGCCTCTTGGCTTAGCCTGCCACGAAGCCAGGACTACAGACAGTCACACGCCACTAGGCCCAGCTAATTGTATTTTTTGTAGAGATGGGATTTTTCCATGTTGCCCAGGGTGGCCTTGAACTCCTGGCTCAAACAATCCTCCTGCTTCAGCCTCCCAAAGTGCTGGGATTGCAGGTGTGAGCCACTGTGCCCAGCCTACATACCTTGGTCTTGACCCTTTTCCATATTTTATTTTATTTTATTTTTGAGACAGAGGCTCGCTCTGTTGCCCAGGCTGGAGTGCAGTGGTGCAATCTTGGCTCACTGCAACCTCCACCTCCCAGGTTCAAGCGACTCTCCTGCCTCAGCCTCCCGAGTAGCTGGGATTACAGGCACCCGCCACCAGGCCCAGCTAATTTTTGTATTTTTAGTAGACACAGAGTTTCACCATGTTGGCCAAGCTGGTTTTGAACTTCTGACCTCAGGCGATCTGCCCGCCTTGGCCTCCCAAAGTGCTGGGATTACAGGTGTAAACCACCGCACCCAGCCCTTTACTATATTTTTGAAAGTACTTTATGTGTCTCTCTCCTCATCTTTCACAAAATTTGAGACCTTCAAAGGTAGAAACTGTTTTATTTAAAATATAAGAGTTCCTGACACAGAGAAGGTTCCCGAGTGATTGAACTGCTACAATGTACTAATCATACTCTGGTCTATGAGTTCATTCCCAGATTAGCTGTGGATTACATGTGTTTCAAATGTATAGCTAGGAATTGAAAAGTGGTCTGAGCTTCAAAAAGTCTTACTATATTTTAATACTTCCATATGAATTTGACTTAATTATGTAAGGAAATAGTTATGTATATATATCGTATTTTAACAATAGGGTTCAAAGGAGCTTGACTTTTTTGGAATTGGAAATAAAAGTAGGTTCTTTCATGTTTATCAGGCAAGAACTAAATTATACTGCTAAAGTTACATCAAAGATATGCTGATGTGTGGCGATTATTACAGTGTGATCAGCAGTATTTGCAAATTAAGAGAATACTATTTGGTGGGGAAGACATTTTTGAATTTGCACAAAAATCTTGAATGTTAATTCTGTGTAGTCATGGCCTATGACAATTACATACAATTTTGACTTAACATACAGGTTTCAGGCTCCCAACATTGTATTCTGTGGAAGTATAGTGGAGCACTGGTCCATGAGCTTGAAAAGCTTGGTACTAGTACTGACTCTGCCATTAATTAATGATCTTGGGCCAGTCACTTCCTTTGTGACCGTTTGGCTTCTTATCTTTAAAATGAGAGAATTATCGAAGCCAGTTCTCATCACACTGAATGTTAAAAATTACAGTTACAGCAGTGATTGCAAATTCAAAGCTCTGGTGCAGATACCAGCAGTGACCATAAAGTTTTCTAGGTGATTCCACTAGTTTCTTATTTCTTGGATGTGTATGTGTAGCATCTGGACTAGGCACTGTAGATGGATGAGTGGGGGAAATTTTATTTAGCTTGAAAATTGAGATAGTTTTGGACCTCATGGTTAGGTCTTTCTGGGAAATTTTTATTTGAAACACTTGTAGAAAAAGAAAGCAGACATGCTAGATCTGTCCCTGACCTCACTTGTTAGAACTGGTCGGATTCCTGGGCTGATACAGAGAAGTTTGAAACTTTTCAAAATTTACCTGTTTTCTGATACCACTACAATTTCTTTGGAAAAAGAATTTCCTGTTAAGTGTCTGTTTTGTAAGGGGACATTTTGTAGGTTCTAGGGTGTTGGGTATGGTGCTGTCATTTAGTTTTCTTCAGCAGAGATCAGGTAGCCACATAGCTACACTAGACGGCATTGTATCTATCTGCCATCTTGTCAAGGCAGCAGAGTTGTGTTAAGAAAACATTTTTGGAGTCAGATGTGGTTCAAATTCCAGCTGTTATTCCCTGCATCCCTTTCTCTCATTTTAAGATAGGAGCTAATATTGTTTACCTAACAGTGTAGATAGTATAAAAATTAAGAGTTTAAGTGCATTGGACATATTATTATATACATAATAAATTCTCTGCAGCTACTACTTTTTTCCCTTTCCTGGTGGAGCATTTGAACATCACCTTGAGAATTAGTTGTATTTTGTTTGAACACAGGGTTAAGTGAAAAGCTAATTTGGGGAGGTGATTTGGAATGTCAGGTAGTCCAGATTGCAGTGTAGAAAGAACACACTGAAAGGATGGTCAGTGTAATGTTAGAGGACTGTGAAAGTTGGGGAAAGAAGTTTAGTTTGTAGGTACTTGTTTTTTTGAGCAGGGAATTGTCTTGGCTGGAGGTGAACGTCAGGTTAATGTAGGCAAGTGTAGAATGGAAATGAAGGTGTGATCATTTAGGAGGTTATTTGTTTAGGTGAGAGAGTTAATGAATTAAGTTTTGTATTAACGAAAATGGGAGCAGATAAATTTTTAACAAATTAAGAATCATATTTTAAAATCAGCACCAGGTACCTAGAACTCATTGGCAAATAGAAACTTTCAAAAGATATAATCAGGTCCGGGCGTGGTGGGTCACACCTATAATCCCAGCACTTTGGGAGGCTGAGGTGGTGGATCACTTGAGGTCAGGAGTTCAAGACTAGCCTGGCAAACATGGTGAAACCGCATCTCTACTATTATACAAAAAATTAGCCGGGCGTGCTGGCTGACACCTGTAATCCCAGCTAGTTGGGAGGCTGAGGTGGGAGAATTGCTTGAGCCCAGGAGGTGGAGGTTGCGGTGAGCCAAGATTGTGCCATTGCACTCCAGCCTGGACGACAGATCGAGACACCATCTCAAAAAAGAAAAAAAGAAAAAATCAGTTATTTAAATTTAAAAGAGTAAGTTTCCCCAGCACTGTTTCTGGCATGATATAATTAAATGATTAAAATTATTTGATTTTTTTTTCTTCCAATAGGAAGAAATGCAGGAGTTGAAACTAAATAGCAGTAAGTCAGCATCCCATCATCGTTGGCCCACAGAGAATTATGGACCAGACTCGGTGCCTGATGGATATCAGGGGTCACAGACATTTCATGGGGCTCCACTAACAGGTGAGCTGGCAAGTGGATAATCGCATATTTTAGTAAAACTACTTTACTTCCCTCTTTTAAGTAGATAACGTGTGAAATCACCTTGTTTATATATGTTTGTTAATATACATGTCAACATCTGTTTATATGTGACTTCAAAAGCTGTATTTGGTGTTACGGAGATTTTTATAATCCCAAGCAGAAAAAACGAGCCGTATGTGATCACGTGTATATAAAGGCTTAAAGAACACTTAATCCACACCTCAGATGAGCTGAGATTAGATTATTCCTTAAATTGAAAAATGTTATTGAATAGAGTTATGCACTAAGAAATGCTTAATTAAGAACCTACACCTCTGGGGAATTATTTTGATGATAATGATGAGAGGCAGGACGTTATATAGGAAATCTTACTTAATTTGAAATATTATGGTTATATAAAGAAAGAAAAGGAGTTTGGACCTGAATCATACTGGGTTTTTAAGTTCTGCTCTATCACTTACTATAATAGCTGTGTAAGTTAACCTGTCTGAAATGTGGAGATAATACTTGCCTTACATAATTACTATGAGCATTTGTGTATGTGCAGGTGGGTGTGGGTGTGTATCAGACATTTATTAGAGTATACAGTAAACAGTTAATGAACTAAGGTTACTAATAGTGTTTACTGTGGGTTGGCTATGTGCAAAAGTGCTTTGTGAATGTAATTTTATTTAATTACAGTAACTTAGAATGGCCGGTACCATTATTAATCCCTTTTTTATAAATAAGGAAATGGATAAAGAAAGGTTAGGTAACTTACTCATTATTATACAGCTAGTTATTGATAGAGCCGAGATTCACACTCCAGTGGTGTAACTCCAAAGCACTTGCCAGTATAATACATTGCTCCCAGGCAGCCAGAAATAACAAAATTGTTCCTTTTATGTACGACAGACTTCTGAAATGGTAGTAGTAGTGCCCTTTTTTTTCTCTCTCTCTCTTTTTAGCCCAGGAAAGATTTAGAATAAAATCTGGTTTAGATGAGCACATTTGTGTGATGGTTCATATAGTTAAGGCAACCCCACTAGCCTTTTGTGATAGTATCTTCTCAACACAAGCAAAATAACAGAAAATCTTTGTGAAGTCAAGCTTATTAAATGTCGTAAGTCATAGATAAGTATATGAAATGTCTAACGTTCAAACCTTGTTTTCTTAAAACCTTACACATCATATAGGTCCTTGTAAGAGGATAAACAAACCGGCTAGCCTTTCCTGGGGCTTTTTTAGTGATGTGTGCAGTCAGTTATTTGGTGCCTTTTGGGTCATGATTTCCATTTCTTCTGTGTACAGGCATAAAAGGTCTTCTGTTCTTATACAAGCATGTAAATCCAACATTCTCATTGTCTCATTTTATTCTTGCAATGACCCTGTGAAATATGTAGAAGCAGCACATCGTCATTTTACAATTGAGAAACATGGAGACTCCAAATGGATTATTTACAGGTTCACAAAACAGCTTTGTGGCACTGAAAGGGCGAGAGCCAAGATCTCCTGATTTCTGTTCCTGTGTTCATAGATTCTTTTTCCTTAATAAAAGTAAACATATATCAAGATGGTCCTTGTTTTTTAAAAATAAGATGATTAAAATTAAAGATTAATGAGCTCATAGGAGATACTCAGAAGTACTGAACAGGGTGAAGAAAACTAAAAACTAACCACCTTATTAACATTTCTTATATTTGAGAGCATTTCCTTCTGGTTCTTTCTCTATACATATAGTATTTTTTATGAGATTGTTACCATGTTACTATGTTGTGTGTAGATGAGCTAGCCTGTTTTTTAAATGTTACTTTAGTTCTGAGCATTTTTAAACTTAAATGTTTTTTGAATATTAATGAGTTCATGGTATCCCATCACATGGAAGTACTGTAAATTCTGTTCCTTTATTTATGTTGTTTCTGGTTTATGCCATTACAAATTCTAGGACACTGTCCTAGTTTTGTAGGGTATTCAAAATATTCAGTTTATGCTCTTACCACTAGTATCTGATAGTGCCATTTTCGCACTTTTGCTAATGCTGACTTACTAGTTTATAAAATCCTTTGCCAATTTGTAGGAACAAAAGTGATATCAATTTTTAAGTTTTTTTAATACTAGTCATGCTCAACAATTCATGCAAATGGCAGTTGGTAGTTTTGCCATCTTCAACGTGGGTACCTTCCAGTTGTTTGGTTTCTTGGTAAAACTCACACAAAACAGATGGAGAAGAGTTTTTGTATATCAACATGAATGTTAATGTGATTTTTTTAAAGCCAACGAACACATTTGTGTTCCTTGAGAGATCCTGTGCATGAATTTGTCAGGTAATTTTTTTGACCTGAACATTCTCATAATAGCTTCAATTTGCACAATGCAACCTCGTCATTTTGCAGATTTTCAAGGCTCACTTCAAAAACATGTTCCTTGAGGCCTATTAACATTTCTTTCCTAAATTGTCTATTCATATGGTGCTTTTAAAAGTTAGATTACTTTTAGTAGATTTATTAGAGCCGCACAGTTTAGAGTCAGTAGTCAATTAAAGTCCCTACTTAAACTTCAGACTAAGATTTTTTTTTTATTTAATATTTTATTTTTTCTTTTTGCTTTCATGCAGACAGACATCTTGCAAGACTTTAAGATTCTTGGGCCATTTCTGTCAGGTTGTTCTGTGTTCTGTGCCTGCTTCCTCCCCATAGTAATTTCAAAATAGCTATCCTCACCTCTGTAAGGTTTCCAAAATCAAACTTGGGCTTCTGGCTAGCCTTTTCTAGGTCTTGATTTTTCAGTGCTTTCCAGAGGCAATTGTTTGGAACCTCTTGGCACAGTTTCTGTTTCTTCTTCCATGTACAGGCATGAAAGATCTTTTGGTTGTTTTCTGGTAAAACTATCATAAAACAGTTCAAGCAAATGACTATTGGTAGTTTTGTCATTAACAGGGGTGCCTTCTAGTCGTTTTGTTTCCTGGTAAAACAGACCAAACAGAGGGAGCAGACAGTTTGTACATCTGTATGAGTGTTGATGTGCTTTTTATTTTAAGCCAGGGAACACATTTTATGTTATTTATGACATCCTTTCCATGAATTTGTCAGGTGATTTTTGAGCTGAACATTCTCAGTAATAGCTTTAGTTTACAAAATACAACCTAGTCTTTCTGCAGATTTTCTAGGCCCACTTCAAATGCATTGACCATCAGAGGGCATCTTGGTTCCTTACGTCCTTTCTGTGACTGAATGTCCATAATTCCACATCATACTGATCTTTCTTAGAAAAGGCAACAGTTACTTTCTTCTTTATTCCTTTTTTAATGCTTGTGAGGTAGTTCTTGTTGATCACAGCGATGCTATTCTCTTATTCTTCATGTCATATTTAGCAGTTTTTTTCTAGTTTGTCATTTGATAATCTTGATTGGTGTATTTTGATGTACAGAAATTTAAAATTTATGTAGTTAAATCTTTCTTTAATTTCTATTGCTTTTGTATTTGTAGCTCTTGCCTAGATAGTCTTAACTGTAGTATAGACTTTAACAGTGTTTTCTTTCTTTTCTTTTTTTTTTTTAGTTGCAACTACTGGCCCTTCAGTATATTATAGTCAGTCACCAGCATATAATTCCCAGTATCTTCTCAGACCAGCAGCTAATGTTACTCCCACAAAGGTAACAAAGGAATAATTTATACATTTATAATTATTTCCTTTTTAAATTGTTTAGGGTTCCTTCAAATAAATTCAAGAGAGCAGTTCACTATTAAAACTTTTATGTCCCTTAAAATGTAGATATTTTAAATTTATCTCCAAATACAGAAATTATCCTTCTTAGTCACCTTATTTTTGTGTTAATAAGTGTGAATATTTAGAATATTTTAAAAATGGGAGTGGTGGTGGTGGATCCTTCATCGTTCTGTTTTAACAGAAATAGAACTGTAATGCCCTTGCTGACCCACTATGTGGTAAGTACTTTCAGGCCTGATACAGCTATATATATAACAATTGATTGAAGACTCAATATTACAGTGGTAGTTGAATGTGACAGCTTTGAGGACAGAGTGTTGGGGTGCATTTAGACCCTTGCTCTTCTGCTTATTTTGACCACAGGCAAGTTTCTTAACCTCTCAATGCATCAGTTGCCTCATATGTAAAATGAGGATAATAATAATACCTTAATTCATAGGGTTTTTGAGGATATTAAAATGAGATAATAATGTAAAGTGCTTAGAACAGTGCCCAGCTGGCACATTAATAAATGCTCAATAAATGTTATCATCATCATCATCATCATTATTGTTAACATCATTTGATAAATTGTTTAGGAATGAAGAAGGTATGTATTTCATGACTATTTTGGGCATGTGGATCAAGAAAATTCACCTTCATTTATGTTTCAGGGTTCTTCTAATACAGAATTTAAGTCAACCAAAGAAGGATTTTCCATCCCTGTGTCTGCTGATGGATTTAAATTTGGCATTTCGGAACCAGGAAATCAAGAAAAGAAAAGTGAAAAGCCTCTTGAAAATGATACTGGCTTACAGGCTCAGGATATTAGTGGCCGGAAGAAGGGCCGTGGTGTGATTTTTGGCCAAACAAGTAGCACTTTTACATTTGCAGATGTTGCAAAATCAACTTCAGGAGAAGGATTTCAGTTTGGCAAAAAAGACCTCAATTTCAAGGGATTTTCAGGTGCTGGAGAAAAATTATTCTCATCACAATACGGTAAAATGGCCAATAAAGCAAACACTTCCGGTGACTTTGAGAAAGATGATGATGCCTATAAGACTGAGGACAGCGATGACATCCATTTTGAACCAGTAGTTCAAATGCCTGAAAAAGTAGAACTTGTAACAGGAGAAGAAGGTGAAAAAGTTCTGTATTCACAGGGGGTAAAACTATTTAGATTTGATGCTGAGGTAAGTCAGTGGAAAGAAAGGGGCTTGGGGAACTTAAAAATTCTCAAAAACGAGGTCAATGGCAAAGTAAGAATGCTGATGCAAAGAGAACAAGTACTAAAAGTGTGTGCTAATCATTGGATAACGACTACAATGAACCTGAAGCCCCTCTCTGGATCAGATAGAGCATGGATGTGGTCAGCCAGTGATTTCTCTGATGGTGATGCCAAACTAGAGCGATTGGCAGCAAAATTTAAAACACCAGAGCTGGCTGAAGAATTCAAGCAGAAATTTGAGGAATGCCAGCGGCTTCTGTTAGACATACCACTTCAAACTCCCCATAAACTTGTAGATACTGGCAGAGCTGCCAAGTTAATACAGAGAGCTGAAGAAATGAAGAGTGGACTGAAAGATTTCAAAACATTTTTGACAAATGATCAAACAAAAGTCGCTGAGGAAGAAAATAAGGGTTCAGGTACAGGTGCGGCCGGTGCCTCAGACACAACAATAAAACCCAATGCTGAAAACACTGGGCCCACATTAGAATGGGATAACTATGATTTAAGGGAAGATGCTTTGGATGATAGTGTCAGTAGTAGCTCAGTACATGCTTCTCCATTGGCAAGTAGCCCTGTGAGAAAAAATCTTTTCCACTTTGATGAGTCAACAACAGGATCTAACTTCAGTTTTAAATCTGCTTTGAGTCTATCTAAGTCTCCTGCCAAGTTGAATCAGAGTGGGACTTCAGTTGGCACTGATGAAGAATCTGATGTTACTCAAGAAGAAGAGAGAGATGGACAGTACTTTGAACCTGTTGTTCCTTTACCTGATCTAGTTGAAGTATCCAGTGGTGAGGAAAATGAACAAGTTGTTTTTAGTCACAGGGCAGAATTCTACAGATATGATAAAGATGTTGGTCAATGGAAAGAAAGGGGCATTGGTGATATAAAGATTTTACAGAATTATGATAATAAGCACGTTCGTATACTGATGAGAAGGGACCAAGTATTAAAACTTTGTGCCAATCACAGAATAACTCCAGACATGAGTTTGCAAAATATGAAAGGGACAGAAAGAGTATGGGTGTGGACTGCATGTGATTTTGCAGATGGAGAAAGAAAAGTAGAGCATTTAGCTGTTCGTTTTAAACTACAGGATGTTGCAGACTCGTTTAAGAAAATTTTTGATGAAGCAAAAACAGCCCAGGAAAAAGATTCTTTGATAACACCTCATGTTTCTCGGTCAAGCACTCCCAGAGAGTCACCATGTGGCAAAATTGCTGTAGCTGTATTAGAAGAAACCACAAGAGAGAGGACAGATGTTATTCAGGGTGATGATGTAGCAGATGCAGCTTCAGAAGTTGAAGTGTCTAGCACATCTGAAACAACAACAAAAGCAGTGGTTTCTCCTCCAAAGTTTGTATTTGGTTCAGAGTCTGTTAAAAGAATTTTTAGTAGTGAAAAATCAAAACCATTTGCATTTGGCAACAGTTCTGCCACTGGGTCTTTGTTTGGATTTAGTTTTAATGCACCTTTGAAAAGTAACAATAGTGAAACTAGTTCAGTAGCCCAGAGTGGATCTGAAAGCAAAGTGGAACCTAAAAAATGTGAACTGTCAAAGAACTCTGATATCGAACAGTCTTCAGATAGCAAAGTCAAAAATCTCTCTGCTTCCTTTCCAACGGAAGAATCTTCAATCAACTACACATTTAAAACACCAGAAAAGGGTAGGTACTTTGTTGTTAAAGTTAAGCACAATTTTTCTTTCTTTTAATGTTTAGCTTGATGCAGACTCTTTGTGGGATACTAATGTTGGGATATGAACGATGCTTTGTGAACACCCCTAAAATATTTGAGCAATTTTTTTCTCCCTTAATAAGTTCATGGTGAGGTTTCAAAGAGCAAGAGAACTTAGTTAAAGACATTTCAGTAACTGGAAGATACTTCTATCATGCTAGGGCAGAGCAAAAGAACTTGGTACAGTGTACGGACTCATGCTTGAATCATGCGCATTAACGTGAGTCTTTTTTTAAAGTGTTCATTTTCATTTGTTCTGTTTCTTTTGTCACTCAGAAAACATGATATTGAGGCTGGGCACGGTGGCTCACTCCTAGAATGCCAGCACTTTGGGAGGTTGAGGTGGGCAGATCACTTGAGCTCAGGAGTTCGAGACCAGCCTGGCCAACATGGTGAAACCCTGTTTCTACTGAAAATACAAAAATGAGCCGGGCGTGGTGGTGCGTGCCTATAATTAGCAGCTACTCAGGAGGTTGAGGCAGGAGGATCGCTTGAGCACAGGAGATGGAGGTAGCAGTGAGCTGAAATCATGCCACTGCACTCCAGCCTGACTGAGTGACTGAGTGAGACTTTGTCTCCAAAAAAAACAAAAAACAAAAAACAAAAAAAAACATGATATTGAGATGTTCTCATTTTATGTGTTGTATGTCAGTCTTGCTCATGTATTAAATGAGCAAAGAATGAAACTACAGGGATAAATGAATATGTAAGACAGTCAGATTGGTGGTATAAATTGAGGGATTCTGGCTTTTTATGTTTTAAAAGCATATTCATTTTGTTTCCTAAAATGTTAAAAAATGAAATATTCTTTATTTTCTAGGATTTAATTTTAGCCTTTTTAAATCTAATCCCATAGCCTTTTGGACTAGCACCCCTTCCTCACAGCCTGAGAGCAAAGGTATAGAACTAGCATTCTCAGTATGAGATAACAGCAGTTTTTAGCAGCTGGGTAGCCCTTAGCAAAGTATTAATAACTGTGGCTGTATGAAATGAAGTACTTACCACTACAACATGCATGTCAAAGAATGCCAGTTTAAGCAAAGTACCTTTTGACTGGTGGCATGACACCCTTGTTGGTTTGTTTTTTAAAATGTAGTGGGATGCTGATTTGTAATGTACTTCATTGCTCTGCTATTTCAGGTCTGCTCAATGAAGACCTATGTTTTATCTAATGTTTATCTTTAGCCACTAACGTCTGCCAGTATTCACATGTAGTGGCAACGGCATGTATACAGTATGGAAGAGTGTCCCTGTAGGGCTGTTCTTTTGTGCATGGTTTAGAAAAATGTTGTATTTGAAAATGGACCCCCGTTTTTAACAGCCAGCATTCTACAGCTTGCATATTATATATGTTGCACAGATCATTTTTAGAAGTGTGGCTACTAGAGTGGAACAAGAAGTGGGATCTGTTGAAGGCCTTCAAGAACAGGTTAGGGAAGTGAAATCTCACCCTTAGTGACCAGTAACACATCTTAGCCATGCCAAACAAGTACAATGATAAAGTAAAAATCTCTGATTTTTTTTTAATTATACCAGTTTTATTACCAGCTAAGGTAGCTCTTAATCTTTTATTTTAAAGATACGGTCTTTGAGAAATGTGAAAAGTGTTAACTTAAAAGTGGATGTATACTTGCGTACAGTTTCTGTGAGCTCTAGGTTAGGAATCCCTGACCTAAGAACGAATGTGCCTATACACTACTGTAGAACATAGAGCCTTATTCTGTTTTGAATCTGATAATGTCATTGTCCCAAGGGACCTTAGAAATGAAGACTTTAGACATGAGTAAACTGAGGCCAAGAGAGGCTATCTGATTTACCCAAGGTGTCTTTACTGAGTAATACCAGAAGTGGAACAAGAATCTGTATCTTACGGTGTACTGTTATTTCTCCTAGCTAGGAAATGATACTAAGTTTTTGTTTATAATGAAGGAGAGGGACAAATTTAACATTGTAAAAGGAAGGGCACTGGTTCTGCAGAGCAGTGACATCCAATAGAAATAAAATATAACCTGTGTATGTAATTTAAAATTGTCATTTGGTGCAATGGCTTGTGCCTATAATCCCAGTTACTTGGGAGGCTGAGGCAGAGGGATCACTTGAGCCCACAAGTTCCAGGCTTCAGTGAACTATGATCACATCACTGCACTCCAGCTCTGGGTGACAAAGGAAGACCGCATCTCAAATAAATACATAAATAAATAAATTTTCTAGTAGCCATATTAAAAAGAATAAAAAGAAACAGTTAAAAAGGGAAACAGATGAAAGTAACTTTATCGATAGATTTGATTTAACTCATTATGTCCAGAATATCATTTTAACTTCTAATTAATATAAAAATTAATGATATTTTACATTATTGTTTTTCACCAAGTCTTCAAAATCCAGTGTGTGTGTTTACACTTACTGTTAGCATGTCTTGATTTGGACTAGCCACCTTGTGAGGTTTTAATAGAATGTGGCTAGGCTACCATATTGGACACCATAGCTCTCAGAATGTTTCCCTGTCACCAGTTGCTATACATGGCATGCTTCATGACTGGCTTACTTTATTAAACTCCTTTAGCCAGAAGTTCTTCTTTACATTAGTAGATCAGAACAGGTTGCATATAGAAGTTTTTTCTGTTTCTAATTTTTTGCCCTTTGCATTAATGGTGGCTGGGGATGGGTTGTTTTCAGCCATATGAATGGTCTTAGATTTTATAGTGTTAGCTACCCATAGAGTAACAGTTTTTATTTAATTTTATCTAGTATCATTCTTGAACACAGGCAAACTAGATGCAACTCTAGTCACCTTCCATTCTTGGCAATTGTTAACTTTCCTTACAGGAACTAATCACAGTTGGCTTTGGATTAGTTTCATATGTATACTAATACTTGCTTATGTTTTAAGATTTTTTTCAGTTGCTGCAAATGCATGGATATTTTGGTAAACTATTGTATGCTAAGTATAGTTAGGCAACACTTTAAAATTTTTAACCTTTTTAAATTCTAGAAATTTGTAGTAATTCTTTTCAATGACTATTAAGTAAACACAAGATTTTTTTGTTTTCTTTGGTTTTAAATAGATTCTGTGTTCACTTAGGGTTTTTGGTAGAACACTAAATCAGGATGCTAATTCTAATTCATGATTATCGTACATCTCTGCATCAAAGTATATGTGTTTTTTATCAGTATGCTGTTTTAACCTATAGATAGGTTCCATGGTTTTTATTTTCAGGTAGAGTATTAACGTCAATACTTAATACCTTATCTTTGTCAATTTTTTTGACTGGTGTTACAGCAAAAGAGAAGAAAAAACCTGAAGATTCTCCCTCAGATAGTCTCGGTCTCCTGACCTCGTGATCCACCCGCCTCGGCCTCCCAAAGTGCTGGGATTACAGGCATGAGCCACTGCGCCTGGCTGACACATGTCCTAATTCTGGTATTCACCAGATTTGTTTCGTGTTCTCCGTTGTTAGTCATCAAATTTGTCTACTTTTTAAATAGAAACATTAGCTAGAGCAAGGAACTTAGAAACACTCAAGCGGCACTGAATGTGTAGAACTGCATAACCAATATAGCTTCTTTGCTTTCACATTTACAATTAGTTGGAGTTTTAGTTCAGCCGTACCCAGTATCTTCCATTCTGCTTCCAGGAAGAAATGGAAAAATGTCAGCCATGATGATGCAGTATTTTAGTAGCAAGTTGATGGTGTTTTGGTTTCCCATGGGAAATATTGTCACTGGAGCATTAGCAGCTATCGGTCACTTATTAGGGTAAAAAAGCAACTTCAGAAGAATTTAATATATGCCAAAGAATCAACAAAGGAAGTAATCAGCCAGGGCAAAGGTCGCACAAGAGATTGTAATCTAGCAATCAGCAGTGGAATAAGCAGTCAGCTTACCAGAAACCCAGGAAAATGCTTCAGAAAGGTCAGTCAGGACTAAGGCAATTTAATGAAATGCAAAATAAATGAAATCTGAAGTTTAAAAATCTAGATTACAATTCTGGTTTCTAACTCAGTTATGAGACCTTGGGCAAAGTCATTAAATTTCTCTGAACTTCAGATTTTTGGGAGTCAATAAACCAATACATGTCAAAGGGCCTGGTAAACTTTACAGTTTAGACCAGGCGTGGTGTCTCACCCCTGCAATCTCAGCACTTTGGGAGGCCAAGGCGGGTGGATCACATGAGGCCAGGAGTTTGAGACCAGTCTGAACAACATGGTGAAATCCCATCTCTATTAAAAGTACAAAAATTATCTGGGCGGGATGGCATGCACCTGGAAGTCCCAGCTACTTGTGGGGCTGAGGTGGGAGGATGGCTTGAGCCTGGGAGGCAGAGGTTGCTGTGAGCCAAGATCGTGCCACTGCACTCCAACCTGTGTGACAGAGTGAGACCCTGTCTCAGAAAAAATAACACTTTACAGTTTATCAGCAAACAGCAAAGTCTTGCTAGGCAATGTAATTGATTAGTTCCGTGCCCTGGATTCTGGGCTCTTAACTGTATGAGCACTGTAGGTGTGAGCAGCAACAATTACGAAGCTGCAGAGGTAAAGGTATAAGGGCAGTGATTGAGGATGTCTACCAAGCAGATTTCAGCAAGTGTGTTTCAAGAAGTATGCAGCAATCTGAAATACCTAATCCTGAAAAATTGCTAGAATCTAGTCTTTTAATTTTGGCCAGTATTTAGCAGTAGTTTGGCCCTCTACTCTAAATTAATAAAAAATAAGTAGTACTATATTATGAGCTGTGTTATCTAACAGTTTGTCTTAGCTAGTAGCAATTAATTTATAGCTGCTATTAAAATGACTAACGTAGTTAAAAGTTTGATGACTAAGTTTTTTTTTGTTTGTTTTTTTGTTTTGAGCTGGAGTCTTGCTCTGTCACCAGGCTGAAGTGCAGTGGCGTGATCTTGGCTCACTACAACCTCCGCCTCCTGGCTTCCAGCAGTTCTCTGCCTCAGCCTCCCCAGCAGCTGGGATTACAGGCACCTGCCACTGTGCCTGGCTAATTTTTGCATTTTTAGTAGAGATAGGGTTTCACCATCTTGGCCAGGCTGGTCTTGAACTTGCTGACCTCGTGATCCACCCACCTTAGCCTCCCAAACTGCTAGGATTACAGATTTGAGCCACCACGCCCGGCCTTGATGACTAAATTTTAAGAAATGTTTTAGCAATTCTTCATACACCTTTCACTTATCTTATAGTTACTTAATTCCTCTACTCTTATCATTTGATATTTTCATTTTGTGTACCTCTGTAAGGCCGAATCAATAGATTTTGAACAATCTCATACTTAACCTTTAAAAAAAATCTAATAGGCCCAGTTTCCTCTCAACAATCTTTGAAGAACCTTCGAGAAAGGAGAAACACAGACCTCCCGCTTCTAGACATGCACACTGTAACCCGGGAAGAGGGAGAAGGCATGGAGACAACTGATACGGAGTCTGTGTCTTCCGCCAGCACATACACACAGTCTTTAGAGCAGCTGCTTAATTCTCCCGAAACTAAACTTGGTCTGTTACTCTGTCTAAATATGTTCTTCTTCTTTAATTTCACTGTCTTATTTAATTACTATTACTCTAAGGTACATATGCTTTTTTGGGCTGCTCCAATAAAATTTCTTTCAATATTCCACTACCTGTTTGCATTAGGGTTCTCTAGAGGGACAGAGCTAATTGGATGGTTGGATGGATGGATGAGATGGATGGATGGATGCTTATTAAGTATTACCTTACACGATCACTAGGCCATCTGCAGACTGAGGAGCAACGAGAGCCAGTCCAAGTTCCAAAACTGAAGAACTAGGAGTCTGATGTTCAAGGGCAGGAAGCATCCAGCACAGGAGAAAGATGTAGGTTGGGAGGCTAGGCCAGTCTCGCCTTTTCAGGTTTTTCTGCCTGCTTTATATTCACTGGCAGCTGATTAGATGGCACCTACCAGGTTAAGGGTGGGTCTGCCTTCCCCAGCCCACTGACTCAAATGTTAATCTCCTTTGGCAACACCCTCACAGACAACACTCAGGATTAATACTTTGCATCCTTTAATCCAATCAAGTTGACACCCAGTATTAACCATCACACTGTCCAAATGGAAAAATTATTAAACAAATCTTTTTTAAAATAAAATGCTAGCTCTTGCCCTAGGCTTGAACCATAAATAAGTGGTGGGAAGTTTATAGTCACAAATAGGTGGTGGGTATTAGAAAGCAGGATAAACTATCCTCTCACCCTTCCAAGAAACTGACAGTTTCAGTTTATTCCTCTTGATGAAGTAATGCTAAATTTTTGTAGTGATGTTTTGGTATATTTTATTACCTGTAATTAATATTACTGTTCAAAATTTAGGGGGAAATCTGTCATCTTCCTGAAACTTCAGAATCACCTGGAGTAAGGGTCATTTGTATTCATGGTCACTGACCACGTGGGGTAGAAACTGCAAGTCATGGTTCCTTCAGGCAAAGTTAATAGTGGTGACATGGAGGCATCATGATAGAGCAGCAGACTCCAGAAGCCAATTTGACTTTGTGATTTCTGCAAAAATTACCTGTCAACTGTGAGCCTGTTTCATCGTCTGTAAAGTTTGAATAATGATACCTACCCCGCCTGATAGAAGATTCTTATGAGGGAACATGATACGTGACCAGTAAATGTTAATGCTTTCCTTATACGTGAAATGACATAAAATCTTGGAATATTAATAGATGGGAAGAAGATGTGTAATAAAACTGTCTATAAACACAATTCTGACAAATTTCAGAACTGGGACTCATAGGGCTTGTATTCAGTTAGATGACATGCTTTACAACAGAGATACTGTTTTATTTGTGTCACCTACAACATATAATCTGTTGATTGAGGTATGCCGAATAGATGAATGGCAAAGAAAGCAGAGCTATAAAATATCACATAGTAAGATATTTATATTTAGATTTTTCTTATTTAGAATCTTCATCTGTAATGTATGATTTTGAAAATTAATTCTTGGAACAACATGTTGCAGAGCCTCCATTATGGTATGCTGAATTTACTAAAGAAGAATTGGTTCAGAAGCTCAGTTCCACCACAAAAAGTGCAGATCACTTAAACGGCCTGCTTCGGGAAATAGAGGCAACCAATGCAGTCCTTATGGAGCAAATTAAGGTGAGATCAGAAAACCTGGCCACCATAAAAACTGCCAGTTTGGTTTTCTGGACCCTCCATACACATGTACCCAAGTTTAAAAATTCACATTGCAGATGCATCTATAACGTCTTGATCTTTATATTAGATTCCTGATGGTGAGAAATATTGCCTTTTTTTTTTTTTTTTTTTTTTTGAGACAGTCTTGCTTTGTCACGCAGGCTGGAGTGCAGTGGCACGATCCCGGCTCACTACAAGCTCCACCTCCCAGGTTCACGCCATTCTCCTGCCTCAGCCTCCCAAGTAGCTGGGACTACAGGTGCCCGCCAACATGCCTGGCTAATTTCTTTGTATTTTTAGTAGAGACAGGGTTTACCATGTTATCCAGGATGGTCTCGATCTCCTGACCTCATGATCCACCTGCCTTGGCCTCCCAAAGTGCTGGTATTACAGACGTGAGCCACCGCATCCAGCCAAAATACTTCTTTTATACCTATTACATAAAGATTATTTCTTAATTCCTACTTTTCCTAAGAAACCGTAATAGATTTAGAAACTAGAGAGATGTTCACAAATCATTGTTCACATATGCTTAAATAAAAAATGGGTGTGAGTCTTTGAATTCTAAAGATAACCAGTGAATTTAAATTATTCAACTGATATTTATAGTACTGAACTACTAAACAGTTTTCAGGTGGAGATGGCAAAGTGGCATGGGAAGTTTTTCCTGTTTAAAGTAGACACCAGAAACATCTAGGAATGTTGCAGAACAGTTGAGGATTACTCAAATGAGGTATTTCCACCCTGGCTCACTGATAAATCACCCCTCAGAATATAGTCATACTGCTTGTTGACGAGTTCTTATGACCCAGGCCCTGGGCTCTACGTATATTATTTAATCTCATCACTGGTTAAGAGAAAAATTGAAGCTGGTAAATGGTGGAACAAAATTCAGACTCATAGCTGTCTGAAAAGTACATGCTTTTCCCCTGTACTTTGCTGCTCCTAATAGATCTGTCCTGCCACTGTGCAAGGCCACTAGCTATCCTTGTCAGATTATTTTAAAGCCGAATTCAGTTATTTTCAGTAAATTGTATATATCATGACATTCCACCATTAAATACTTCAGTATGCATCTCTATAAAATAACATTTTCCCACTAATAAAAACATTATCATAGCTAACAAATCACTAACTAGCCCAGTAAACCTAAATGACTTATTTAAATGTTATATTTTCTTTTTTTTTTTTGAGATAGTCTCGCTCTGTCACTAGGTTTGGAGTGCAGTGGTGCAATCTCAGCTCACTGCAATCTCCGCCTCCCAGGTTCAAGCGATTCCCCTGCCTCAGCCTCCTGAGTAGCTGAGACTGCAGGCACGCACCACCATGCCCGGCTAATTTTTTTTATTTTACTAGAGGCATGGTTTCACCATGTTGGCCAGGATGGTCTAAATCTCCTGACCTCGTGATCTGCCTGCCTCAGCCTCCCAAAGTGTTGGGATTACAGGCATGAGCCACCACTCCTGGCCAAATGTTATATTTTCATAAATTTATACTCTCTTCATGATTTCTTCATCTTCTTTATTGTCACTTTTTTAAATGGTCCTAGGTTTGAGGACAAAGTTCGCTAACTTTCTTGCCTAACCTAAAATGAAAATATACTAAAAGCTATGGCTTGGTTTCAACCTGGAAATCTTCCTCAAAGACTTGAACATGATATTACCTTTTTTATATCATTCTTTGCCTCATTTCTCTGATAGTGTTTTACATTGTCTTATATTCCTGAATTTTCACTGTGTCTGAACTTTTGATTAAGTGCCGTTCACTGTGGACGTCTTAACTGCCTGGGACTTCAGGAACAGCGTAGGGGCAGGGGGTTAGTGGAGGCTGCCGATGTTCCCCTCAGCCCATTTTCAGAGCCCCATGCCATACTGGCTTAGTTTCTATCAAAAGTAGAAGGCAGAGGGAACATCTTGGTACCAACCCATGGCTCCAGTTAGTTGCTCCTCATGGAGACGTTCCATCAGTTCCCCAGCTTTCAACTCCATTTCCATGATACCCTGTGCTTCTGAGACAAGAACCCCAGTATTTACACAGGATGCATCCTCTCCTCTTGTCAGTGATACTTGGTAAGCTGCTGGACTGACTCATTTCCACCTCTTCATCTGTTTCTCGTGAGAATTTCTTGATGTGTCTCATCTACTTTTTCTCCTCTTGTATTAGCTTGTTGCCTTTCTACTTCACCCCTCTTCCTTCCAACCCCAAATAGCTTAGGACAGTGGAGTCATATAGCCCAACACTTGGTTCATATGCAGCAATCCACTTTCTAGGCAAATGCAGCTTTGAAACTATCTCATAGTTGGAGTTCCGGTTTTCATGTCAAATGGATTTTATACGATGATGTCATAAACTCCTTTGAAATGCTTCACATGCAGCTGCTGTAGTTAACTGAATTCCTTCCTTTATTGCCATATGGAGGGAAGGGGGAAATTTGGGGGGAAGAGAAGAAAAATACATGAGTTCAGTCTGCCATATTTAATCAGAAGCTCCTAAAGCCCATTTTTAACTCATTTCTCTAACACCAGCTTCTCAAAAGTGAAATAAGAAGATTGGAAAGGAATCAAGAGCAAGAGGTGTCTGCAGCTAACGTGGAACACTTGAAGAACGTCTTGCTGCAGTTCATTTTCTTGAAGCCAGGTAGTGAAAGAGAGAGACTTCTTCCTGTTATAAATACGATGTTGCAGCTCAGCCTTGAAGAAAAGGGAAAACTTGCTGCGGTTGCTCAAGGTGGGTAAAAGGAGAGTCTCAGAACTTCTGACTTCTAACTTAAACTAAACAGCCTGGTGGTTGAGAAGTTGTCTGTATGTGTAACTTTTCAATTTTGCTCATTTGAATTGGGTCTGTCATATGAGTAGGCCGTGACTAGATTTGAAAAGCTGACTTTTTAACATCTTGAGGCAAATGTAGTACATTTATATAATTTTAACGTTCAGCAAAATACAATAAGTGCTTAGCTTGATCTTCTAGCTCTTTGAAAATTGGATTTTTATCCTGGTGTTGCGTTCTGGTGTTCAGCTGAACGTGGTTTTGTTTTAAATTCTACTTTTTAAAAAACATTTATTAGCTTGTTCCTTTTCTACTTCACCCCTCTTCCTTCCTCCAACCCCAAATAGCTTAAGACAATGGAGCCATAGAGCCCAACACTTGGTCTATATACAGCAGTCCACTTTCTAGGCAAATGCAGTTTTAAAACTGTGCCATAGGCCAGGCGCCGGTGGTTCACACCTATAATCCCACCACTTTGGGAGGCCGAGGCAGGCGGATCACAAGATCAAGATACCGAGACCATCCTGGCCAACATGGTGAAATCTCGTCTCTACTAAAAATACAAAAATTAGCTGGACGTGGTGGCATGCGCCTGTAGTCCCAGCTACTCAGGAGGCTGAGGCAGGAGAGTCACTTGAACTCACGAGGCGGAGGTTGCAGTGATCTGTCACACCACTGTACTCCAGCCTGACGGCAGAGCGAGACTCCATCTCAAAAAAAAAAAAAAAAAAAAAAAAAAAAAAAAAAAAAACTATGATGTAGTTAGAGTTGGTTTCCATGTCAGATGGATTTAATACTGTGATGTCATTAACTTCTTTGAAATGCTTCATATACAACTGCTATAGTTAACTGAATTCAAGCTGCATCTTAAGAATTATGGTTTCGTTTTTGTTTTAGTTTTAAATTACTTTTATTTTTGACATTTACAAGCACAAGGAAGACGCTATAATCTCTCTTGAGTTGTCACCCATCTCTAACAGTTTTCAACTCATGGACAATCTTTTGGCGTAAATAGGGGAGAGTTAGAGACTTAAATCCCACACATCATTTCTTTCCCCAGTGAATAATTCAATGTTTATTGGATTTCTCTGTCACCTATACCTAGTTTATGTTCATTTTGCCTGTGTTATTGTGAATGTCTTTTTATAGTATCCTAAATAGAGCTCATATATTGCATTTGGTTGATGTTCCTTAAGCTTTATTTTGTTGTTGTGTTTTTGTTTGTTTGAGACGTAGTGTTGCTCTGTCACCCTGGCTGGAGTGCAGTGGTCCGATCATGGCTCACTGCAACCTCCTCCTCCCAGATTCAAGCGATTCTCCTGCCTCAGCCTCCCAAGTAGCTGAGACTACAGATGCACGCCAGCTAATTTTTCTATTTTTAGTAGAGACGAGGTTTCACCATGTTGGCCAGGATGGTCTCAATCTCCTGATCTTCTGATCTGCCCACCTTGGCCTCCCAAAGTGCTGGGATTACAGGTGTGAGCCACCACGCCCGGCCATTTTGTTGTTTTTTTATCTATAACAATTATATATATAAATATATTTTTAATGTGCCACTTATTAATTGAAGAAAGTGGTCATTTATGCTATAGCAGTTCTATATTTGGGTTTTAATCATTACAGGGTAACACTGAGCTTGTTCCAATTGCCTATAAATAGGAAGATCCAGGTGCAATTAGGTGGGATGGTGGACAAAAATACATCATAGATGGTATTGTGTGCTTTCTAAGACATCAGGAGGCCCAGAATGTCCAGACATCTTACTTTTGACTGATTGACCTTATCTAGTTGGTGTTCTTTAACATGTTCCCCATCCCCTGTAAACCCTAATAACTAAACTGATAAGAGTCATCCTCAAAATTGAGCAGGCATCTGAATCATCTGGTATACTTACTAAAATTCCAATTGCTGGTCCCCAATTTCTGACCCAAGATTCTGCAGTTTTAGCATTTTGTTGCTGATACTTCTGGTCTGGGGCCCATACCTTGAAAACCCCTGGTCTAGAGGCCTGATAAGATTCAGGCTTAATTTTTTTTACAGACATACTTCATAAGTAGTATTGATAGTTTCTTTGAATCTGGTTTTTTATAATCTTTCTAATGATGAAGGAGGAATGTTCTCAATACTGACAGTAATCTCAGTTCTTCAAACTATAGGATAGGTTTCTATAGCCACAATAGTATTTTTGTCACAAGGGCCCAAATAAGAATACATCATGTATATTTTTAGTAGTTATTCAGATTACAAATTCACTGTCTTTAATTTATTCTAACAAAAGTAAACCTAATTTTATAGTTATAAAAAAGAAGAAATCTACTTCTAGTCACCTAAGAGTAAAACTGCCCCTATAAAAAGCAAGACAGAAATCTCAAAATTATAACTAATTTTATAGTTATAAAATTAACCAGGACTTTAAGAACGTTTGCATTTTAAAATTAAAGTTTTCAATAGTTTTCAATACAACAATGATATTATCTCAAAATACTCAGCATGTCTAACAGCCCTCTTTTAAAAGCTCAGCATGTTTAATGTAGATGTTGCTAACGTCCAGGTGGCTCCTATAAGTTAAGGGTCCATTGATTTAGAAGTTCTAAAAGAGACTAACCTAAGGGATACCAAGAACAGATATTTTTAAAGAATTTCATAGAGGAGATACACATTAGAAACCCAGAACTCTAAGATGTGCATTTGGTAAGTCCTGTAAACAGACAGGAAAACACATTTAAATTAGTTTGCCCTTTAAAGATTATTTACTACTTGTCTCTTATCAATGTGAGTACATAAAAGAGACCTTATTATAATTAAAAACCATGATGGTTTAGCAGCAGATTTAGATACCTTACATTTTCTCTTTAAGAGAGAGAATGTAAGGCCTGGCACGGTGGCTCACACCTGTAATCCAGCACTTTGGGAGGCTGAGGAGGGTAGATCACCTGAGGTCAGGAGTTCAAGACCAGCCTGGCCAACATGGTGAAACCCCCTCTCTACTCAGAATACAAAAATTAGCTGGGCGTGGTGGTGCATGCCTGTAATCCCAGCTACTTGGGAGGCTGAGGTAGGAGAACTGCTTGAACCCAGGAGGCAGAGGTTGCAGTGAGCCGAGATGGTGCCATTGCACTCCAGCCTGAGCAACAAGATCAAAACTCTTATCTCAAAAAAAAAAAAAAAAAAAAGTAAACTACAAGATAGTTCAAAAGAAATTACACAGAATTCAGCATGGGAGAAACAAAAAACAAGAGTGGGAAAAGACATCAAACATGTTTTTACTAATCGAAGTTCTAAAAGGAGAGACAAGAATACAGCACAGATAATATATGAAGAGAATGGCTGGAAATCTTTCAGAACTGTTGAAGGATATCTATCCACAGATTCAAAAACCCAATAAAATCTCAAGCAGTATTAAAAAAAAAGAAGAAATCTACTTCTAGTCACATAAGAGTAAAACTGCCCCTAAAAAAGACAGAGAGAAATCTCAAAAGCAGCCAGAGAAAGAAGACACATTGCCTCACAATAGACTTCTCAACAGCATTGGTGTAATACTGTCTCATGTACTAAAAGAAATAACTGCCAACCTTTTATATTTTCCAAGATCTCTTCTGGAAAACAAAAACTTTAAGAATCTGCCTTCACTGAAAATTCTTAATGATGTACTTCAAGCAAAAAGAAAATTTCCTAGGTAAAAGGTCTAAGATGCCAGAAAGAAAGACATGCAAAGGAAACTTACCACCATATTACAGATATGGACTGTCAGTCTGACTGGTCACACTAGGGGCATTTTGTTACCAAGGCCTTGAAAATAATAACCAACACTGCATACATGAGGGATGCTAGAAGAAAGGTCTGAGAGCCACTCTTCCTGGCACTGAAGGAAACAGGGCCCATCAGAGCAAACAAGTACCTTTTACCTCTCTCATGTCCTTGGAAGCAAATGTTTATAATCTCTGGTTTTGTGTAAAGTTTATAATAGTATTTTTCATTCAGGTTGCTACCTATTAGTGGATGGTGAAATTAATTTGGTGGATCACATTCAGAATATTTTTTTAAAATCAAAAGAATACAAGCTGGGCTCAGTGACTCACACCTGTAAGCCCAACAGTTTGAGAAGACCAGGCAGGAGGATTGCTTGAGAACAGGAGTTCAGAATCAGCCTGGGCAACATGGCGAGACCCTATGTCTACAAAAATTTTAAAATATGCCCGTTCTGGTGGCATGTGCCCATAGTCCTAGCTACTCGGGAGGCTAAGGCAGCAGGATTCTTTGTTATAAGGGGTTCGAGGCTGCAGTCAAACTTCTGGTCGAAATCCTGGTCACGCCACTGCATTTCAGCCTGGGCAACAGAGTAAAACCCCATCTTTAAAAAAAAATTAAGAAATAAAAATAATATGTGAAACATTAGAATATGTTGAATCTAGTAAGGCTAATGTTGAATCTACTAAGGATAAGCAATTATTTCTTGACACTCTACATATATACATGAGTGTTGGTAAATACCTGACTGTATCATCAGCTCTAGATATAAAATGTTTATGATGTTGGCTGTGAGTTAATGAGGAATAGTTTTCCTTTCTGTGGGTTTGGGTGTATTTGGGAAACATTAGCTTAGGGGGTAAAGTAGGTTACCCAACTCTGAAAAGCAGCATCAAAATCTTTATAATAAACACATACTAGGGGCCCAACTTAAATTTCAAGCAGATGTCATGAGCTGCTCAGAGTAGCGTGTTACAACTCTGCGTTATAAGGTAAAATGACTTAGAGTGTAGCAGTAGTCCCCAAACAATGTCAAATAGACAGTGGTAAGTATAGATTGCTCTTCTCCTTGCATCACAAATGTTAATTCACCCTGCCCCCACACGCATTAAAACTCAGCATATTTCACAAATTGAGTGTTTCATTTCTATTTGAGATAGACTTATGGTAAGTCAGCTTTGCTCCCCAAATAAGTTAGCCATATAGTACTTCTATATGCAAAATTTGAATCTCAATTTTACTACTCAAGCCGGAAGTAAAAGTCATTTTTCTATATCTTCTTTGCTCCCAGACTGGGTTACAGTTTACAGATCTGAATATTGTCACTTGTACACCATACATACACAGAGGTCTAAAACTCTCTACAAGTAAATAAAGAAAAAAAGCCCAGCAACCCAATAGGAAAATAGGCCAAGCCTGTTATAGGCTTTTTGATCATCTCCAGACTGGCAGGAAGAGAATGCATACTCACACTGTAAGTGCCTGATTTGATTTGCAGAGGATATAGAACCTTATCAGAAAACAGCCTTCCAAGGCAAGAGCAAATGCACCCTATCTAAGCACAGCTTTTCTCCAATTCTTATTTACCTAAGGAGATGAATAGTTGCCAGGAACATTGTTTGCACAAGGGCAGGAGCCTGCCAGATCTGAGAACACAGCAAAATTTTTATTTTGTCAAAAATCTTATATTCAGCTTACACCATTCATTGCAGGTGAACATACAACAGTGCATTTCAGTTTAGGGAAATGTTTATAGTCATCTGGTTCTCTTTATTCCTGGGAACAAGGTTACCTCACTTGGAACACATAACCAGTGCCAAGTTGTCCATCCCTAAGCAATATCGCTTCCTTCTACTTTCTAGAAGTTCTTCAGATTGTGGAAGAGAGACTTTTCAGAGTTCTTTGCCCTCATTGCCTCCTCCAGAAATTCATGCCTTTGTATAATCTCTTCCCCTTGAGAGCCAGTAGGCTAACCTAATGAGTTATTTTTAACCAGTAGAATACAGCAAAAATGATAGATTACAAGAGATTGTGGCTTCTATCTTGCTAGCGGACTCTCTCTGTCTTCTCTGCTTGCACACTTTGTTGAAGCAAGCTACCATCCCAGAGGCAAGGAACACAGGCCATCAGTTTAGCAGCCTTGAGGAACTAAATTCTTCCAACTACCACATAAGTTTGGAAGTAGATTCTTCTCCAGTCCAGCCTTCAGATGAGACCCCAGCCATGCCAACATCTTGATTGCAGCCCTGTGAGAGACCTTGAAATAGAACCATTTCTGATCTCCTGACCCACAGAAACTGTGAAATAAATATGTGTTAAGGTACTAAGTTTGTAGTAATTTGTTACGCAGCAGATTGTAAATAACACGCAGATAAAACCAGACAGAACAGAAAAATAAAATGGCTTTAACTCTAGAAAATTTCCCCATGTAAAAGTTTGAAAATGCTACTCTGCCTAAGGTCAAACTGTCATACATATATACGTATGAAAACACAGAATGGTGTCTGGAAGGGTAATACCAAATTAAATCTTTATCCAAGAGGAATGAAAACCAGTATTCACACAAAAACCTATGCACAAACCTTGTGAATATATTAAAAACCAGTGAATTATGCACTTTAAAAAGGTGAATTATGTGGTATATGAATTATATCTCCAAAACATTTAATTAAAAACCTGTACACAATTATTCGTAGAAACTTTCTTTAAAATTGCTAAAAACGAGGAAGATCTCAGTTATCCTTCAACTGGCAAATGAATAAACAAACTGGTACAGCCATGCAATTGAATACTGCTCAGCAATAAAAAAGAATGCACTGCCAGTACAGCAACATGGATAATTCTCAAATGCATTATGCCAGTTGACAGAGGTCAGACTCAAAATACTATGTACAGTGTGATTCTACTTATATGACACTGAAAAAAGCAGAACTATAAGGACAGAAAACAGGTTAGCGGTTGCCAAGGAGTGGGAGAAGCAGCCAGGGAGAACTTTGAGGAGGTGAAAATGTGCCAGGCCTTGGTTGGTGGTGGTACGTAACTGTGCATTTGTCAAGACTCAGTGCTATACGCTGAAAAGGGCAGGTTTTACTATAAGTAAGTTGTACCTCAATAAACATGATTTTTAAATGATTAAAACTTTGGTTTTTGTTTGTTTTGGTTCAGTTTTAAGGTTTACCATAAATCTATTGGTTTTAGATTCTAAGTTGTATATAAGCTTCTGTTTTAAAAGAATTTTTTTTAAAATCCTCTTATCGTCAACAATATTTAGTTGTGCTGGAAATTTTATTTTGGAATTGTTTAATAGAGAAAGACAATAAATAATGTTCAAGAACAGACATTGATTCATAACATCAAAGTATATTGTGAGAAGATGGTATTTCAGAATAGAGGAAGAATTTCTTATGTGCTGGTAAGATTGTAGATAATCATTTCTGCATAATTTTCATAGCTGGATTGCTTTAATAAAGCCATTTAAAGGTTAAGTTCTAGATTGCTTCATGTTGCTTATCAATGTTTTAAAGCTAAAATAGAAAATTAGCTGTTAAGTTGGCTCAACCGGAAATTCAGTATATCCTTTAAAAAGAGAAATTTAGTAAGCAGTGTGTCTAAAGAATGACATATGGTTGGGTACAGTGGCTCGTGACTGTAATCCCAACACTGTGAGGCTGAAGTGGGAGGATCACTTGAGCCCAGGAATTTGAGACCAGCCTGGAAAACAGTGAGACCTGCATCTCTACCAAAAAACAAAAAATTACCCAGGCATGGTGGCACACACCTTGTGGTCCCAGTTGCTTGGGAGGCTGAGGTGGGAGAATCACTTGAGCCTGGGAGATCAAGGCTGCACTGAAGTCTCATCACGCCACTGCACTCCAGCCTGGGTGACAGAGCAAGACCCTGTCTCAAAAAAAAAAAAAAAAAAGAACCCCCCCCACCCAACAAAAAAGGCATGTGATCAGTAAAAAAGACATTATTTGCTTATATTGTAGAGTGGTTCTAAAATATAGATTTTACATTGAGAAATTTTAATACTCTCTTTTTTCTTTTTTTTTGTTTTACTTTCCAAAGGTGAGGAATAAAATGCTTCCCGTTCTTCTGGATGGGCATCCTATCTTCGTAGTTGGTTTGGACTTCGATAGGTTGATGGAAGGAATGTTTTTATTAACCAAATAAAATCTATTTACAAAAATGGTTCATGTGTATTACCATCATTCTTTTGTCAAAAAGTGTGTATATGTTTGCATTTACATATATTTGTACATCTATATGACAGATGTATTTTAAAAGTTTCAACTTGAAGTAAAAGTACAACAGCTTGAAGTGTTGATACCAGGCCACAGCCCTCTAACTCATGTGATCTCCCATGCATGCTGCCAGAATAAAACCACCAGGAATGAATTCACTCCCCACTTCTCTGGAACCTCAGGACCCGCCCATTTCTCGGCAGTACTGTGAATTTTGAAGTTAAACTAAATTTTGGTACCATACCAACTGGAATTTAGGCTTTAAAAATAATGTTTCAAGGCCAGGTGTGGTGATTCATGCCTGAAATCCCACTACTTGGGGAGGCTGAGGCTGGAGAATCGTTTGAGGCTAGTGAGCTGTGATTGTATCACTGCACTCCAGCTCGGGGAACAGAGCGAGACCTTGTCTCTAAAAATAATAATAGTAATAAAAATAACATTTTATGACTATTTATTGCAAGGTCAGATTTACAGATTGTTATAAATTGTTGAGAAATTTTTGTGATTAGAATATGAAGGAAAAAGCTTTGTTGGTAAAAGTGACATGTTAAGGGGCTATGAAGTAAATATGCTGCAGTTAATTGTGCTAAGTTAAAATACAGTTTAGTTATTTGCTTTAAAATAAACTCTTCTTTTTTTCTTTAAAGTATACTATCTCAAAACTCATTATGTTGTCAGAGCCCTAGAGCTGGCTAGTGTAACACTGACTATGAATAGGTGGGCCCACCACTTGAGTTGAGGTGATTTCATGGTGTCTTTCCAGGCTCTTGATAGGGTGTCACTGCATGCAAGCCATGAATCTGTTTTGAGAATCCTCTCCATTTTCCCAAATAAAAACCTATCCCAACAGTGACTATATCACTCAGCATTGAATCTAAATATAAAAGTGGTGCTTTCAGTGTTTTTGGCAGATAGTGTTCCATAAGCTTTCCATCAGAAGGGATTTTAGACACCTTAGAGGTCCGTGCTACATCTTCACAGTTCCTCTGAATAACCTTAGGTGGTAGTGTTACTTGCCTTTGACACCGCTGCATATGTTTTAATGACTAGATCCAAACTGTGTTGTTCTTAAATCAAAAATTGGATAATTTTTAATATTTATGTATTAATCACATAGTATGCTCTCTGAAGTTCTCTTAAGCCTTCAGTTTATACTCTTAATTTTCTTTCTGAGCTGGGGAACTGACTTTGCACTTTGGTTACACAGAACATTGGTTTCCAATTTAGTTTAACTGAAATTTGCTGCTGATATGTTGAGTTTGTTCTTTAAAAAATATCTCATATATCTCGTCTTTCCTCCTTAGAAGAACAGACCTAACTAGCGAATGTATGAATGAAAATGCATCTATTTCAGAGCCGACATGAAGAGTTTAGTTTTTTTACTTTATAAACTGTGAATATGAGTATGCCAGCTGCATACGATGTAACTAATCATATTTAAATATATTTCACTTTCTCTTTGACTTGAGACCTTTTGAAGTCTGTATAAACTTGTTTTGAAATATAGTCTCCACTTACAAATGTCATAACAAAATACTTTTTTGCATGATAAAAAATTGATTACAAAAGGCATATTCTTTCATGGTTTCTGCAATGAGAGGAAGTGTAATGATTATTTTAATATTTCTATTAAATATGTTTAACTGTATATTTTTATGGCAGCTCTTTTATGTTACACACTGTCTCTTTGGGGTTGTTAATTGGTTTCTGAAAGGGAACTTCAAACTCCTTTACTACTGGCCTTCCATGGTTGGTCCCTATTAGGTTGTTGAGAGAACGTCGACCAACTCTTTGATACCCGCCAGGTAGACCGTAGTACCTGCCATGTCTGACACCCTGCATCCAGCTAAAACCAGAAACAGCGCTGGGCCTCCCTGTGGACAAGACATTGATTTGACCAGAAGCAGATGTCTGGCTAAGGCTGCCAACCAAAGGGTGGCCTTAGATGAAGGGCTTTGTTCAGTTAGGGGCAGAGGTCATTAATTTTTTTTTTTTTTTTTTTTTTTTGAGACAGAGTCTTGCTCTGTCGCCCAGGCGTGAGTGCAATGGCGCAATCTCGGCTCACTGCAAGCTCTGCCTCCCAGGTTCATGCCATTCTCCTGCCTCAGCCTCCTAAGTAGCTGGGACTACAGGCGCCCGCCACCATGCCCAGCTAATTTTTTGTATTTTTAGTAGAGACGGGGTTTCACCGTGTTAGCCAGGATGGTCTCGATCTCCTGGAGGTAATTAATTTCTTTGGATGTTTGGACTAGGAGATGGGGAGAGGCAGAGCAGAAAGAGAAACACAGATGCCACAAGAAGGAGGAACAGAGCTAACCCTGGATAGGACTGGACACAGCAGCCAGACCAAGAGAGGCATCTAGTGAGAAGCAGCTCTTCAGCCCTGGGCCTGGTGCACACATCACTCCTTGGTTTCTAAGAACCAAATTTGGCCCAGCACAGTGGCTCATGCCTGTAATCCCAGCACCTTGGGAGGCCAAAGCGGGTAGATCATGAGGTCAAGAGATCGAGACCATCCTGGCCAACGTGGTGAAACCCCGTCTCTACTAAAAACACACAAAAAATCAGCTGGGCATGGTGGTGTGCACCTGTAGTCCCAGCTACTTGGGAGGCTGAGGCAGGAGAATCACTTGAACCCGGGTGGCAGAGTCCAGTGAGCCGAGATCACACTACTGCACTCCAGCCTGGTGACAGAGTGAGACTCCGTCAAAAAAATAAATAAAAATAAAGCCAAATTCATACAGTCCCTGAGGAGTGGGAACTGATGCACATCTCTTGTATACAATAAGCTATGCTTGTGCTCTGAACAGTGTAAGATTGAGAATTGTATTCCTTTAAAGAAAGTTTGGCAGAACTGTAACTGAATTACTAACAAGGCACTGAGAAGGCATACCGTACTTTGTATTCTTTTTAAAGTCCCTGTTAGGTGGTGGTGTAGCTGGAAGTGTATAGTATTGAGGATGTAAAGTTTCCCCTAAAAAATTGTTGGTATTTGGCGAATGGCATAACACATCAAAAAATTGGTTGTATCATATGATTAAATTTCAACGTGATGATTTCAACTTGGTGGAAGACTTCTGCTTCGTCTTGGTATGTGAAAATCCCCTTTGCTTCAAACTTAATACAGACCAAGGAAAACAACCTGATACAAGTTTGCAAGTGTCTTTGAGCTAATGGTTTTTCGTGGGTATTAAAAAGCATTGGGTTATTTATGTATAATTACGTAGAAAGAAAATGTTTGTTCCATTCAAGATACGGTTACACGAAAAGGCATCTAGTTGTGAACTTCAAATTATTACTTATATACCTACAGAAAATTCCTATAAATAGGCTGGGCGTGATGGCTCACACCTGTCATCCTGGCACTTAGGGAGGCCAGGGTGGGCAGATCACCTGAGGTCAGGAGTCCAAGACCAGCCTGGCCAATATGGTGAAAACTTGTCTCTACGAAAAATACAAAAATTAGCCAGGCATGTTGGCCCATGCCTGTAGTCCCAGTTACTCAGCAGGCTGAGGTAGGAGAATCGCTTGAACTCGGGAGGGGAGGCTGCAGTGAGCCAAGATCACACACCACTGCACTCCAGCCTGGGCAACAAAGTGAGACCCCCATCTCAAATAAGGAAAGAAAACTCCTATGAAGAAACACTATACGTCTGAGTTTCAATAATAGAGATGATTAACCCAGTTTCCCTGCAAGGATGTGCTCACTGTGAACAGATGTAGTGGTTACCACTCCAGATGTCTGCCTAGCATTTGAGACAACCTGTCACCCCTGCCTCTCTCTGGGAACTTTTGCCCCACCACCATACAGAGGGGCAGTAGGCCCAGCCATAATCAACTGAAACAGATACAGAGTTATGACCTGAGCCTAGGCAATTAGGTTTTCTCAGGAATATGGATCTGGGACTAAAGAACTCAGCATCTTCCTGTGACTGGAATTGTAGCATGTAAGTACAGAAGCTTTGGAGTGCCCAGAAAGAGCAGAGAAAGCCAGCCAAGAGAGTGCCAGGTTTAAGTTGACAGAAGAGGTCAACAAAATCGTGAAGTGAGTGTTCTGGGGACCTGAGAGTCAAGGGACTGGATTCTGTACAATGTCTCTGCATCATCATAGTAAACTTTCTACACATGCTTTGAAAGTAAATATCAGATAATTTGGAGCACAGTATAATGGTAAAGTATAAACTGTGAACTTACACAAGGACACCACAATTTCCGCCTCACTGACGAATAACTTGGGGCATGTTCTTGACTGCTCTGAGCCCCCATTTCTTTATCTGTAAAAAGGAAATAAATTACATAGTTGTGAGTTATTGGACGACATAAAACCCAGCACAGAGGGCTGGATGCAGTGGCTCACGCCTGTAATCCCAGCACTTTGGGAGGCCAAGGTGGGCGTATCACAAGGTCAGGAGATCGGGAGCATCCTGGCTAACACGGTGAAGCCCCGTCTCTACTAAAAATACAAAAAATCAGCCAGGCATGGTGGCGGATGCCTGTAGTCCCAGCTACTTGGGAGGCTGAGGCAGAAGAGCAGAAGAATGGCGTGAACCCAGGAGGTGGAGCTTGCAGTGAGCCGAGATTGCGCCACTGCACTCCAGCCTGGGCGATAGAGCAAGACCCCATCTCAAAAAAAAAACAAAAACAAAAACAAAAAACCCAGCACAGAGTAGGCATGCCAGCATTCTCTCACTTCTCAGCCTGCAAAAAGATTTACCAATTTACCTCATTTTCTTCTGTTCCTTGTTCTGACCTCAGTGCATGACCCATAGCACCAAGTGTTACTGTCGTTTATGAGTGAACAATTGTGTTAATAAGGAAATAAATTGAATGTTTTCCAGCATTTTGACCTTATTTTTTAAAACTTTGTACCTCCCAGAGCTGGGAAGAGATTCCAGATTTCCAGACTTAGTCCAGAGTCATGACTAATGCTGGACTTCGTCTATAGCTCTTATCGAAATGTCAGAAAACATTTTTTGCCCCAAAAACCATTAACTGATAAATTTATAGCATCAAACTGCATTTTTTAAAGGAGGCTTTTTGTTTTTTCTTTTTTGAGAGAGAGAGAGTCTTGCTCTGTCGCCCAGGCTGGAGTGCCTTGGCATAGTCTCAGTTCTCTGCAATCTCTGCCTCCCGGTCTCAGGTGATTCTCCTGCCTCAGCCTCCCAAGTAGCTGGGACTACAGGTGTGTACCACCACATCCGGCTGATTTTTGTTTGTTCGTTTTTGGTAGAGACGAGGTTTTGCCATGTTACCTAGGCTGATCTTGAACTCCTGGACTCAAGTGATCCACCCACCTCGGCTTCCCAAAGTGCTGAGATTTCAGGTGTGAGCCACCACACCTGGCCAAAAGAGACTTTTTTTTTTTTTTTTTTTTTTTGAGACGAGTGTCGCTCTGTTGCCAGGCTGGAGTACAGTGGCATGGTCTCAGCTCACTGCAACCTCCACCTCCTGGGTTCAAGTGATTCCCCTGCCTCAGCCTCCCGAGTAGCTGGGACTACAGGCACGCGTCACCACGCCCGGCTAATTTTTTGTATGTTTAGTAGAGATGGAGTTTCACTGTGTTAGCCAGGATGGTCTCGATCTCCTGACCTCGTGATCTGCCCACCTTGGCCTCCCAAAGTGCTGAGATTACAGGCGTGAGCCACTGCGCCCAGCCCATGCCTGGCTAATTTTTTTTTTTTTTTTTTGGATTTTAGTAGAGACAAGTTTTCACCATGTTGCCCAGCTGGTCTTGAACTCCTGAGTGCAGGCAATCCACCCACCTCACCCTCCCAAAGTGCTAGGATTACAGGTATTTGGTTTTTTGTTTGGTTTTCAAGCAACCTTTCTCAATTTTGCTATGCTCACTCTTTCTTCACTTGTTGGTATTGGCTAGATACAGATTTTGCTTTCCTATTGGAGACTCTTTTGAGAGCTGGCTACTCCCTCTTGCTCCTTTTCTTTTTTCTCTTCCCTACTTTCAAGTTTCTTGCTCTTTTTCTTACCCCATAAGTTACCAGAAATTCATAACCCCTTGAGAGGGCTTTTTGTTTGAACTTCAGTCTTTAGTTTCATCAACTTTTCTAAGGAAATTGATCTGTTAATGAAAGTTGGCTTGCTTGACTTCAGAATATCTGTATTATTCAGTGATGTGTTTTTCTGGTTGCTTTGTTTGAGCATAGTGTAAATATCACCCATTGCATAGCTATGGCAGTGACATAAATCTAGCAGCGTAAGATCGAGAAAAGCTAGAAGTCCCACCACAGATTGTATTTCAGTGAAAGGGATTCATTTTAACTGCTTATAAAACTAAAGAAAACTTATAAACATGGAAAACAATTATTAAACCCACCATATGCTCATACTGATATTAAATGGTGTGCCAGATTCTAGAAAGAGTTACCTTTTGGTAAGAGCACTGCTTGTTAACTATGGTTGGTTGCTTTAGATGTCTAGTGTGTAGACAAAAGCATGAATTTTATTCCTTATAACCAAAGTAGAAACCTACTCTGAGCAATTTGACAAAAGGTTTACATTATTTATTTTAGTGTAGTTTAAGATTACAGTAAGATGCAATTCCCAAAGAGTGAAATATAAGGCTGGGCGTGGTGGATCACGCCTGTAATCCTAACACTTTGGGAGGCTGAGGCGGGTGGAGCACCTGAGATCAGGAGTTCGAGACCAGCCTGGCCAACATGACGAAACCCCATCTCTACTAAAAATACAACAATTAGCCAGACATGGTGGTGCCCACCTGTAATCCCAGCTACTAGGGAGGCTGAGGCAGGAGAATCCCTTGAACCTGGGGTGTGGAGGCTGGAGTGAGCTGAGATCATGCCATTGCACTCCAGCCTGGGCACACTCTCAAAAAAAAAAAAAAGTGCAATATAACTTTTCACAAAATATGGAACTGTGGTAGTCTAGAACAATGTCTCAATATACCTCCTACACGAAGTATAATAGTAAATATCTGTATTTGGTGGCATAATATGCTCTTAGTATAAACCAAAAACACATGCTGAGCATTGGACATTGTCCAATGTTTAATTCATATGATTCATTCTGAGTTTCTGACTGAGATCATTCTTTCAGACTATGTGTATTTTTCCTGGGATCCATAAAATATGCAGCCCTAACGTGATTTCATTTTTGTTTCCTTTCCTGGAAAAGGAGAAATCATTCAGATCAGCTTTCATATTGCCTTATAGACGATGACTTCAAAATAGTTTTAAAGGGACTCCTTTGTTCTAGAACTGCTCTAACACAGTAGCCACTAGCCACATGTGGCTATTGAAATATTGAAATGTGGTTATTCCAAATCAGGATGTACAGTAAATATAAAATACCCACCAGATTTCAAAGGCTTACATGAAAAAAGTAATGTGAAATATCTCACTAGTAGTTTTTATAGTGATTACATGTTGAAATTTTAACATTGTGAACATATTAGTTTAAATAAAATGTATTGTGAAAATTAATTTCATGTTTCCATTTACTTTTGATAAAAGTACTACTAGAGGCTGGGTGTGGTGGCTCACTCCTGTAATCCCAGCACTTTGGGAGGCTGAGGTGGGAGGATCACGAGGTCAGGAGACCGAGACCTTCCTGGCTAACACGGTGAAACCCCGTCTCTACTAAAAACACAAAAAATTAGCCAGGCGTGTTGGCAGGCGCCTGTAGTCCCAGCTACTAGGGAGGCTGAGGCAGGAGAATGGCGTGAACCCGGGAGGCGGAGCTTGCAGTGAGCTGAGATCGTGCCACTGCACTCCAGTCTGGGCTTCAGAGCAAGACTCCGTCTCAGAAAAAAAAACACTACTAGCACATTTTTAAATTACTTGTAGTGATCTCATTTGTACCACATTACATTTCAATCGTATACTGCTTTTCTAAAGAGTCACTGCTAAGCCCTGAAATTAACTCCAAATACCTCCCTGGGATACAGTGCCAAGGAAGGGGCTTCCTTGAACTTCAACCTCTAAAAGTAAGCAAGAATTGAGAAATATCTTCTGCTTTGAAAAATATTCACTCCCCAACGCTAATACATCAATTACATATTATTTGGGGGCTAACTAAGCTCCTATTTTAAAATGTAAATTGAAGAAATTAGGCCAGAGTCATTCCCATCTTAGTGCCAGTCATATAATCAGATAATTAGATTGCTCTTTCCTTAAAGCCTGTTTAGTTTTCTTGTTTGCTGGTTTTGTTGTTGTTGGGTTTTTTAATTTGTTTTTGTTGTTGTTGTTGTTGTTTTGAGATGGATACTCACTGTGTCACCCAGGCTAGAGTGCAGCGGCATGATCTCTGCTCAGTGCAACCTCCAACTCCTGGGTTCAAGCGATTCTCCTGCCTCAGCATCCTGAGTAGCTGGGACTGTAGGTGCATGCCACCACGCCCGTCTAATTTTTTTGTTTTTTGGTTTTTTTGTTTGTTTTGAGACAGTCTCACTATTTCCCAGGCTGGAGTGCAGTGGCACGATCTCGGCTCACTGCAACCTCCACTTCCGAGGTTCAAGCGATTCTCCTGCCTCAGCCTCCCAAGTAGCTGGGACTACAGGTGCATGGCATTATGCCTGGCTAATTTTTTGTATTTTTAGCAGAGATGGGGTTTCGCCATGCTGGCAAAACTGGTCTCAAACTTCTGGCCTCAGGTGATCCAGCCGTCTCAGATCAAAGTGCTGGGATTACAGGCATGAGCCACCACTCACAGCTCACTAAGGCCTTTTGCCAAGACAAATTAGCTCTTAGAGAACCACAGGATTCCTTTTGTAATGTATTACAAACTAAAGTCTTACCTACTCTTGAAGAGTAGAAAACATGAAAAAGTTCTATGTTAGCCCTTAGAATAATTAAAAATTCATAAGCTCTGAAATAAAGACAGGTAATAAAATCATTGCATATGACAAAACAAAAGTTTAAATTGGCGTTTGTAAACTCTGCATGAAAGCCAGGTTTCTCACTACTAGAAAAAGAAAAAAAGTTATAAATAAGCCAAAGAGAATTCCAGAATGAATCCTGTGGTGCCAAATATATGTTAACTACAAGGAATAACAGTGACCTTACACTGGAAACACCTTAACCATGGGCCAAGGTTAAAGATATAACAGCATTCTCACACCCCTTGCACAGCTACCCCCAATGTTAACATAACTGTTAACAAATTATCAAAACTAAGAAATTCGTCTTGGTATAGTATCACTAACTAAACTCCAGACCTCAGTCAGGTTTTCCCAGTCTTTCCTTCAGTGTCCTTCCTCTGTTTCAGGATTCAATCCATGATCCTTGACACTTGGTACTTTGTCAGATGTCCCGCTGTATGGGTTTGTTTGATGTTTTCCCATGATTAGGGATAGACACTGCAAGACTCAGAGCTACTTTACAAAGAAGCCTCTAGGGAGCTCCCCAGAGAAGACAGGGGAGACAACACAAGGACACTAGAGGAAATTTTAGCCTCTGACATCCATGACTATATAGCAAAGAGTAAACAAAGCCTAACTCCTAGCCAGAGAAACACAAAATCTCATACTGAAGCCTTATTTAACTCAGTTCCTTTCACCCAGTACATCATATACAGCCTCAAACAAAAAATTACAAAGCATACTAAAAGACAAGAAACCCCACACTTTGAAGAGACAAAGCAAGCATCAGAACCAGACTCAGATATGAAAGAAATATTGGAAGTATCCAACCAGGAATTTAAAATAACTAAGATTAACATGCTAGGGGCTCTAATGTAAAAATGGCATAACATGCAAGAACAGATGGGTAATGTAAGCAAAGAGATAAAAACACTAAGAAGAAATAAAAATGAAATACTAGAAATAAAAAACACCATAACAGAAATGAAGAATGCCTTTGATGGGTTCATCAAAAGAATGGATATGGCCAATGAAAGAATCAGTGAGCTCAAAGAGATGTCAATAGATACTTCAAAAGCTGACACACAATGAGAAAAAAGAATGAAAAAGAAAAAACAGAACAAGAGTCAAGAACTGTGAGACAATTACAAAAGGTGGAACATGGAGACTTTTTGGAAATACCAGAAAGAGAAGAAAAAGAGAAAGAAAGCCAGGCGTGGTGGCTTACACCTATAATCCCAGCAATTTGGGAGGCCGAGGCGGGCAGATCGCAAGGTCAGGAGATCGAGACCATCCTGGCTAACACGGTGAAACCCTGTCTCTACTAAAAATACAAAAAATTAGCAGGGCATGGTGGCAGGCGCCTGTAGTCCCAGCTACTTGGGAGACTGAGGCAGGAGAATGGCATGAACCTGGGAGGAGGAGCTTGCAGTGAGCTGAGATCGTGCCACTGCACTCCAGCCTGGGCAACAGAGCAAGACTCTGTCTCAAAAAAAAAAAAAAAAAAAAAGAGAAAGAAACAGAAGAAACATTTGAAGCAACAGTGACTGAAAATTTCCCCAAATTCATGATAGATAAAGCTATGGTCTGAATGTTTGTGTCTCCTCAAAAGTTATATTGAAACTTAATCCTCAATGTGATAGTACTGAGGTGGGGCTTTTGGGAGTCAATCAGGTTACGAGGGCTCTACCCTCAGGACAGAGATTAGTGCACTTATGAAAGAAGCCCCAGGGAATTAGCTAGCCCCTGACACCATGTGAGGACAAAGCCAGAATGTGTCATCTATGAGGAAGTAGGGCCTCACCAGACACTGCTAGTGCCTTGGTCTTGGACATCACAGCCCCTAGAACGGTGAGAAATAAATTTCTGTTGTTTATAAACTCTCCAGTTTATGATATTTTTGTCACAGCAGCCCAAATGAACTAAGGTAGACATAAAGGAACAGATCCAGGAAGCTCAAAATACATCATTTCAATAATGATCTTTAAAACTTTGTTTGAAATTATACTGATCATTCTGCTGACTGCTGAATGACCTGGCACCGTCTCAGGGTTTTAGTCTGGAGTTTTTGTTTATGCTCATGGCCTCACGGAGAACAATATTCACCTGAAGTGACGGTGCTTCTCTTTTTATGTTGTTGAGAAGCATGATTGGCTCTTTTTTTGCAAAATTATTCACAAACTTAAACTTTGATTCAGAATTATTGAAGTAACATGGTGAGGCAGAGTAATATGTGACTTAAATTTTACGGAGTACTAAGGAAAATGGGCAGACTTAATATAAAAGTGATGCATTGGTGGTGCTTAAGGGCAAATACCGATAACATGGTGTACAAATAAAGGAGCCCGATGATTCAAACAGGTGGAAGTGATGGGAGAACTGAGTTGTCACACAGTACCATATCCACACTGTCACAGAAATCTCACCTTTATTTATTCCCTTTTGCACTAACGTAGCCAGAAATGTGAAATGATGACAGTTTTTTCAGTAGGAATTTTTTTTTTAGTTTTTAGCATTGACCTTTGAGGTGCACTATTAAATTGCTCAGTCCATTAAAATAACGGATTGCTGATTTAAAAACTGGTTCCTTGCTTAGCTTCAGCAAAACAGCAAAGTCTACCACATTAAATGTATATTGTTTATTTGATTTTTATTGACTTTGTTGTTTTATTTTAACTACTTAATTGCAAATCTGTCTTGGGGTTAACACTGTGTAAGAGTTTTAAGCATAAGAAGTTTGTACTTAGAGTTTAGATGTAGTTTTATATTTGTACATGTTGATGTAACATTTTAATAATAATAATAATTCAGGTCTGCTGGGCATGGTGGCTCACGCCTGTAATCCCAGCACTTTGGGAGGCTGAGGCGGGCGGCTCACCTGAGGTCGAGAGTTCAAGACCAGCCTGACCAACATGGAGAAACCCTGTCTCTACTAAAAATGTAAAATTAGCCAGGCATGGTGGCACATGCATGTAATTCCAGCTACTTGGGAGGCTGAGGTAGGAGAATCGCTTGAACCCGGAGGCGGAGGTTGTGGTGAGCCGAGATCGCACCATTGCACTCTAGCCTGGGCAATGAGAGCAAAATTCTGTCTCAGAAAAAAAAAAAAAAATCAGGTTAATTCTGGGATCTGAGCAAAGTTTTGCTCCTTTCCGAGAGGTGAACACGTTACGCAATTATTAATAATATCCCTGTGGGAAGGGGCTTTACAACAAATTATTTTACAGGTGAAGAGCAGAAATGAAAACATTTTCTAGAGCCACTCCTGCCCTTCACACTCAGGAATGTCGCAGTAGTCATATCTCTGTTCTGGATCAGTAGTATAACACCAGGGCCCCTGCGCATCGTTGTCTGGATTCCTCCAGTCCCTCTGAGGGGTGTGTAGCAGGTGAGAATCTGGGGAGGATGGAAGAGAAGCACTTAGACTATATTCTAAAAATCAGCTTGCTATTAGCAAGGCAGAAGGAGATGCTCTCGATTCCCATCTGAGATCGTCATCCAAATGCATTTCAGCTGGGTGCTGCAGCATTTGTGTGGTCAGATTTTCAATTTCTCTATTGATAGGCTGCTTCTGGCACAGTAGCTAATATTACCATTGCTACTGTGACAGCCAAGTCTTAGACAGAGAGCCAAAATATTTTTATTGCACAGTCAGGAGAAATAGAAAGGCCTCAAAAGCCTGCCATGGTCTTAATTCATTCCAAACACCTGCTTTTGTCAGTTGCCCTTTTCTCTGTAAAAATTTTCATAGTTAACACCATTTTGTCCATGTGAACTATGTGCCAGGAATTCCACTAACATCTTTCCACACATTCTCTCTTTTAGTCCTAATAAAAAAAACCATTTGAGGAAGGTGTTATTATCCCTATTTTACAGATGAGAAGACTGAATGGCAACGTAAAACAAAACAAAACAAAACTTGCCTAAGCGTAAATAGCTATGAAGAAGCAGATCAAGAATTCAAAGTTGATCTGTCTGATTCCAAAGTCCTGGTTTTCTCTGAAATGCAGCTTGAATTATTGGGGATGGAGGAGGGATTTAAACTTATTTTCAGTTCTAGAGATGAGTTGCTGTATAGAGACAACCATTTAGATGACAATCACAAGACTTACAGTCTAGAAAGGCAGGTTTTATTTCTGGTTCTTCTGTGAACCTATTTGGGGTAACCCCCACCCCCCAAGACCTCAGTTCCCTCATGAAGATGAGCCTAGACTACCTCATAAAAATGGCCCAGAGTGTCTCCATGGCCCCCGATAGTCTCTGACTTCGCCATTTGGTTGAATCAGTTTTCATTAACTCACGGGGAATATTTGATCTGCTCATCTCATAGGGATATAGCAAAGGCAATTTGTTGAGTGTTGGGGGAATGGATAAAGGTGAGTAACAGGCACTAAGTTCCTATTTGATAAGTGTCATTACTGAGAACTTAATGCCACCTAACACCAAACTGGGAAAAGCACAAAAAAATGCACTAAAATAAATAATAGGCAAGTTGCGACATTTGAATTTCACGTATCTTCATTGTCATTTTTATATTTTATTTACTATTTTGCTCCACAATTTGAGTCAAACATGTGATGAGAGTTCTAACTTGATATGTTTACTTCAGTCCCAAACATAGTCATCTTTGGTCTTTTCTCAGATTTGGCCTAAAACTCGTAGTTTCATTGATTTTTTTTTTTAACTAGGCATTCTTCTATGTTCTAGGTCTTCAAGAAACCTCCATACCCAAGAAAAAATAGAAAGCAACGATGTTCTACTATGGTGCCAAAAATAGTTGAACATCGACATCAAAAAGATTCTTTCTGTCTGCTTATTCACATATTCTGGTTTGAATTAAAAGTGATGAAATTATCCTAAATACAGTTGGCCCTCTGTATCCATGGGTTCCACATCCACAAATTCAACCAACTGTGGATGGAAAAGACTTGAAAAAGATGAGAGAAAATAACAATATGACAATAAAACATAATACAAATAAAAACAATACAGCATAACAACGATTACATAGCATTTACATTATATTAGGGATTGCACAAGAGAAGGTATGTAGGTTATATGCAAATACTGCACCATTTTACATAAGGGACTTGAGAAGCATGGATTTTGGTAGCCACAGGGGTCCTGGAACCAATCCCTCACAGACACAGAGGGACAACTTTACAGTAGATGAACACAAAGATGAAAGGGAAAGTCTTACCTAGGTCTGCGGGGAGAAGTGGAACTCCATTTTTGACAGGTGATGCCATTTTTTGTTTTGGACATCGTCCCTCTGTAGTTCTTTCCATTCCCAGTCTTGCACTCTGAAAGATACACTGAAGGAAAGTCCACACAGCGGTCAAAGTCTTTCACAAGACACCACGTGAAGGTCTGCACAGCATAGTCACGTTGAGAAAAAGATCTCATGCACCAGACCCCCTGTTTCTGCTTTCTAAAAGATCATCTTTTGCATCTGCAAAAAGGCTGCAGTAAACTGGGCCATTCCATACTTTGATTCATGTATTCAAATGCTACTTATGAGCTCTCTGTGTATTGAGCCCCACCAGGATGCTGGGGACACACGGGGCACAGTGCAGCCAGAGGCTTGGCCGTCATAGAGCTCACATTCTAGTGGAATCAGGCAGGGGGGTTACAGGAAATATTCAAGGAAACAATATAAAATGAGATCACTTAATGATGATACATGTTACATACATGATGAGACAGAGTAAGAGAATGGGGAAAGGGTTTTTAGATGGGGGAATGGCAGGCTTTTCCGAGGCTGAAAGAGATCCAACCCACTTCTATTTCTTCAGGCTCCCAGTGATATGAAAAAGTGCCAAACAGGGCTATAAAATTGTGGTCTACTGTAAATGGTTTGCAGTAAAAGTTCTCAACCAGCTTCCACTCAACCAACTCACCAGTTAGACAATGGGCCCTCTCCTGTGTTTAAAACAGTCTGGTGCCCACCTGGGTCCACATGCAGCTGGCAGGTGTTTGCTAGTGTGCCCACCCATGTCTGTTCCCCCCACGTGAGTTATGTGCTTACAACGAGTCATTTCTTTGCATTTTCCAACTTTCTTACATTTATATTTAATTAAAGATGATCTAAACTGAGAAATGAATGTGAAAAGGAACAAAGCTCTTTTTTGTTTGGTTTTTAACTAAATTAAATGTTTTTAACAAGTTGAAACGTGAATCATTTAAAAAATTGCTATCAGATCCACAGAGGGCAATCCACTCATATAGTTGACTGTAAAGCTTGAGGAGGAATTCATAAAAATCTAAAGGTTTTACACATGCAGATTGATTAATAAATGTCGAGATATGGTCCACTTCAAAAATAAGGAAAGTAATTATTGTAGATGTTGCACTAGAGCATAGTTTATGCAGGAAATGCACCAGAGACCTTCTACTGGTGACCCCATATTCGAAGAAAAAAAGCCTCTGCTCTACATCAAAAGGTGTCAAGTACACTTGTGTTTTCAATGAAAATATAAAATGTTTAAGGTATATTTGCACCATCATTTAAGGTTACCCACTTTAGCCATTTTTAAATTCACTGATCAATCACATGGGGAAAGTACTCCTAACATACCTGCAGCAAACTAATGCTTTTAACCCAATACTACGTATTATGATTTCCAGTATATCTTCATTGGGACATAGTATTACAGTAGACATAAGACACTCATCAAAGTGTAAACTCAAGGTACTTTGTGAAAGGGAGGTCTAGGGGTCAAGGAAGATTTGCAAAGGAGGTGATGATTGAGCTGACACCTAGGTGATAAGAAGGAGCTGGCACAGCAGGACAAAGGTGAAGAGGGTCCCAGGCAGGAGGGCGTGTGCTTGGGGTGGTGAAGGAACAGAAGTAAGGCCAGAAACTTTGTAGAAAAGTTTAGCAAGCCAAGCAAACAGCAGCCGGGGGTTATGTAAATAATGCCGGGCCCTGGCACATTTGGGAAGTCTTTGGGTCTTATTTTAAGGGCACTAGGAAGGGCTTTAAACAGCGAAGTTACATTTCTTCGAGATCAGGTGTACAGCTACAAGTAGCCCTAACCAGTGGTGATAGGTTCTTGGACTCGGTGAAGGCAGTGTGGCTGGTGGCAAGTGGCAGAAGTAAATGTGATCTAACACTGACTGTTCCTGGCAAAACCCTGGCAGGTAAGTTAGCAGCAGGTCAATATCCCACAGCAAAGAAACAAGGACCAAAAAATGACTGACTTTTGACTTTTCACTTCTTTTTCGTTTGTATGTACCCACCAGAGTTTATATAAACTTTTGCTCCCTTCTGTCACTTTGAAAACAAGCAAACTAAGCCTTCAAACTTCAGACTTCAAACTCAACCTACAGTCATTCCCATGTTCCTTCTGGTTAACAATTTACAAATGACATATTTAAATGTTAGCATTTTGTAGAGAGAATCAGGGGAATCAGGGATTTTTGTTTTTGTTTTTTTTTTTTTAAATCTGGTACAATTAGGTGATCCTATTCAGTTTACCATTTGCTTGCTACTTGTAAGAACTAATAACTGCACCAGATAAAGTTTAGATTTAATCTGTACTTTAATCTCAAGAATTCGAGATAAATAGTGGTAAGGAAGAAAGTACAATGCGTACAGCTAATGAAACCCAGGAAGATGAGTCAATGCATATAAATAATTCCAACCCAAATAAATACTATTTAAAATGCTACTTAGAGTTTTGCCGTGATACTAGACACAATATGGCAAATCATCCTCAAGAATACAAGAACTAAGGTGTTTCCAGTCCTCTTTAACACCTGTGATGCAGAATATTTGGAGAGCTAAATTGTTATTATTAACGGTCTTAATACCTGGCCACCAACACAGTAGAGGAAACAGTTTTCAAAGTGTCATACATCTCTTCAAATATTCATACGCTTAATGAAACATTTGCACATCTAAAAAGGCATGCAATTTCTATTGAAATCCTGTGTGCCCCTTATTCTAAGCAGTGGGACTATTGACCCACATTTTAAAATAAACTATAGAAAAGGGACTGTAACTTTTACACATTTTTAAAAGACAACATTTCAGAAATCTGAGAAAAATATAGACCATGTCCCCCAAAATGTGAAAAATTTAAGAGTAAAAAATAAGATTTGTGTCCCAATCTAAATGTTTCTGAGGATTAAAACACCTCAGTATTTCTGTTTTACAAGGCTTCATCCAGACGTTAGGGCCCAAGGACCATGGTCACCCTGCAGAATAAGAAGCCAAGACCAAAAGGAATGCTTAGACTTCCCATCTCCTTGTTAAATATAAAATAATATTTTAAAAATCTTATTTTCAGGGTCATAGAGGTAGAAGTGATTTTGTAAATCTAATCCTTTCATTTTTTGAACAACAAAAAAATTAAATCTAGGAGGTGAAGTAATATACTCAAGCTGACATGGTTAGTTAGTAATCAAATCCTGTCCTAACTCAGAATTCAATTTTACAACACCATAGCGCCTTCCTCCTCTGGTCTCATAAATTAAAGATAGAATAGAGAAAGAGGAAGAGTGGGAGGATGGGGAGGACAGTAGGAGGAGGAGGAAGAAAATGTACTCACTTTACTTTTCAAATAAAACTACATCTCTCATCCTAATGATTATGGAGGACTTCTTGTTTTCAGCCATTATCACACATTGTTGCTCTTTACTGTGATATTGGAATGCCCTGCAGAACGAAGCAGGAAATCCAATAAGTATTTTTCTTTATTTAAAGAAAACAAATGTTTATTAATAAGTGAGAAATGCTAAAGATCATTGAATATCTTGGGGGACCAGAGAGCTCAGAATTGCTGCCTCTTTCAGTTATTTGGGCATGGCATTGATGAAGTACTGAACAAAATACACCAACGTGGCAGTAAATCTTATCTGCCCTTACCTTCCCTCCCTCATAATTTTCTCTTTCTTTCTGTTTCAACTGCTTTACTTCTTCTTCACTCATCTTCTTAATTTTTGTTTTTGGGTCAGAAAGAAGCAACTCTGGTTGCTTTGAACCCATTCCCCAAGATAGTCCATCTCCATGACCTCCCAACTCTGATCAGTTCCCCTGAACCTCTGCTCCACATTCCACCCTGCCCTGGCCCCTGACCCCTCCCATCTCCATCCCGTGGTCCTGCTATGGGTGCTCAGTCTGGCATCCATAGCTACTTTCCCAGGCTCATCACCTACACAAAGTCTCTGCTTTAGTCAACTCGATCTCTTAATGGTCCCCCTCAGAAAGTGCAGGGCCGCATCTTCCCCTGCCTTCCTGGTGCTTTTCAAGAGCTCTCTCAACTCCAAACCCAGCTCGGTTCCCACCTCCTCCCTGAGCCTTCTCTAGCTGCCTCAACCTTAGGCACTGTTCTTTCTTCTGGATCTGGGTAGAGCATGCATTGATTATGCCTGTACCTCACTTAGGCTGTCTTTTTTTTTTTAACATTATATCCAGTCACCTTAAATACTGAAGGGCAGGCACTGGATCTTGTAGCTATAAGTCATTGCTCAGATCTATCTAGGACACTTTCATTCATATGATCCTCAACAAACATTTACTGATGATGATGTTAAAAACTGGAGCTCAGAATAATAACTGCTAATGTTTATGTCCGGTGTAAAAACAAATAACTTCCTTTTAGGGTATTTTTCTAACGAAGACTCCAATAAACCTTAACAAGAAGCTGTTAGTATGGCTTCACATACTATGAGCAAATATAGTTCCAAACTCTGGCTCCATACATTTCTCTTTCCTCTTAAATCGTTAATAAATTTGTGAGTAAATTACTTGCCATCTGAATTACAGATTTCTGGGTAGGTGCAACGACGATGAAAATACCTGCAGGTGAATTCTTTGTCCTCCTCACATTTTGCTGCACATTCTTCTCTGCTTCCTGCCCCCAGCTGCTTCTTAGTGACACTGAACAGTGAAGCCCCCTGGGCATTTACATAGTCATCCAGAGGCTCTCCTTGACCTAGAGGTGGGAGATCCAAGTGGAATAAATGGTCAGTAAATCAATGCCGATGTCTAATTGTCATGACTTCCTTTTAATCTATTTGGTTTCCATTAACCAAATAAAACTTGCTGTTTACTGGAAGTAGAATGGGTAGCTATGAATCAAAATGTTTAGTTAAGAACACACAGTTGGGCATGTGGACATAAATAAAGATGGCAACTAAAGACACTGGGGACTACCAGAGAAGGGAGAGAGGGAGCGAGGCAAGGGCTGAAAAACTACCTATTTAGTAGGTATTTAGCTCACTACCTGGGTGATGGGAATCATTTGTACCCCAAAGCTCAGTGTCACGCAATTTAGTGATGTAACAAACCTGCACATGTACCCCTGACTCTAAAAGTTGAAATTATAAAACAAAGAAAAACAGTTTCATTAACAGATTGCAAGATAGTAAAAGATTAACTGGATTGATAAACAGGTTAGAACTATGGAACCACTACTATGTTACCATATTAGTGGATATAAATCCTTAAACAAGAACAAATTTTATGTTTGCTATCAATTGTTCCATGTCATGAGAGAAGAGTAAGGCACCATCAGTGGCAGTTGTGTTACCAAGATTGATGTTGATTTGTTCATCCCTGGGTAGAAATGGAACTTGGAGGCCATTGTTTGATTTCCTACAATATGCGCTTTGGTTCTGACACTGTCACTTGAACTGGTGGGAAGCATCCTCTGAATGGTCCCTCCTTGAGACACATAAATTTTGGTGCATAGATGATGGTGGAAATAAACAAGAACTGAACTAAATTATGCTGCCACCTTGGACAAAAATTGGGCAAAACACTGGAGGGTAAGAAGCTCCCCAACAAAGAAGGCCATTTTTGTACTGGGCTGATGACAGTCACACAACACTACTAACTGGGGAGAAATCAGTTTTTCCAAGGTGTTGATAGGTATCTGGATTTCGGAGGAAATTGTAAAAAAGCAGAACCTGGGACAAATACTGGTTTTGGTTTTTCTTTGAGATCAAATCTGAGACAACGAATCTGTCCGAAAGCTGCTTTCTGCCTGGTCGTGGCAGAGGGTGGCCAAGGGGGCCTCAGCTGTGCTCCCACCACAAGGCTACAGGGTGTTCCCTTGTCCTGAGGCTCTTCCGGACATCTGGCTGAGCTTTGGCAGGTCTATTCCAAGCCTGGAGATGCCAGCGCCATCCTTTGCACAGAATGCTAGTGACTTTCACAGGGGTAAGAGGCCAAAAGAGGCTAATAAAATGAAGATATCCAAGCTCCATGGAATTAGACAACAGGACAACCTTGACCACTTTGAGGGGCGTGGTGGGGGCCGCAGGCAGAGGGAGTGGGTTATAGAGTGACTAGGAGAGCAGTGGAGGCGGCAGCAGGAGACAAGCCTGGCTCTGAAGACAGCGAGCCCTCCAGGGAACATGCGGTCAGGGGAGGTTCTGAAAGACGACACACTGCAGAGCGCATTGGTTTGTATGCTGATGACAAATATCCAGTAGGAAGGCAAATGAACAGATTCTCATTCTCAGAAAGGCCCGTCCTGACCTCCTGAGGGTACACAGAGCACAAGGGGCAGGACAGGGAGGAGGATGCATGCTCATCGATTCATGCAAAGTCCTCGGCCAAAGTCCCCCTGTTCCCCACCTCTTGGACTTTGTCCTTCCTCAATTTAAGACATTCCAGGCTGGAAAAATGGATTATTGAGCAGGAGTTGGCTGATGCATTCTAAACCTAATCCACTAAAAAGCACTTGAGAGATGTATCAAAAGATCACAAAGAAATAGATGCTTTAGGCCCATATCCATGTCTTTACCCCGCACTTTCTGCCAACTTGAACTCTCATTTCCAAGAGGAGTTGTGTTTTGGTTAATTCTATAGCTCACAGCGTGACTTCAAAACACACAATAAATCCACAAAGTGTGTCCTACGGTGAGTTCAGTTAAACTTTCTGAAGAGTTTTTTTGAAGTATAGCAGAGCAGGCTACAATTGATATTCAAAAAAAGAAAACTTCCATTTATTTCCCCCTTCAATTAAGTTCTCTGTGTCATGTTATTATGCTTCATAGCGCATCGCTGCTGAGATCCCCTCCCCAGCTCCTGTCCCTAGGAAATATCCCAAAACAGAATCAAACTTTTTTCTTTTTAATTTGAAATAATTTTCCCCCATTTTTTTTTCTCTTATTCACCTCTAGGACTCATATGGCAATAGGATTTGACAGGGCTTATTTGCTGGCAAGGAAACATCAAACAAATCTTTTAGTGGAAAAATACATTTATATTATAGGCAAAATGCAGATGTATATTGCTACTGATGCAAATGTATTTTACTAATGGTGTGAGAATTTCTTCCTCACTGTGGTGTGTGAATGTGTATGCATATTTGCATGCGTAAAAGACTTAATTTGTGAAATGGAAGATGTTTCTCCACTTCCCACTAAGCATGGCTGTAAAAGAAACTTTTTCCTCTCCCCGGGCATTGCAGCACACTGGAAAGATGATACATCCACAGAAAGCCTGGCTTTCCGAAAGAGCTTATGAGAGAATGTTCCCCCCAGGTTGGTTAAAACATATGTTAATCCTGTGGCAGAGAAGTTTGTTCTAGCCTTTGGGTGTAGCCCACTGAATAAGTTCACAGTGATCTATGTCATAGTTTCCATGCATTGAAATATAATATTCATACCCCCCAACGTACATCAATTTCTTACAAAAATTTCTCTAATTTTCTCCTGCTCTGTATTTTGTTTGATAGCTCCTTGAATGGCTTCCACTAAATTCAAATGTATTTGACTCTAAAGTGCAACTTGTAAAATTTTATCTGGTAATTTATAGATTGAATTTCAAGTATACATTATTTACATGAAGAACTACTAGCAAATCGTATGATTCTGTTTGTATGAAATGTTCAAAATGGCAAAGATATAAATACAGAAAGTAGATTAGTGGTTGCCAGAAGCTGCAGATCAGGGGTAACAGCTAAGGAGAGTGGAGTGCGTTTTGGGGGGTATGAATAGTTTTAAAGTTTATTCTGATGGTGGCTGCACAACTCTCAACGTATTGAAATCCATTGGATTGTATGCCTAAATGGGTGAATTCTATACATTAATTATATCTCAATAAAGCTTTTTTTTTTAAAAAAAAAGAAAAAGAACTACTAGGACATGTTTAGAATATTATTTCAAAGGCTTAAACAAAGCTGAGAAGTGAGAAGAGCCCTAGATTCCTTCTGGGAAACCTGGCTTAAATCCAGTTTTCTTTATTTCCCAGATATGAGAATTTGGTCACTGAGCAAATAACATGATTTTCCTAAGTCTAGATTTCTTTGTTTATAAAATGAGGATGAATATGCTACCCTACCTATACCGCGAGCTAAATAAGCTAGTATTTGTAAAGGACACACACTCACACTCACATTCACACACAGGTATGTATGTATGTGTAAAACTGTAGTGACCTAACCCAAGCACTGAGTATTTGTTGAATCACTATCTGCACACAGCATCTGGCAAATGGATGCGTGTGATTTTTCTGGGGATTAGAGGCAAACGTATACTGATGGAAAGCCTTCCTCAGGCCATAACAAAGGGAGAAATGCTGAGTCCCTGACCCTGCCGCCACCATGAACTGGTGAGAGAACAGAATATATTCAAAGAGAAATTTCATTGTTTTAACTTGCAAGTGAGGGGAGCATGACACCGTTAACAGAGATTATATAAATTAGTCAAACTGAGAACCAGGCGAAGAGCTTAGCCGTCCTTTGCATAGTTAGCTACATTGGCTCTTTTTCAATTAGACTGGCCATTATGTGGGTGCACTCATTTAGATTTGAAAAGTCACCCATTATTTTCTCTGTGTATTCATTCCAGCACCCTGACAATCTTCACAGGAAAACTAAACTTATTTCTTGAAGAATTCCTCAATCTTATACAAGATTTTCAACTGGGAGTTTCATGAATCAAAAATTAAATGAATTGCACATAAAGCCATGGCATATGTATTTGTACTGCATTGTGGGAGAAAAAATAATTATTATAATTTAAAAAAACTATGTCTTACCTGATTTCAGAAATAAAAGAAGTAGAAGAACCACTTCCTTATGTTCCATTTTGGGACTGGCCAGCAGTGCCCAGAAAGTGTGTCCCAGTCCCAGGATGTTGTTGACTTACATGAGAGTAAACGCATCCACAAACCAGATAGTCAAATTAAGTTAATGATTCTCTCAGACACCCACGCCACTGGCTCAGCAGGGTTCAAACATAACCTTGAATAAAGGGTCCTTACAAAATGATTGAGGGTGGAATCTGCAATAGATGCTGGGAAGTGGTGAAAGCAATCTCCCGCCTCAGCTGCTCCACGCTGCCTTCATGTCTCCTTACTCCTTCCCTCACCCTTGTACTTCATCTCTCACAATTAGTCTTATTTCCTCCCCTCTTCTTTTATTCCCTTTCTTTTGGAGAAAATGAACTCATAAAAGTATCTCACATTTGCTGGAACCTTCCATGACAAGACCCTCTGCCAAGCACTGCACGTCCATAGCCTCCCTCAAGCTTCCCAACAGGCAGTGCTGTTCTCATTCCTGCTGTACGAGGGATGGGGTTGAGGCCTTCCCCAAGGTTGTGTCGCTACCCAGGGGTGCAGCTGATAGACAAAACCCTTTCAGGTCTTGGATGACAAACTTAAGTTAGGTATAAATGTTAATATCTCCACATCCTACATCAAATGACATAGAAATTATGACATAAGTGAAAGTATCTTATTATCTTCAAAATTTCTTTATTCCCAGTGAACTCACATGTTTTCTGTAATTATAACTTATGTTATAAGACATCAATCTTTCCCCCAAATGAACGTATGGCATATTATTATATTCTCATTCTCATGAAATAAAGCAAGACTGGTAGCACTAAGTGGAAAGCGTCTATCTCAATTTTAAATGTTGAATCTGTACTTTTCCCTGGCTTAAGTCTAGAGCAACCAGGTAGTATATATGCTGTAAAACTTCTATTTTAGTGTTCAAAGATATTTAGGAATAAATCAATTGACCTCTCTATGTCAGATGTGAAATAAGGACCAGAAAGCATTGTTCCTCTTTCCAGGCAGTGAAATTCCTGCCTATTCATTAACTGGCAAAAGAGTAGAGGTGGGAGCCCAGTGGTCTTGGGTGGAACGTCCTGCGGAATTCCCTGGGATTGAGGAACCATGCAGAACCCTCAAGAAGAAACCACACTGGGCAACAAGAGGGTGGCCCCACGTGAGGGACAGGGGGACCGAATCGCATTTCCTGATTTCCTATTTTAGCCTCACTCTCTTCTCTCCTCAAATTCTTACCACTCCCTTTATCCTCTCTGACTCACCTCATGGCCCAGTTCATTAAAGGGGACAGAAGGTGGAGGCAAATTGAGAAACCAGCAGTGGGCAGATGTTTTATTTTTAATGTGAAATGTCTCTTAGGGGGCTTATGTTGATGTGCTTGAGAAAGTACTTCGGGAAAAAAAAAAAACAAACTCTACTAATATATAATGCTTCCAGCCTGTATTTATTTCCACTTAAAATATTATTGTAGCAGTTCCTCTTGGATAAGGCACCTTGGGAATGATGTTATCAGAAATTCTACATCCACATAATTTTCTTTTCCTGTTGTTTTGGTTTTGAGTTGGGTGGTGTTGGTATAGCTTTTGCCCACCTTTCCCCTGGTAGTTGTTGGATGCATTAAATTCTACAAATGTGATTTTATAAATTAGTTGCCCTCCTAATGGCCTCCTGGCTGTACATTCTTCCCTACCTTCATAATCCATCAGCATCGTGAAAGCACAGAGGGACACTGAGCAGAGTTCTGTGCTGGCGCCACCGCACTCTGTAGCCTGTAAGAGAGCAGCAAAGAGGAATGAGTTGCTCAGGTATAGACGGGGGTGGGTGCATAGAGACTTCCGCTGTGGCACGGCCCTTCATGTCCAGGGTAGGCATGAAGCAATGGACTATTCCAGATTGTGCATAGGAAACCACACTGCACTCTTAGAGGGATTTTTGCTCTAAAGACAACTAATTCAAAATAAGGTGCTTTCTACCTGAAAGAATGGCATGAACTGAGAAAAGAGATATATAGAGAGATCTCTGTGTACTACGATCAGGTTGCACATATTCTGAGATTTATGTATTCTTATTTAGTTCAATTCCTTATTTACTGACCACTTACTGTGTACAATATTGTATTAGATTCTTTTAGGATTACAGTTGACCCTTGAACAACTTGGGGGCTTGGCACACTGACCATACACAGTAGAAAATCCAGGTATAACTCTGATTCCCCCAAACTTAACTACTGATAGCCTGCTGTTGACCAGCAACAGTTAATAACATGTATTTTGTATGTTATATGTATTATATACTGTATTCTTACAATAAAGTAAGCTAGAGAAAAGGAAACGTTTCTAAAGAGAAAATACATCTATGGTACTGTTATGTATTTATCCATACAGTAAGTTTACACCGCCTGTTTACAAGATGAATCATCTGTCTGAAATGGAAGCAACCCCAGCTACAGACCTCAGTCTCTGTTACATATCAAGCAAATCAAGTTTTTCTTGTAATGTCAAATGTCATGACTTTTCTCTGCTTCTTGGGAGCACTTCCAGCATCACTAGTGCCACTTCATGTGGATCCCATGGTGTTATTCAAGGTTTACAGTACAGCATGAAACAGGACGAAAAATACATGTGAACAGGGAGAGGGCACTTTTTACTGTGATGCGCAATTCACTGGGGATGACCTGCTCATGATGGAATGTTGAGTATCACAGAACGTTTTAAGTGGATACTTGCAACACCTAAGCTCATTGCAACAGCAACAGGAGGAGGCTATGAAATTATTACCGTACTGTGGTATGCACTACGGTTAAATTTATGCAGTTACAATTTAATACTGCATCTTGATGTTTGTATACACTTCTCTCAACTGAGAATAGCACCATATACGATCTGTGAGTGTGTACATAAGCTTTACTAAATTTTAACTTTTGCAATAGTTTTGTTATATTTTATGGCAGTAAATAATAAAATAGACTAGGTATCTACATACATTTTATGCATTCATGACATACTTAACTTTTTCTATTTTTGTTGATATTTCTAGCTGCATGGTTTGTCTTTGAGTTTTTTCAAATTGTTGCAAAACTCCAAAACATTTTCTAACACATTTATTGAAAAAAAATCTGTGTGTAACAGTTCAGACGTGTGTTGTTCAATGATCAACTATATGTCTAAAGAGTACAAATCAGTCTGTAACCTTCCCCAGCCTCTCCATGCTAAAGGAACTACAGGAAACTTTCGCACGCAAGATGTGTGGAGATTCCGCTGCTGCACTTGTAACAGGCATAAGAACGTTCAAATAGGCCAGGCGCGGTGGCTAATGCCCGTAATCCCAGCATTTTGGGAGGCCAAGGCGGGTGGATCACGAGGTCAGGAGGTCGAGACCAGCCTGGCCAGCATGGTGAAACCCCATCTCTACTAAAAATACAAAAAATTAGCCAGGCTTGGTGGCGGGCGCCTGTAGTCCCAGCTACCCGGGAGGCTGAGGCAGGAAAATAGTGTGAACCCGGGAGGCGGAGCTTGCAGTGAGCCGACATCACCCTGGGCAACAGAGCGAGACTCCATCTCAAAAAAAAAAAATACAGCTAACATATACCACATTTAATATAGTGAAACTTTACCAAAACTTTAGTACTTACCAAAGGGACCCATGCTTCAATTTCAAAACTAGTTTAACTTTAAAAAAAATCTACCTATACTCATTGAAGGTTTCCCATCTGTGACAGGTTTAGAGTACCAATGCATTTAATAGCAGTGAGCCATAGCCCTCCAAATTAGGACCCACCTAAATGGGAAGCTTCACTGAGAATTATTAACAAAATTCTTCTGCCAAATTGTGCAGACAGGAACATAACAAATTTAAAATATCAATCTAAAGTAACATTACGAATATTCATGCAGGCAGCCTGAAGTCCTACTAAAGGCATGAAGTGCTACTTATTGCTTACCCGAACCACTCCTGTGTATAGCACCAGGTTTCCACTGCCTTCCAAGACCAGCATGGTGTCTATTTTCTTAAAAAAAAAAAAAAAAAAAAGACAAAAAATTTATTTCCCAATCTGAGCAAATTAACAGATTTTTTTGACTGAAAAATCTGATGAAGCGTAATTGTCAACTTCTCAAATGTGCCTACATTACCTCCACTGGTGCTGCATCCTTTGCTGGTATGTTGGTCACTGAATCAAAGATGAGCTGGGTTTTATCATTACTCTCTTGAAACTTTACACAGCTAAATAATAAAATAAAAAAGAAACTTGATACATGCAATAACCTGTATGGTTGTATTAAAAGTATTATGCTGAACAGAAAAAGACAATCTCAAAAGTTTACATACTGTATGAGCCCATTTATAAAACCTTCACAAATGCCAAATTATCAAGATGGAGAATTAGTGGTTACCAGGATCAGTGGGTAACGGTGTATGTGACTATAAGGAGTTAACGTAAGACAGATAAAGATGTTTTGTATCTTGATTGTGGTGGTATTTACACACATCTACATATGTGAAAAAACTGCATAGAACCATACATACACATAAATGAGTACATGTCAAATTGATGAAATTTGAAATAACGTGTGTAGATCATCTATTTCCTGGTTATGATAATGTATTATAGTTATATAAGAGGTTACCTGTGAGGGAAAAAGAATGCAAGGTACACAGGACTTGTTTACTATTTTGTAACTTCCTGTGATCTATCGTATTTCAAAATATGAAGGGAAATAAACGGGCAAAAGATCTGAATAGATATTTTACCTAAGAAGATAAATGAATGGCTAATAACTTCATGAGATGATCAACATCAGAATGCATTAGAGAAAAGCAAATTAAAGCCACTTCACAACCACTGGAAAATAGCTACAATCAAAGAGTGTGATGATATCCAATCCTGTCAAGGATAAAGAGACATTAACCTTCATATTTTGCTGGTGGGAATATAAAATGATACAGGCTATTTGGAAAACAGTTTGGTGATTTCTTAAAAAGTTAAACATGAATTTACCATTCAACCCAACGACCCAATCCTAGGCATTTACTCAAGAAAAATAAAATCACATATGTCCACATTTTTGCTCAAGACCTTTGTTCAAATGTTCATACTGTCCTAATTCTCAGCAGTCAAGAGGTGGAAATAAATCAAAAGTCCGTCAGCTGATGAACAGATAAACAAAACATGGTGGTAGATCTATACAATGGACTATTACATAGCAATAGGTATGAAATAATGATACATGTTACAAAATGGTGGATCCTAAAAACATCACGCTAAGTGAAAGCTAAACACAAAAAGCTACACTGTGTGTACATACATTATATATATATAAATGTCCAGAAAAACTAATCTATAAAGGCAGAAGCCTAGCATGGTTGCCTGAGGCTGGAAATGGGAACAAGACTGACTACTAACAAGCACAAGGAAATCTTTTTATGGTGATATAAATCTTGTAAAATTGGGTCATGGTGATGGTTGTAGAACACTGTAATTTACTAAAAATCATTTAATTGTACAGTTAAAACATGTTAATTTTATGACATGTAAATTATTTCTAAATAAAACTACTTAAGCCAAAAAAAAGGAAAGAAAAGAAAAAGAAAAAGCAGTGCTGAGTTATTTATACAGAAACAATGGGAAATACATCCACCTACCGTAAGTGGAGCTGGGACTCTACTAAAAAGCACAGGAATTTTGCCCACATAGGTCAGATGTAATAAACACTTTTGAGGCTTGTGAATTTTTCTCTCTATAATAGATACATTAATAAAGTAACTGTCAGCACTGGTCCAAGAATCTACCACAGTAACTATTAAAAGTCTTTGAGGCCGGGCGCGGTGGCTCACACCTGTAATCCCAACACTTTGGGAGGCCGAGGCGGGCAGATCACGAGGTCAGGAGATCCAGACTATCCTGGCTAACACGGTGAAATCCCGTCTCTACTAAAAATACAAAATAAATTAGCCAGGCATGATGGCGGGCGCCTGTGGTCACAGCTACTCTGGAGGCTGAGGCGGGAGAATGGCATGAACCCAGGAGGAGGGGCTTGCAGTAAGCCAAGATCGCGCCAGTGCACTCCAGCCTGGGCGACAGAGCCAGACTCCGTCTCAAAAAGAGAGAGAGAGAGAAAAAAAAAAGTCTTTGAAAATATTCTGCAAGAAATCTAAAAGCTACTTAGGTCAAGCAATAATCTCAAAGACACAAACATTTCTAAGAATTAAACTTCATGATCTCTAAGATCCTTTCAGTTCTTTGATTATGAGCTCATTACACAGCTTTGTTGGGGAAAGCTACAATAAATTTAACAATTACTGATGAACTTTTAAATTACATACTATGTAAGCTCCCTACTTGTAATGCAAACTAAGCCACCTACTTGTAAAGTGATGCATGCAAACTTGAATTCCTATCCCGCAAAGGGCCAGATCTTTCATAATGCTATTTCTCCTCTCTACCCCCTCTCCTTCTCAGATTAGGCCTCATTCACATCTCTTTTTGAAATCGTATCTCTAATTCCCAAACCCTTCCTTCTAAAGTGCTACAGAAGGCCGGGTGTGGTGGCTCACGCCTGTAATCCCAGCACTTTGGGAGGCCGAGGCCGGCAGATCACCTGAGGTCAGGAGTTCAAGACCAGCCTGACCAACATGGAGAAACACTGTCTCTACCAAAAATACAAAATTAGCCAGTAATCCTGTAATCCCAGCTACTCAGGAGGCTGAGGCAGAAGAATCAATTGAACCTGGGAGGCAGAGGTTGCGGTGAGCCGAGATCGGGCCATTGCACTCCAGCCCGGGCAACAAGAGCGAAACTCTATCTCAAAAAATAAATAAATAAATAAATAAATAAATAAATAAATAAATAAAGTGCTACAGAAGACCCATAAATCTAAAAAATAAGAATCTATAATATATTCAACTTACAAATAAGTTATTTAAAGAAAAATGATCTATAATTGTAGGATACTTTTATTTGATATATGAGAAACAAGCCAGAGAGACTACTTCAACATTGTATCCACATCTTTACTTTCTTCAGACTACCTATCCCCATTTCATTCTCTCTAAGATTATGCATTTGCCTTCCATTTCAGATAAAACGAGGCTCTAAGGCTTGAGCTCAACCTCCTGCCTTACATATCCGATCAACCTTCACTTCTTTATCCCAAGGCTAATCTCACCACTTGTGCACCTTTCTGGTTACTTGTTCCATCAATCGTTTCCTCTCTTCTGTATTTTCAATACTTTCCCTTGAGTATAGTCCGTATAGCCTACTATTTCACATTAAAAGTCTTAATATAAAATGGACTCAACATTAGAGTATATAAAAGACCTTCTCAATTCGACTGGATATAAAACTTGTATTGTGGTTAGGTAAGAAAATATTGGGGGCCAGGCACAGTGGCTCACACCTGTAATCCCATTACTTTGGGAGGCAGAGGCAAGCAGGTTGCTTGAGCCCAGGAGTTTGAGACCAGCCTGGGCATCACGGCAAAATCCTTTCTCTACAAAAATTAGTCAGGCGTGGCGGTGTGTGCCTATAGTCCCAGCTACCTGGGAGGCTGAGGTTGGGGAATCACCTGAGCCCAGAAGGCCAAGGCTGCAGTGAGCTGTGATTGAGTCACTCACTGTACTCCAACCTGGGTGACAGAGTGAGACCCTGTCTCAAAAAAAAAAGAAAAAGAAAATACTGGGGCAAGATGTCATGAAAACTAATTTTATTATAGTCCAGCAAAAACAAAACTCTCCTTGACCAAGACTCCCTCTAATTTTGTATCTTCATTCCTATTCAAAGGCAAACTCCTTAAAGAGTCTGTATGCCTATGTTCATTTCCTCAGTCCCCATTTACTTTTTCTACCCCACTTTCCCCCGCCACCCTCCCAGCTTAAAATGCTCTGGCCAAGGTCACCAAGGAACCCACTGCCACCCAGGTACCTCCTCTCTGGGTTCAACTCTCAGGGCCACACTTCACCAGTACCTGGCAATACTGGCATCTCTGTATTCTTGAAATGTTCTTTTTTGTATTCTGTATTTCCTGCTGCTTCTCCCATCTGACCTCTTTTGCTTTGTCTCTCTGCGCCAGCTTTGTCTCTTTCCATTCCCCAAATCTTAAGTTTCCAGGACTTCAGTTCCTAGCCCTCTTCTCATTCTACACCACTGGATTTTAACTATTTGGAGGCCACAAATCCCTTTGAGAATCTAAGGAATGTTAAAACCCTCTCCTTGGGAAAAGGCTTATATGCTACATGTACACACAATTATTGAATACAATATTTCTTCAATTCTAATCTAATTCTCTTACCTCAATCACCACTTATAAGCTGACAATTCCACATTTATTGTTCTGCTCTTTCCCAAACTTCCAACACACTTATAAAGTGCCTTCTTACCGCTGTCATCAAACAGACCAGAGGCCTAAAGGGCAATCAGTAATCGCTCAAGCCTCCTTTTTTTTTTTTTTTTTTTGAGACAGTCTCACTCTGTTGCCCAAGCTGGAGTACAGTGGTGTGCTCTTGGCTCACTGCAACCTCCAACTCCCAGGTTCAAATGACTCTCTCACCTCAGCCTCCAGAGTAGCTGGGACCACAGATGCACGCCATCATGCCTGGCTAATTTTTGTATTTGTAGTAGACATGGGGTTTCACCACGTTGGGCAGGTTGGTCTTGAACTCCTGAGCTCAAGTGATCCATCTGCCTCAGCCTCCCAAAGTGAGTGATTACAGGTGTGAGCCACTGCACCTAGGAAGCCTCCTCTTCATTAGCCTTTTCCCTCCCCTCTGCAAAAACCAGAGTGGGAGTACTTATAATTCCCTAAATACACCACGCACTCACCAGAACTTTTGTTCTGATCCCAGCTGCCGTCTGTGGTCTTTCTCAACTTCCCTGCCTAGCGAATACCTATTCGTCTTTCAAAGCCCTACCAGCAAAAGTAGTCCCTCCTGTGTCACCATCCTTCAGCTATCTGCCTCTTTTGAGGACAGGGACAGTGACTTATTAGACTGTTAACTAGCACACACATTGGCATATAAATTAACACGTGAATTATTAAAGAGAATATAAAAGAAGAAAGGTCACCCAGAACAGAGATCTAAGCTATGTTTCCCAAAAAGTAAAGCTGGCACTCAACTAACATGAACATAAAACTTAGGAAACGTGCTAAAACCCCACATTTCCTCACGGATGGAAATTAACTGTTTCTCCCCAGAACAAAAAACACCCGAAAAATGAGAGATTATTACTATAAAGGAAGAAATATCAGATGACAAAATAATATTTTTATGACGACTTTTTTTTTTTGAGATAGTCTCACTCTGTCACCCAGGCTGGAGTGCAGTGGCACGATCTCAGCTCACTGCAAGCTCAGCCTCCTGGGTTCAAGCAATTCTGCCTCAGCCACCTGAGTAGCTGGGATTACAAGTATGCACCACCACACCCAGTTAATTTTTGTATTTTTAGTAGAGACGGGGTTTCACAATGTTGGCCAGGCTGGTCTCGAACCCCTAGGCTCAAGTGATCTACCAGCTTCAGCCTCCCAAAGTGCTGGGATTACAGGCATGAACCACCGCGTCCAGCCTATGATCACTTTAATCTCATTAATATCCTCTACTGAAACTGAGGTGGCCTTAATACATATCTCTATATATTTTTACATATATTAATAACTGATCACATTAAAAGGAAACTTTAAACAAAATGCCATATATTTCCCAAGACTTTCAGCAACATTTTTCTTTGAATATAATAATATATATAACAAACCTTATATTAGTAATCATTTCTGTCCACAAATGGTCAATACACAGTTCAGGAACAATTGGCTCCGTTTCTGGTGCAAGAAAGGAGTCATTAGAATTACTATTTGGAGAATGAGAAATACTATGTCTCTTTGGAGACTGATTATGGCTTGAAATGTTGAACCTTTGCACCCCTGAAAAAGAGTGCACTCCTAACGCAGGAGAATGAGCACGACTGCAAAATAAACAGAGGAGAGAGTACATCGCAGTTAGCAGGGCAGGCTTATATGACACACACTCCAATGACACTTCCCAAAATTCCACAGACAGAAGAGCATTCATGGCATAATCCAGGTCAGAAATTAAAATTTTTCAAAAAGGAGTAGCTATTTAAATGCTTCATGTCAATGTGCTTTACTATATTCTAAAGATTTAGAATTATTGTTAGAAGAACTCATCTTTTACAACTAAAACTTAGATCATCTTCTTTTTCGGAAAATGAACTGATTATTCAAAAAGCTCTAAACTATGTCCCTGTATAGTCAGACATATATATATATCAACAAAACAATGTCCCTGCAGCACCAGATATACATATCTGGTGATTTAAGTATATATCTATATAGAGAAATAGATACATTTAGATATCAAATAACAAGAAAAAAAAGAAAAACTAACATAAATTAAGGCAAAAATAAAATAGTGCCACAATATTTTGGGAATTAATATTCATCAAACCGTTGCCCACATAGTGGTAGAAATGAGGCAACTAACCTTAGGACAAGCATAGGCAGCTTCAAAATATGACTCAGGAAAGAATGTGACATGGTAAACTTAGAAATCTTAGTAAAAGTGGCTCAGGGCTGAGCACGGTGGCTCACGCCTGTAATCCCCACACTTTGGGAGGCCGAGGTGGGCGGATCACAAGGTCAGGAGATGGAGACCATCCTGGCTAACACGGTGAAACCCCATCTCTACTAAAAATACAAAAAAAAAAAAAAAATTAGCCAGGCGTGGTGGCAGGCGCCTGTAGTCCCAGCTGGAGGCTGAGGCAGGAGAATGGCGTGAACCCGGGAGGCGGAGTTTGCAGTGAGCCAAGATTGTGCCACTGCACTCCAGCCTGGGTGACACAGCAAGACTCCGTCTCAAAAAAAAAAAAAAAAAAAAAGTCTCAATTGGGATAATGGCTATTTCCCCTAAAAAAAACTCCCCTAAATATATTTCCCCTAAAAACAGCTGTCAACAGCAATTCTAAATCCTTCAAAACAAAACAGAAAGCTTAGAAAGAAAAACCAGGAAACCCTTCTACCTTAGAGCTGCCATGTTGGAAATAGAAGGTGAGCGAGAATGTAGACTGGGTGATGAGGTTGAGCGACTCTGGCTGTGAATGGAGGAGTAATTCCGGAAAGGTGAAATCACAGGGGAATCTCCTTTGGAGAGGCTTCTGAGATGTGCTGTGAGGGAGCTGCTAGTGGCCACATTCTGTGGGGTTCCCCCCTGTTCAGAGAACTTTAAAACAACATTCTCTTCCTTAAGTCAAAATAAAAAGAAAGAGGAAAAAAAAACAATAATTAGAATAAAATAGCAATTTCCTTGTAAGAATGCAAGTTGAAGTCAGTTACTAAAGACACAGTATTTCTTCTTTCCTAAGAAGCTCAATCTATTTCTCAAATGAGGCCAGGTGCCATGGCTTACATCTATAATCCCAGCACTTTGGGAGGGTGAAGAGAGAGGATAGCTTGAGCCAAGGAATTCAAGACCAGCCTGGGCAACATAGCAAGATCCCATCTCTACAAAAAATTAAAAATTAGCTGGGAGTGGTGGTACACACTTGTAGTCCTAGCTACTCGGAAGGCTGAGGCAGGAGGATCACTTGAGCCCAGGAGTTCAAGGCTGCAGTGAACTGTAATTGTGCCATTATACTTCAGCCTGGGTGACAGAGTGAGGCCCTGTCTCTAGAGATGATGATGATGATGATAATAATAAAACAACTATTCACAAGTGATTCTTCCAAAAAAAAAAATGTGAGGGTATGAAGTATTAACTACTCTTTCATATATATATATATATATATATATATACACACACACACACACACATATACATACATATATACATACCTATATACATATATACATACATATATACACATATATACATATATATACATACATATATATACACACATATATACATATATACATACATATATATATACACATATATACATACATATATATATATATACATACACACACACACATTTTTTTTTTTTTGAGATGGAGTCTCATTCTGTCACCCAGGCTGGAGTACAGTGGCACGATCTTGGCTCATTGCAACCTACACCTTCCAGGTTCAAGTGATTCTCCTGCCTCAGCCTCCCGAGTAGATAGGATTACAGAAGCCACCACACCTGGCTAATTTTTTATACTTTTGGTATAGATGGGGTTTCACCACGTTGGCCAGGCTGGTCTTGAACGTCCTGACCTCAAGTGATCCGCCTGCCTTGGCCTCCCAAAGTGCTAGGATTACAGGTGTGAGCCAGTGCACCCAGCCTACCCTTTCCTATTAAGGAGAAGTGACTTGCCTTTCTCCTTACCTCTGATTTGACTCTCCGGAGAGTCCACACAGAATGCACATTTTGAACAGCATCATAAGTCGTTACAATAGAGGGGTCAGTATTGAGGAAAACAATTTTCATTGCATGATCTACAACATATTGTACCCGTGATGAACCAAAAAGACCTTAAAAATAAAATAGAAAAATCAGGTATAGAACAATGGGCTTTACAAGACTGATATTTATGAACGGAGCTCTTAAAATTGTTAAAGATAAAGAACAACCCAGCCAAAGAGAGCACAAAATCTATTACTATCTTAAATAATTAACTCTGAATTTTTAATAAATTTACTTTAGGCATCAACTTCCTTAAAATACATTAAAGATGAGAGCATTACAAGTTTTAGCTTCACATACATGCTGTTGCTAAATGTTAACATTTGTGCTGACTCTCACCATTACACGAATCAGCCACAGGTAAAAGGTCGATGATTTCTTCAACTGACTTATTTATAAATTGCACTCAACTATTCTGCCAAGTTTGACTTCCTTATTGGTTCTGTTCTTCTGTATGAAAGCTGTACTCTATAATTACTATTCAGACAGTGCCGAACAGTACACTGTTGTTTCTGCTTTACTAGTTACACATGCAAAATAAGGTTTTTCCCAGTGAGTTCAGCTTTTAATCTAAAGTACCATGGACTGGTCTCCATATCCTTATTTGACAGGAAATGTTTCCCACTCAGCTAAAATATTGAAAAATTTTTAAATGATTTTATAATCATAAGAAATACTTTATAAATAAAAATCATGCCACCATCTCAAACTATCTACTATTAATACATTAGAGAATTTTTGGGTTTTTCATACATACATACACACTTTATACATTTTTACAAAATTATAATCATACTGTGTTAAAGTTTTGTATCCTACTTGACATTACAAATAAGCAACTTCTAGTTCACTAAATATTATTCAAAAATATGATCAATAATGGCTGCACTCCTCCCTCCAGTCCGTGCCTCCAAGATGACAAAGAAAAGAAGGAACAACAATCGTGCCTAAAAGGGGCACAGCCACATGCAGCCTATTCGTTGCACAAACTGTGCCCGACGTGTGCCCAAGGACAAGGCCATTAAGAAATTCATCATTCGAGGCTGGGCACGGTAGCTAAGGCCTGTAATCCCAGCACTTTGGGAGGCTGAGGCAGGCGGATCACGAGGTCAGGAGATCGAGACCATCCTGACTAACACAGTGAAACCCCGTCTCTACTAAAATAAAAAAAATTAGCGGGTCGTGGTGGCGGGCCCCTGTAGTCCCAGCTACTCGGGAGGCTGAGGGAGGAGAATGGTGTGAACCTGGGAGGTGGAGCTTGCAGTGAGTCCAGATCCCGCCACTGCACTCCAGCCTGGGCAACAGAGTGAGACTCTGTCTCAAAAAAAAAAAAAAAAAAAGAAATTAATTCATCATTCGAAATGTGGTGGAGGCTGCAGCAGTCAGGGACATTTGTGAAGCGAGTGTCTTCAATGCCTATGTGCTTCCCAAGCTGTATGGGAAGCTAAATTACTGTGTGAGATGTGCAATTCACAGAAAAGTCGTCAGGAATCCACCTTGTAAAGCCCACAAGGACCAAACACACCCACCCCGATTTAGACCTTCGAGGAGTGCTGCCCCACAACCCCCACCAAAGCCCATGTAAGGAGCTGAGTCCTTCAACACTGAAGACAAGGCCAGGCGTGGTGGCTCATGTCTGTAATCCTAGCACTTTGGGAGGCCGAGGTGGGTGGATTGCCTGAGCTCAGGAGTTCGAGATCAGCCTGGGCAACAGGGTGAAACCCCATCTCTACTAAAATACAAAAAATTAGCTGGGCGTGATGGCACACCCCTAATCCCAGCTACTAGGGAGGCTGAGACAGGAGAATCGCTTGAACCTGGGAGGCGGAGGCTGCAGTGAGCCGAGATCGTGCCATTGCACTGCAGCCTGGGTAACAAAGCGAGACTCCGTCTCAAAAAAAACAAAATGAAAATAAAAAGATTGAAGACAGACTATTCTCCAGAGAAAAAATAAAATGGAAATTGTACTTAAAAAAAAAAAAAAAAAAAGGCTGCATGCCATTTAATCCCAGGCCGTAGTATGTTTATTCGGGTTGTCTGCAATTAGTAACAACATAAAATTTGAACTTTTGCTGTAAAAGATCAAAGACTAAATAGTGCAGTTTGCTGTCCACATACTGACTCTATCACATAATCTTTGTTATTTCCTACAACCCTTTAAAAGGTAAAAACCATTCTTATGTTGGGTGCGGTGGCTCACGATGTAATCCCAGCACTTTGGGAGGCCGAGGTGGGTGGATCACCTGAGGTCAGGAGTTCAAGACCAGCCTGGCCAACACGGTGAAACCCCGTCTCTACAAAAAAATACAAATATTAGCCGGGCGTGGTGGCACACACCTGTAATCCCAGCTACTCAGGAGGCTGAGGCTGGAGAATCATTTGAACCAAGGAGGTGAAGGTTGCAGGGGGCCGAGATCCTGCCACTGCACCCCAGCCTGGGCGACAGAGCGAGACTCTGTCTCAAAAAAATAAAATAAAAGACACTTTTATTTTGACAAAGTCAAGGCTGACACTTTAGTGATCCTTGCCACATGGTGTTTGTATTTGAGAGAAGCAGTCGGTTCACCCCCGGGGCAGAGGTGAGTAGGAAGCCTCCTGTACACATCATGTACCTGGCAGGGCCATCTGTTGGCTGTGCGTGTCCCAGGGGCTGGAAATAGAAATGCCATCCTTAGAGAGAAGTAAAATTCCTATTTTTGGGGTGGAAATGAGGACAGTGGGTGAGCTAACTGCCTCTTGGGGATTACTGAGGGATTAAGGGGGAAGCTCTGCAAGAGTAGCGAGGGAACGATGCCTCCTAGATACAAAGGATTATTTTTGTGACCCCAAAAGGTTACACTAAAGAATAAACATATGGCCCATGTTAGATAATCCCATCCACCCTCAGGTCAACCCAAATCAGCATGCCGAAAGGGACTGGGTCCAGGAATCAATGCGTTTCTTCAGCCAAAATATCTGAGGTGCAGACTTCCCAAAAAGTATTTGCAATTTGGGTGGCAGCCACTCACACCTATTAGAGCTTAGCTCTGGGAAAACATCATAAGGGGACCTCGTGTCAGGCCATTTGCACTCTTGGTTTTATTGCTGCACTGAGAGAGAAAGCGGGAGTCCTGGGGGCTCACTGAACGCTGAACCAGAGAGCAGAACAGCTGGACACAGCTGGACACAGCTGAACATGGGGTGCAGGCCTGGAGAACATGGGTGAGAGACCCTTGCTTTTCTCAGCCCTGTTCTCCAAATTTTGAGCTTTGGCTTTTCACTCACCTTTTGTTTTTCTCACTAATTCCCACACACTACCTAGTGTGTGTCCAGGTGTGGGTTGGACGAAATGTGATGAAATGTCAACTGCACGCTGAGCTTATCATGTTGTCGTCAGCAAGTCCCTAAGACTTAGGACGCAGGACAGATAAGCTTCTTGAAAGAAAAAGGATGGGGAATGTGGTCAGAAGGGGCCAGGCCTTCCCCAGCAACCTGAGCTCTGCACAGCGTCTTGGCCGTGCTCTGCTGCAGCCTCAGGGTGTCGAGGACTGAAAGTCCCAAGAACTTAAAATTCCAAATGTGCTCTAGGGAAAGTTGGCTTTTCCTAGATCATTTCTCCCTGTAGAAATTTAATTTAGTTTAATTTCTTACATTGTGTTAATGTGTTAACATTTCCAATTTACAATTTCCATTGTAAAAATGTAAAGCTCAAATCCTAAATTTTTGCCTTTAAAATTTATTTAATCAACTGCTATCAAAATTCACTTTCTTTTCTTTTCCAAGCAATGAAAAGAGAAAGTGAATTCGATGTGTGTATCCACACACATATAAAATATATATACCAGAAAATATATATCAGAAATATATATGTATCAGAAAAAAATATATATCTGTTACATATATCAAAAAATATAGATAGCCCTCCCTCACTATTCGTGGGGGATTGGTTCCAGGAACCCCCATGGGTAACAAAATCTACAGATGTTCAAGTCCCTGTTGTAAAATGACATAGTATTTGCATATAATCTATGCATATCCTTTGATACTTTGCACATCCTCTGATACTTTAAGCATCTCTAGATTACTTATGATATCTAATAATATAATGTAAATGCTATGTAAACAGTTGTTACACTGTATTGGTTTTTTAATATGTATTATTTTTTATTGTTTTTTAAAAATATTTTTGATTTGCAGTTGGCTAAATCTATGGATGCGGAATCTGCAGATACAAAGGGTCAACCCTGTGTACGTGTGTTTGTGTGTGTGAATGATACACACATATATATATACGAAAATACCGAAACTGGCCCAATTGTCCCATAGAACTGATGTCAACTGATATTTATGGTTTTTTTTGAATAAACATAGAAACTGACCTTCCCAGTCTTAAAACTTGAGAAAGGTACATTTGTCTTATTTGAGCTTTCCTCTCTCAGGAAACCAACCATCAGCCTTCCCAAATACTATCAAGAAACTGAAACTTACCAATCACTGCATCTGGACAATGGGATGTCAGACCGCTCACCCTTCATGATTGCCTATAAGACCACCTCCTTCCTGTTGACCAGCTCCTCTTTCTTGCCCCTCCCTAATTCCTATTTTTCCACACATGGTTACATTTCTTACTCATTATACAGATCCCTAATTTTAGTGGGTTGAGGAGATGGATTGCAGAATGATCTCCCATCTCCTCAGCTGCAGCACCCAATTAAAGCCTTCTTCCCTGGCAAAACATGTCTTAGTTCTTGGCTTTCTGTGCAGTGAGCAGCAGGACTTACACAGAACCCCTGCTATTTCAGTAACAATACTCTGAAAAGAAGAGAAAGTGAATTTGATGTTTATATGTGTATACATATACATACACACCCATATAAGTGAATTCACTTATGTTTATGTTTTGATTATTTTGCTTTAATTCTGGAAGCACATCCTGTATTTTGTCATGTCTTCCTTGATTTTTTGAAATGATTTTTAGTCTTTGCTTATCTACTTATATTTCAAAAGTCTGGATATTTATTTTATATTTATGAGGTAATATTTTTAAAGGACAGATGAACCTGAATCAATTGTCCTCAAACAGATAGTCTATAACATTTCCATTAAACCACCTGCTTCCTACATTTTTTAAAGACAAGGATTAAATGACATTTGAGTACACACAGACTTGATACAGTAAATAATACTATGAACTTTAAAATGTCTCTTGTACTCTTTTAAAACAATTTCTTATTGTCACATTATCATTTAATCACCCTATAAAAGGCAGTGGAGGGCTGGCATATCATTGCTTTGTATATAAGACAATTGAAGTCCATAAGGGAAGGAAATTACCCAACCCCAAACCATACAGTATATAATGGCAGAGTTCTATTTCTAAAACCCTCTAACTTTTGTCTCCCAAGGTGAAGCTTATTTTACCTGACCACTGGGAAACCAAGAAATCATTGCAAAGAGCTCCCAAGTCTATATGTCCACCAAGAATTGTGTATCACTGATGTCTACCACTCACGGATTTTCAAACATATGTAAAGATTATGTATGGTTAGCAAAATAAAAATGTATTTTAAAATGTTATTGCATTCAGAGTAGCTTTCACACAACACATGATTTCTTAGTCAATGGATATTGAAATAAAAAGAGGTCCTCATTGTGGAAAGGTTATGAACCATTGCCATTAATTACTGAATCATTCAGGATGTGCTAGGTCAAGTGCAGTAGAAAACAACCCCCAAATCTGTGATGTAAAACAGTGTGGCCCATTTCTCACTCATTGTGGGTTGGCTGGGACCTCTACTCCACAGCTTCCTCCTGCACCAGGGCTGACTAATAGATCAGCTACTACCATCTGGACCATTTCCATTTACCATGGCAGAGGAAGTGAGCATGATAAATTATGCACTGATTCTTAAAGGTCTGCCTGGAATTGGCACCTGTCAATTCAACTCATACTTTAGCATTTGCCAAAGCGAGTTACGTGGCCACCACTAACACCAAGAGGACAGGAAAGTACAATCCTACCATGTGCCAGAAAGGCAGGGACATTCTGGTGAGCACATTAGTGGCTCACCACAACCATATTAACTCTTGCACTGTGGTTGTAGGACAGGGGACACCAGGACTTTCCAAAGGTAGATTGCAGGATGCTGGAGGAAGAATTTTATAATTAATACTCCTATGTAATCTAGTAGTTCTTAAACATTTCAGTTTTAATGACTCACTTTCCTCCACTATGTTTTATACCACATATTATTTTTCCACCAAAAAAAAAAAAAAAACCCAAATCCTCAGAATCCTCTCCAATGTGCACTTCATCTCAGATCTCAGACAGAGACCAGTAGTTGAAAACTGAAGCAAGCAACGCAGTGAAAAGAGCTTACCTTTTTCAGTTTGCTGAACAGAGTTCTGGAGCTGTCTTCTCTTCATCTCCTTTTGATATTTACCAAACTTTTCGTTTGAGAACATTGATGTCACTACAATTCATTCTGCATTCTGATATCAGTGTCATTGTGATAAATGTTTTCACTCTATTCTCAAACCACACAGTTTCACACCCTTTTAAAATCAAGTTGTAGAAAATCTCTAGCTTTTTTCATGTGAAAAGTCCTTTTCTCTTTAGACTATTCAGATGTGGCTGCTGATGCAGATAAAATGAGCTAATTCCAAGTAGCCACATGCAGACTTTCTACCTGCAAATTACTATTTCACGTCTTCCATGGCTAAAGGTCCTCCATCATTCATAGCAAGCTAACTGACACTAGGATAGTCATTCTCCCCAAGTGACTCCAGATGGAGTCTGTTAAAATGCAGATCCCTAGGCCCCACCCCAGCTTTGCATGTTTATGAAGGGGAGCCAGGAATCTGTAGTTTTCATTAGCACTCCAAGTGACTCCTATGAACACTTAAATTGATGAGGCACTGCTATGGTGTAATCTGAACAACAGAACTCCATCTTCTATTGAGGGATACATGGGAGAGAGCTTCCAAAGAACAAGAGGTAGAAATCTAAACAAAAGATTTTTGAGCTTCCATCTCAATTTAAGGGGCAGTCATGCTGCCTTGGAGTGAGACAGTCCACGGGAGACAGTCCATCAGTTCCTTTCAGTGATGCTGGTAAATAATTTAGTCAGACAACTAAGTGCCCATTCCATTTCAGAAAATGAAGCAGGAATTCAAAGGCTTTGAAGGTCACTCTGGATTACTTATATTGTAAATGATATTAAGCCTATATCCAGAGTTTTAAAAAAGGTTTACATTTTATATAGTATCAATTAACAAATAATGTTAAACTGAAGGGGTTTTTTAAGCTTATTTTTTAACTCAGCTCAAATTGTTTTGTTTAGTTGTGAAGTGGAATCTCTTGCTTAACTTTAAAATAATATGAGTTCAAAAACATTAGATGCACCATCCATTATTGTAGAAGTGGTGGTTAAAATTTGGTCTTTCACCAAGATTCCTTGGAGAAATGGCCAAATGCAGGGATGGAGCACAGAAAGCACAGATGATCCTGGAATATCTCCTTGTGCCAGAAAGTATGAGTGTTCAAGGGATGATGGGGACATGGCATGAGACACAGGAGAATCCCACTGGCCAGATCAGGGCAGATGAGTGGTAAGCACAGTGGGTGATAATCCACCGAACAAAATACGAATGGAAAGGTGCACATAGACAGAAAGAGACAATGGAGACGGGTAAGTTTGCCTTTACAACAGAAAGCCAACTAATAAATCTTGAAGGCATAATGTGGTTAGAAAATCATCTGTGCATGCTACAACTAGTAGATGAAAGTTTAATGAGGAAACAGATATTGGCACTGTCTCATAGTATCACCCCAGAAATTACTTATGAATTCTAAAGTGAAAAATAAAAACTTTGAGCTGGAAAACACTGGCAGATGTCATGTTCACCAAGCAATCAGATCTCGCATCACCGATACTAGGACACACTAGCATCAAGTGCCTTCTGATAAGATACTTTGAGAGGATCACATATCGCTTCTGAAGTGTTCTTGCCAAAAACATATAACCTGAATCTAATTATTCAAATATATCCTAAAAATCCAAATTGCAGGATATTCTACCATGTAACTGGCCTGTACTTGAAAACAATGTCAAGGTCAAAAAGCATGAAGACTATTCCAGATCCAAGAAGATTAAAGAGAAAGGACAGCAAATGCAATGCATAATTCTGGATTGGATCTTGGATTAGGAAACACAATCACTATAAAGGACATTATTGGGACATTTTACCGAATTTGAATATGAGCTGTGGATTAAATTATGTCATTGTATGATGGTAAAATGTAGGATTATATCTATTCTGTAGTTAGTTATTCTTTGGAAATATACAAAAGTATTTAGACATTAAAGGACAACTTATCTCAGAAGATTCAGAAAAATAGGACAAACACAGAGAATGGTAAAGCAAATGTAGCAAAATGTTTAATAATTCATGAATCTAGGTGAAAGGGATCCAAGTATTCTTTGTGCCATCCTTGCAACTTTTCTGTAAGTCTGAAATTATTTTAAAATGAATATTTTTAAAAATACTTTTAGAGAGAAATCAACCAAATGCAATGTGTAGACTTATTTTTATCCCAAATGAAACAAACCAACTCTTAGCAGATATATTGGACACAATCAGGAGAGGTTGAACATGGACCATACGTATGGACAGTACTATATGACACCAAGGAATTATTGTTGATTTGGGAGCAGTGACAAAGGTAATTATGTTAAGAAAAAGGTCCATATTTAATAATAGTATATCTTGAAATAGTGACAGGTGAAATGATATACTGTCTAGGATTTGCTTGTCTTTAGATTTTTAAAAAACACTCCAGGAAAGAAAATGTGTGAAGATAAATGCATTAAAATCAGCAAGCTGGCTGGGCGTGGTGGCTCACGCCTGTAATCCCAGCACTTTGGGAGGCTGAGGCAGGCTGATCACGAGGTCAGGAGATCAAGACCATCCTGGCTAACACAGTGAAACCCCGTCTCTACTAAAAATGCAATAAATTAGCCGGATATGGTGGCAGGCACCTGTAGTCCCAGCTACTCGGGAGGCTGAGGCAGGAGAATGGCGTGAACCTAGGCAGTGGAGCTTGCAATGAGCCGAGATCGCGCCACTGCACTCCAGCCTGGGTGACACAGTGAGACTCCATCTCAAAAAATAAAATATAAAATAAAATAAAATAAAATAAAATAAAATAAAATAAAATAAAATAAAATAAAATAAAATAAAATAAAAATAAAATAAAATAAAATCAGCAAGCTGTTGGCAATTGTTGCAACAAGGTGGTGGTTACATAGGGCTTCATTACACTCTATTCTCTCTTCTTTTGTGTATCTTTGCACTTTTCCATAATAAGCTTTTTAGAAGTTAAAAAGAAAAAGAAAAATACCTTCCTGAAATATTTCCCTGCTGGATGACTTTATGTAAAATGATTAGCAATCCAGTTTTTGTCATTTTTCTCTTCAACTCTGTTTTGCCATTTTATTTTATCTTATTGTATGTATTTATTATTGTTATTATTTGAGATCAAGTCTCACTTTATCGCCTAGGCTGGAGTGCAGTGGCATGATCTCAGCTCACTGCAGCCTCTGCCTCCTGGGTTCAAGCGATTCTCATGCTTTAGCCTCCCGAAGAGCTGGAACTACAGACATGAGCCACCACACACAGCTAATTTTTTTATTTTTCGTATAGACAGGGTTTCACAATGTTGGCCAGGCTGGTCTTGAACTCCTGGCCTCAGGTGATCCGCCCGCCTCAGCCTCCCAAAGTCCTGGAATTAAAGGAGTGAGCCACCACGCCCAGCCTGTTTTGCCATTTTAAAGAAAGCAATAGTTCTCTGTAAAACAAAAAAAGTATGCTATTCACGTGCTCCTGTATTTCTACAGAAATGTAATGATGAGATAAATATTCCAAACATTCATGCCTACATGATCTGTTCTTTTAGTGACGAATCTCTTGACATGTGACTGGGATGATTTTGCTCATCTTCCACTGAGCAGCTCCCACCTAACAGGTGCGTCAGTCCCCAGAGGCATGAGGCTGAGACGCGATCCGGCTATAAGGAGACACATGTTCTAGCCATGAAGTGTAGCAGAGACTCTGTGCAGAGGCGAGCACTCAGCAGAGTGGAGGCAGTGTGGCCAGCATCGGCCCAGGCCACAGGCATCAGTAGGTGTCTGCAGAGGCAGTGCCAACACCCAGTGGCAGGGGCCTCAGTTCCCTCAGTGGGAGGGCTGTAGGTCAGGGCCAGCTTTCTAGGAAACATAAAGCTTGCAATGAGTCTTAAAGATCAGTGGGAAGTTCCTTGCCAGGTCCTATACTTGAAGGAAAGTCATTCTTAGTAAAAGGTACAGGCATGAGCAAGGGCCCTGAAGCAAGAATAAATCTTCCAAGCAGGAAAGCAGGACGACAGAGGCAGGGCAGGAGGTGGGCATGGACCAAAAAGAGAGTGTCACATTGCAGGGCTGGACAGGCATGCCGAGCCGAGGGCCCCTCAAGGATCCCTGGGGAAGGGCCTGGAAGGGACAAGGCCAGTGGCTAGGTGACAGGGCAGAGGCGAGGGCCCCGGTGTCTGACCTGAGCGACTGATCACCTGGGAAGCGTTACTGAGCTGACGAATGCGACAGAAGAGAAGGTGGGTGGAGACTAGGACCTGTAGAGTCCTGGGTAAGTTGACCCTGTCACAAAGGCCAGCAGGAACTTCCAGCGATATCAGGAGAAAACTGGCCAGGGGAACAGATGGGATGGCCTAACGGATGGGATGCAGGAGAGAAGGGCCAGAGGCAGGAGGGAAGAACAGAAGGACCCGCAAGGACAGGAAAAGGAGAGAGCTGGGAAGAAGAAAAGCTGCCCTCAACCTGGCTTTTGACTACCAGCTTGCCATTGTCAAGTAGGTTCCCAGAATGTGGGAGTGAGTTTGTGACCTAGAACCACAGAGTACTCTGCGATTCCTCCACAGTGGCCCCATTCCTGCAACACTGTAACTGACTGAGCCATAAACCCTGTGAGGGCTGAGAATCAGGCATTTTTCTCTGCTTCATGAAGAGTTAAAAGAATGTGGCACGAATTCCGCATAATGATGTCCGCGATGGTTTCCAGCAATCTTTGCACCAATTCTTCAAGGATATTTCCCCAAATAACCTTCATTTCTGAGCTCATAGTCATGAGTGCATAAATGATTAATATTAAAATTCATCTCTTTTACAGTCTGTTTCAAACTTCACTCTCCTCCCACCCACTGACTAAAGGAAAGACACGTTTCCTAAGTGTCTTATTACAAGAATACTTTTAAAGGAGACCATAACATCTTAAATTTCAAAAGCAATTTACTGATCTAATATTTGATTGCTTTTTCTCTAAGGAGGCTTTCTTCAGTGCATTGAGAAGAAGGGACAGCTGTGACCTCAGTTTATAGCGGTCTCTCGGTTTATTACTTTCACTGCATCAGTGGTGTGAGATCAATATCACTACACTGGGAATTAGAAGCCCTAGGTCTGACCACAGACGCTCCTCAAACACCTGTGATTTGGTTAAGTTTCTTAATTCTTAGAGTCTCAGTTTCATCCTCTGTGTTTGTATGAGTTTCCTCTAGCTGTTGTCACAAATTTTTGCAAGCTCAGTAGCTTAAAATAACCCAGATTCATTATCCGACAGTTCTGAAGGTGAGGAGCCGCAGTAGGTCTCTGTGGGCTGGAGTTAGGGTGTCTGCAGCCCCTCTGCAGGAAGGGAGCATCTGTGTTTAGAAATATTCCACTTTTCATAATAATACTGGATGTGGAGAGATTTACTCTTACATTCCTAAATGTTGTCCAACATTTTTGAGCTTCTCAAGCAGTTCTGACCAATAGAAATATAATGTAAACCACATATGAAACTAAAAATTGTCTAGTCACCACATTAAAAAGTAAAAAGAAATACAGGTAGAATTAAATTTAATAATATTTTGCATTTAATTTAATGTACAAGCAACATCACCTCAACATATAAATATTTAAAATAGTTAATGAGATATTTTATATTCCTGTTTTTGTTATTCACTCAGGTGAATAACAATCAGGTATGAGGTTTACACCTACAGCCCACCTCAATGCACATTCTTTGCATTATAAGTGCTCAAAGTCACTCAGATGACAATTGGCCACTGTATCGGAGAGCACAGTTTTAAAGGGTACTTCACTTTTATTAAACAAACACTTTACATAATTCAGAAGGGCTCAAAATTTAAACAGCATTATATTTAATGTACAATTGCTTTTTTTTTTTTCTTTTTTTTTTTTTAGATGGAGTCTTGCTCTGTCACCCAGGCTGCAGTGCAGTGGCACAATCTCAGCTCACTGCAACCTCTGCCTCCTGGGTTCAAGCAATTTTCATGCCTCAGCCTTCTGAGTAGTAGCTGGGACTACAGAAGCCTGCCACCATGCCTGGCTGATTTTTTTTATTTTTAGTAGAGACGGGGTTTTGCCATGTTGGCCAGGCTGGTCTGGAGCTCGTTACCTCGGGTGATCCACCTGCCTCGGCCTCCCCAAGTGCTGGGATTACAGAGGTGAGCCACCGTGCCTGGTTCACATTTACTTTTGGAATCACCACTGATCATTAATTTGTTTATGACAGTTGAATAAGAGCTACATGCAGCATGATTTTTTCTCCCTTTAAACAATTGTTGGGCTTATACTAGTTAAAGATCAATGTGTTTAATTCCCCCAGAATATAAATTAAGTTTATTTTCCCCCCTTTCACTGAAGTTCATTCTGTTAAGGAAATTATAAGTGCACAAAAAGTAACTCAGGCTCCTGTATGTTGATAGTTTATACCACTTTGAATTGAATCTTTGCATCACCCATCATAAATAATTTATCTTAATAAGATTTCAGTCTTTACTAATGACATTAAGCACCTGGTTTTACTCGAGCTGGGCCTATTAGCTCAGTAGAGAAAACGCTATGTTTAGGAGTCTAAGATTTCTAGTTAAGGGAGTAGACTCGATATATAACCTGAGGACTCATCCCATAAATGCAAGATATGGGCAGGACTCTATCAGATGGGAAAGGTGAGGGCAAGTGGGTAAAGGTAAACCTATCAGTACTGCTAAAAACAGCCTAAAGTCCATGCTTTAAAGTTGCTGTCTGGTGGTGTTATTTTTATATTGAAAAAAAGAGCACATCATTATTTAGAAAATAAAGCCACAATACATGTCCTCAGGTTCCTGTCAACAAAAACATAGCAACCAGCTGGTGTATGATTCATTTTTCACAAGAATATTTTTAGATTTGTTTCGACTTGTGCTCCAACTGTTCCATGGTACAATTTGAGAAATGAAAGTGCACAAGAGTAAAGAGTAAATAATAAGTACAATACTTAGTATCAACTTGTTATTACCCAGTTCAAAGTTCAGCAATCACTACTTATCCTGCTAGAAAGAACGAGGAGTCTCTATTCTTGGATAAACACATTCTACTAATGGATATTACTTTTCTCAGTTTAGAATATGCATTACCCAAAGTGCAAATTAAAATTTCAAAACTCAAAGTTTATTTAATTGTCTTTCCCTAAGACTGTTGGACTTGCACTGATAAGTATTAATAACAGGAGTACTTACTTTTTAAAAGCCACCTTTCCTTTATGCTTTCATTCAAGGATAATGTGTAATGTTTACTTCTGACTTTGGTGGAATTAACTTGTTTCAGGCCAACCTCCTCATTGTTAATAACTAGAAAAGCTAGAGATAATAAAATAAATATCACTGTGAAGATCCCAGAGAGATGGGAAACCCAGGGAAGTCAGCCCAACATGTGATCTGACTTTTTCTCCTGGAGACATTTGCCACTCAGACAACATAGACTGAGAAGCACACAGTCAGGACAGACAGCAGCCGCTGAGAAACTAAGTGTAACTTGAAACAATTCCAAGGAACTGGCGGGAAAAGCAAAGAAGGCTATTTTCTTTCAGCAAAAACAAGGGACCCTAATAGATACCCAAGCTTCCAGTTTGGACCTTGGAAGGGGTAAACCCTAGAGACAGGGGTGCCAGAAATAGAGTATCCTCCCAAAGAATGAGGCCCAGGTTCAAGTCATCTCACTCTCTGATTAGATTAAAGGACCCACCCTTCTGTGAGAAACAATAGTAAATCCTCTCTTGAGGAAGATAACATCACACAGAGATTCAAATTAACTACAATTATTGTGGAGACAAAAGTGACTCCATCTTGGATGCTAATCTGCCATGTTGACTTCTGATTAGTTCCAGTCCCGTGAATGCCTCCTGGTTCCTACTTTATTTGCTGTTCTTAGTGTGAGAACATGTACTCAACATAAATCCTGCCTTTAGATCCAAGCACCCTTGATGTGGTCACCAAGATTATAGGCCATGACGCACACAGCATCCTTGCCTGTTCTAGAGGGTTGCCTTCAATTGTTTCTGTAGAGCGCATACCCCTTTCCCTATGGTATGTAAGCCCTGAGTCTAGGAAGTAATAGTGTGGAAATCTACCTGTCTTGCAGCTGCTTGAGACCATGCTTCCATCCATAAGTTCCCTAATAAATTGCCCTCCATCGACAAACTAGATTTGTCTGCTTAGTTCTTTGGTTTCTTGGATCTTTCCACATTTGAGAGTCACTTTGTATATGTAACTCCTTCACACAACAGTTATATATAGCATACATACTCATCTGGCATTTATATAAAATAATCAGGGACACAAAAAGATAGATAATCAAATATGGAATTTAAATCCTGCTAACAAAGGAATCCTAGGCCTAGATGGCTCTACCTGTGAATTCCTATAAATGTTTATGAAAGAAATAACAAAAATATTACATAAATTTCCCAGAAAATATAAAAAGAAAGACTGCATTCCACTCATTAAATGAGGAGAAAACTTGAATATCAAAATCTGTGGACATCAAATGAAATGAAAATTATCAACCAAGCTTTTTCATGAACATTGATGCAAAAACCTCAAAGAAAATATTAGAAAATATAGCCTAGCAATAATTTTAAAAATCACAACCAGTTGGAGTTTTCAAGGAATGTAAGGTTGGTTTGACGTTTGCAAATAAAACAATGTATCTTACCACATTAATACAATAAAGAAGAAAAAGACATGATCATATCAGTAGTGCAGCAAAAACACTTGGTAAAAACAAACACCTTTTTTAAAAGCACCATGAACATACCTCAGGGAAAGGACACTCTTCAATAAACAGTGCTGTAAAAATTGGATATTCATAAGCAGAAGAATGAAACTGGACCCCTTTCTCTCACCATATACAAAAATCAACTCAAAATGGATTAAAGACTTAAATGTAAGACTCGAAACTATAAAATGATTAGAAGAAAACGTAGGGGAAACACTTCAGGACTTGAGTCTAGGCAAACATGTTATGGCTAGGACCTCAAAAGCACAGGCAACAAAAATGACAATAGAATGATGGGACTTCATTAAACTAAAAACTTCTGCACAACAAAGGAAACAATCAACAGAGTGAAGAAACAGCCAGTTGAACGGGAGAAAATATTTGCAAACCTTTCATCCAACAAGGGACTAATATCCAGATTATACAAGGAACTCAACTCAACAGTGGGGAAAGAAAATCCCATTAAAAAGGGGACAAAAGACATAAGTAGACATTTCTCAAAAGAAAGCACACAAATGGCCAGCAATGAGTTTATGAAAGTTTATGATAAAATGTTCAACATCACTAATCATCAGGGAAATGCAAATCGAGACTAAAACGAGAAAGCATCTCACCCCAATTAGGATGGCTATTATTAAAAAGACAAAATAATTTACAGATGCTCCAAGAATGCAAAGAAAAGGGAACTCAAACACTGTTGATGAGAATGTAAATTAGTACAGCCACTATGAAAAACAGTACAGAGATTTCTCAAAAAACTAAAAGGAGAACTATTGTATGATTCAGCAATCCCACTACTGGGTATTTATCCACAGGAGAGGAAATCAGCATATAAAACGGATATCTGCACTCCCGTGTTTATTGCAGCACTATTCATAATAACGAAGACGTAGAATCAACTTAGATGTCCATTAGTGGATGAATGAATAAAGAAGATGTGGTACATATACACAATGGAATACTATTCAGCCTTAAAAAGAATAAAATCATGTCATTTGCAATAACATGAGTGGAACTGGAGGTCATTATGTTAAGTGAAATAAGTCAGGCACATAAAGACAAACATCGCATGTTCTTATTCATATGTAGGAGCTAAAACAGTTGCTCTCATGAAGGTAAAGAGTAGAATGATAGATACCAGAGGCTGGGAAGGGTGTGTGGGTAGTGGCAGGGGGTGTGGAGGGAAATAGAGAGAGATTGGTTAATGGGTACAAACACATAGTTAGAAGGAATAAGTTCTAATGTTAAATAGCAGAGTAGGGTGACTATGATTAATAACAATTTATTGTATATTTCAAAATAGCTAGAAGAGAAGACCTGAAATGTTCCCAGCACATAGAAATGATAAATACTCAGGGTGATGAACACCCCAAATACCCTGACTGGATCATTACATATTTTATGCATGTAACAGAATATCAGATGTACAAATGTTACATATCAATTAAAAATCATCAGCAAACTAGAAATAAAAACAAACTTTCTTAACTTGGTAAAGAATATTTATAGGCCAGGCGCAGTGGCTCATGCCTATAATCCCAGCACTTTGGGAGGCCAAGGCGGGCGGATCATGAGGTCAAGAGTTCGAGACCATCCTGGCCAATATGGCAAAACCCTGTTTTTACTAAAAATACAAAACCCTGTTTCTACTAAAAATACAAAAATTAGCCAGGCGTGGTGGCGGGCACCTATAATCCCAGCTACTCGGGAGGCTGAGGCAGGAGAATCACTTGAACCCGGGAGGCGGAGGTTGCAGTGAGCCAAGATTGTGCCACTGCACTCCAGCCTGGGCGACAGAGTGAGACTCTGTCTCAAAAAAAAAAAAACAAAAAAAAAACAAAAAAAAAAAAACTGGGACTTTCAACTCCCTATTCCTCCCCACCCCACTCCCTATATTTATAAGACACAATCTCTGAACCACAACAGTCTTGTAAAATTGAATGCCAATAATTTTGGTCTAAAGTACTAAATTATAATAAAAGCCTTCAGTAACAGAAGCTTAAGGCATAATCCCTTCTGGGAGTAATTGTAGTTTAAGTAGAAAAAACTTTAATTTTTTTTTAACTACCTAAATGAATAAAATTAAAATCATGTAATCACAAATAGTAGAGTTATCTGAGAGTAGATAATAATATCTGCCTAATAATCTCTATTTTGCCCCAATATTGCTCATCCCTGAATAAGTGTTCAAAAGAAAAAGTTAGCACAAGCAAATGGGGCATAGGTGGTCATCCTACCCAATGACTTTCAAAAGTTATTCCTCAAAACTATTGTGTTCTGAGATAGCTCTACACCCACCTTTCAGTTAACAACTTGAGAGGCATTAAAAAGCAATTCATCTAGTCTCTGTCATTTGAAAAACAAAGAATCTGGGTTCTAGAAAGTTGACATTATCTACATTCCTGGACCAAAAATTATGATACCTATTTCTAAGAAGACATAAAAATTTACCCAAAAGGTCTGTCTCTTTTAGTTTGCAAAGAATTTTAAAAAAATTATCTTCCAAATACCATAAGATCTGACCACAGGTATGCTATTATGGAGGACAGATTTCCATTTACTGTGGAAATATTTGTGGAAGGGACTCACGAGCTTCCAAAGAAGTGATGAAGACATAAGTTATAATCTGCATCTTTGGGTTTGGCCAAAAATCGAAAAGCAACTCCTAGGACTGTATTTAATGCCATAACTTTTTATTACCATGCTACCATGGAGCCCAAAATTCAACTCTTTGTACTGGAAAACATCCTTCTACTGAGTAAGCTTTACTTCTAGGGCCCAAACACAATAAAACTATGCAAACAGAATTTGAATCTAATACCCTCAAAGCACTTTGACAATGTTTTTAGCCAAGTTGCACTACTTAAAAAAAAATGGCAAAAGATTAGCCAAAACAGCCTTAATAGAAGTATGTTTAGTGAGCTTCTGTCTTAGTCTGTTTGTGCTGCTATAATAGAATACCACAGACCTAGGCTAGGTGTTCATGTCTACAATCCTCACACTTTGGGAGGCCAAGGCAAGAGCATTACTTGAGCCCAGGAGTTTGAGACCAGCCTGGGCAACTTAGTGAGACTCCACCTCTACTAAACAACAACAACTTACAAGATTAGCTGGGTGCAGTGGCATATGTCTGTAGTCCCAGCTTCACGGGAGGCTGAGGTGGGAGGGTCACTTGAAACCAGGAATTTGAGGCTATAGTGAGCTATGATCATGTTGCTGCATTCCAGCCTAGGCAACAGAGTAAGACTCTGTGCCTCTTTAAAAAAATAAAAAAAAGAACACCACTGACTAGGTAATTTATAAAGAATAGAAATCCAAAGTCATAACATCAAAAAATGAAAGAACAAATTTATTTTCTCAAAGTTCTGGAGGCTGAAGGCAAGAAGGCAAGAGAGCCAAATGCTACACGAAGTCTCTTTTATAAGGACCTTAATCCTTTTCACAAAGGAAAAGCCCTCATGGCCTAATCACCTCTTGAAGGCCTCACCTCTTAATACTATCACATTGGCCAGTAAGTTTCAACACTTGAATTTTGAAGGGGACACATTCCAACCATAGCAGTGGCACTAGATGTGATTTAATGTTTCTCTAAAATAATATTTCATGACATTAACAAACTGCATTCAAATCGGTTTTTATCATCTTTCATGAATGTAAGAAATTATGACAAAATGCAGAAGGATGACTATGGTCATAAATTCAAAAGTAAAATCCTCAGATTGTAATTTTGTCAATTGCCCCTGGTGTTTTATTATTATTGTTGTTGCTGCTGTTCAACTGAATTAGTAAATAAAAATACTCATTTTTGTGGAAATATTTTTGGATTGTGCATATTAGAACAATTTTGTCAGACTAGTTTACTTATTTTTGCTAGCTAAGTGGTCTCACTGACCAACCAGCTAGTCGCAAGAAATTAAACGCACAGGGCCGGGCGCAGTGGCTCACACCTGTAATCCCAGCACTTTGGGAGGCTGAGGCAGGCGGATCACGAGGTCAAGAGATTGAGACCATCCTGGCTAATGCGGTGAAACCCTGTCTACTAAAAATACAAAAAATTAGCCAGGCATGGTGGTAAGTGCCTGTAGTCTCAGCTACTCAGGAAGCTGAGGCAGGAGAATTGCTTGAACCCGGGAGGCAGAGGTTGCAGTAAACTGAGATTATACCACTGCACTCCAGCCTGGGCGACACAGCAAGACTCCGTCTCAAAAAAAAAAAAAAAGAAAAAAGAAATTAAACACGGAACAGAAATTGTACCTTAGTCTCATCTCACTTAGTCATCTTGCTAACCTATGTTGTTAATTACAAAGAAGACTACTCAGGAGATGTCAGTGAGCACTTCCACTACATAGATACATAAGTCTGCATACTTTTCCTCTCTGCTTGGAAATTAAACAAAAGCAAATGGAGAATGAAAAATAGAAATAATTTCCAGATGCTAAAATATCAAAACACATGTCATGTGGAAGGAGACAGAAAAATAATGAGCAGGTGATAAGGGACCCTGCAAAGGCACAACTCAGAATGTACCATTAAAAATATATGCTATGCTATAGATGTAAGTGGCTCACTCTAGAAGGGAAAGACTATATTCATCCTTTGTAGCAATGGCTGGAGATATTGGAGTAAGTACAGCCAGTAGAAGAAACATTGCTAGACTATGTTTGATTCATAGAAGCAGAGGAAAGAATCATATGCCCGATCAATAGATGCAGAAGCAATCTTTGTTTTTGGTGGGAGAAGTGAGAGAGCCTTTGAATTGTGAAGCTTAGGAAACCAACCTGGTCTTCCCCTTCCCTCCCTCCAGTTCTCAACGCTCTATACACACACACACACACACACACACACACACACACACACACACATCTCCTGCAAATAGCTGGCTCATAAAAAGCCAATTAGTTCAATAGTTTTATGGATATGTAGAAAAATAAAATTTTTCAAAAGAACTACATAACACCGATATAAAGATATTATAAGAATAAATATTTTAGGCGGAGCGCGGTGGCTCATGTCTGTAATCCCAGCACTTTGGGAGGCCAAGGTGGGCAGATCACCTGAGATTAGGAGTTCGTGACCAGCCTGGCCATTATGGTGAAACCCGGTCTCCACTAAAAATACAAAAACTAGCCGGGCATGGTGGCGTGTGCCTGTAGTCCCAGCTACTCAGGAGGCTGAGGCTGGAGACTCACTTGAACCTGGGAGGTAAAGGTTGCAGTGAGCCGAGATCGCGCCACTGCACTCCGGCCTGGGTGACAGAGCGAGACTCCATCTCAACAACAACAACGACAAAAGAATAAATATTTTAAAAATGTATCAAAGCAATTAACTTTAGAAAGAAAAACCAGAAACAGAAATGCAAGATTTCAGGGAAGATATCCACAAAGTAGTAAAAGAAAAGACTTGCTACAAATTTAAACACAAAATTAAATGACACATAAGGAGATCAGACATTTTAAGAAAAAACATTAGAAATGTATATATATATGGTTACAAATGAGAAAAGAGAATACAATGAAATGGATATGTCAGAAAATTAAACGAATTACAGAGAAAAATAGAATAACTGGAAGACACATGAAGATGACTAAAGAAATTTATTTTTTTCCCAAAGAAGAAAACCAAAACAATAAACCACAGAAAAATTTAAATATTGAAATCAAGAAATGTTCCTGAAATTCAAGAGGACTGGCATCTGTATAAGGCTTATTGTTCACTGGGAAAAAATGAGCCCAGAGTGGTCAACATTGAAGCATATCTCTACAAGAAGAACTACAAAACACTGCTGAAAGAGATTACAGAAATGGAAAAACATTCATGCTCACAGATTGGAAGAATTGATATTGTTAAAATTGCCATACTACCTAAAGCAATCTATAGATTCAATGCTATTCCTATCAAACTACCAGCATCATTTCCACAGAACTAGAGAAAACTATGCTAAAATTCATATGAAACTAAAAAAGAGCCCAAATAGCCAAAGCAATCCTAAGCAAAGAACAAAGCTGGAAACATCACATTACCTGACTTCAAACTATATAACCAGAACACCGTGGTACTGATACAAAAACAGACATGTAGACCAATGGAACAGAAAAGACAACCCGAAAGTAAAGCTGCACACCTGATCTTTGACAAAATTGACAAAAACAAGCAGTGGGAAAGGACTCCCTATTCAATAAATGGTGCTGGGATAGCTGGCTAGCCATATGCAGAAGAATGAAGCTCTATCTGTACCTTTCACCATATACAAAAATTAAAGATGGATTAAAGACATAAATATATGACTTAAACTATAAGAATCTTAGAAGAAAACCTAGGAAGCACCATTCTGGACATCAGCCTTGGGAAAGAATTTATCACTAAGTCCTCGAAAACAATTGTAACAAAAACAAAAATTGACAAGTGGGACCTAATTAAACTAAAGAGCTTCTGCACAGCCTAAGAAACTATCAACAGAGTAAACAGACAACCTACAGAATGAGAGGAAAATATTCACAAACCATGCATCTGACAAAGGTCTAATATCCAAATCTATAAGGAATGTAAACAATTCAACAAGCAAAAAAAAAAATCCTGTTAAAAAGTGAACTAAAGATATAAACAGACACTTCTTAAAAGACATACAAGTAGTCAACAAACATGAGAAAATGATCAATATCACTAAATCATCAGAGAAAAGCACATCAAAACCACATTGAGATAACATCTCACACCAGTCAGAATGCTATTATTTAAAATGTCAAAAAATAGTAGATGCTGGCAAGCAAGGCTGTGGAGAAAATGGAACACATATACCCTGTTGATGGGAATGTAAATTAGTGCAGCCATTGTAGAAAGCAGTGTCTGGAGATTTCTCAAAGAACTTAGAACTGCCATTCGACCCAGCAATCCTATTACAGGGTATATATCCAAAGGAAAATAAATTGTTCTACCAAAAAGACACATGTACTTGTATGTTCATCACAGAGCTATTCACAATATCAATGCCATGGAATCAACCTAAGTTCCCATCAACAGTAGATTAGATAAAGAAAATGTGGTACATATGCACCACGGACTGCTACACAACCATAAAAATGAATAAAATCATACACTTTGAAGTAACACGGATGCAGCTGGAGGCCATTATCCTAAGTGAACTGAAGACCACATGTTCTCACTTATAACTGGGAGCTAAGCATTGGGAACACATAGATACATTAATGGGAATAACAGACACTGGGGACTACTAGATGGGGGTGGGAGGAAGGAAAGTCAGCAGTGATTGAAAAACCATTGGGTACTGGCCAGGCGCGGTGGCTCACACCTGTAATCCCAGCACTTTGGGAGGTCAAGGTGGGTGGATCACTTGAGGTCAGGAGTTCGAGATCAACCTGGCCAACAAGGCGAAACCCCATCTCTACTAAAAATACAAAAATTAGCTGGGCATGATGGTGCACACCTGTAATCCCAGCTACTCGGGAGGCTGGGGCAGGAGAATCGCTTAAGCCCGGGAGGCGGAGGTTGCAGTGAACCAAGTTCACGCCATTGCACTCCAGCCTGGGGGAGAAGAGCAAGACTTTGTCTCAAAAACAAACAAACAAACAAAAACTATTGGGTACTATCTAGATGATGATGGGATTAATCATACCCCAAGCCTCAGCATCACGCAATATACCCATGTAACAAAGCACGTCCTGAACCTGAAATAAAAGTTGAAATTACTTTAAAAAACACACACAGAAACACACAATTTAAATATATAATTCAAGAAAGGTTCCTGCAATTAAAGAAAACTAATATCTATGTAAGGATCATGGTTTGCTAGGAAAATATTAATCCAGAATAGTCAACACTGAAGCATGTCATAGTAAAAGGCACACACACATACACACACACACACACACAAATCACTTATAAAGGAACACATGTGTCTGGTCACAAAAAGACTGAATGCTAAATGATAGTAAAACAACACCTATAAGATACCCAAAGGAAGAAAATGTGACCCAAGAGCCATCTAAGCTGCTCTCAAAAATAAAAGCTACAGATAAATTGTTTTAAACATGAAAAAGCTCAAACAATATTCCCACGAGCCTTTTTAAAGACTCTTCCAGAAGACCGAACAGTAGTCAAGCAAGAGCTGATGGGGGAGATTTGGGCAAAAGGACTGGCGATCAGTATCAAATATATTTAACTTTACTACTGAGGCTGAAACCTCTGGGTTTCAGAAGTTGAAGTGAGAAAATAATATGTAAATATTATACATGCTGACAAAAACTTGGGGGAAAAGGGGGAAAAAAGTGGGTGTGGATGGGCGCCAATGCAGAAGAGAAAGAAATGTATTGCGGGATTTATAAGTAATAGCTGAGAGTCAGAGGATTTTATTTAAAGCCAACAAACCATGTAATAAAAGTCTAAGCATATTTAACAGTACAAAAATAAATACTAAGAAAGGTAGTACTGGGTAATATTTGGTAGTAGAGGAGAGATAGAAGGAAAGAGAAAACAGTAATTATATTGCACATTTTAGGTGGGAATAAGGTACCACTAAAGGAAAAGAGGATTAAAGTTATTACATAACGGTATAAATATAAGGCTAGACACCACAACACAAACACAAGCATTCCTGAACATCAAACGCACACACACACACACACAAAAGAGAGAAAACCAACAATATAGTGAACAACCTGAAGAATAACTATCAAAGTAGCTAGTATCAAATGAAAGGACAGAACTAAGAGCCAGTATTTTTTTTTCACACATACATACTAAGTTTACTCAAAACTAGTCTGTTCTGCTTCTTCCTCTTCTTCCGGGATGAGAGGGGGTCAGAGCCAGGGGTCTGTGCAATGCGATCTGCAATCCAGACAAACCCCTTGCCCCACCCCCAAAGTCAGGCCTTCTGTCTTTTGTTAATTTTTCTTCTTGCTGACACCCATTTAAGACTGGCCGAAGGGGGCAGGGCGCAGTGGCTCACGCCTGTAATCCCAGCACTTTGGGAGGCCGAGGCAGGAGGATCTCAAGGTCAAGAGATCAAGACCATCCTGGCCAACATGGTGAAGCTCCATCTTGACTAAAAATACAAAAATTAGCTGCGCGTGGTGGTGCGTGCCTGTAAGTCCCAACTATTCAGGAGGCTGAGGCAGGAGAATTGCTTGAACCTGGGAGGCAGAGGTTGAAGTGAGCCGAGATCACGCCACTGCACTCCAGCCTGGGCAACAGAGCAAGACTCCATCTCCAAAAAAAAGACTGGCCGAAGGGGTAAGGCCCACGGAGCCCCTTACTGTAAGTCACTACTGATAAGTTGTTTGCATGACTGCTGGGAGACAGATTTACAGAGTTCTGTGACAGTCTGCTCTGGTCTTGCTCAGCTTGGTCAGGAGCAGCAGCCCATGTGTTTTTGCTGATCGAGTAGAACTCGGAACCCCCAGGGTCTTATAAGTTGTTTTCATCTGATTGTTGGTTCTTTTGGGAGAGGCAAAAGGGTTGAAGTTTCCTTCTACCTTGCTATGCGGTTGTGTTGAACTCCGTTTCAAAAGATGACAGCTGCTGTGTTACTTCTAAAAGTCCACCCACCTCTACACTGAGAATCACCCAGATGACATCTCCATAGTAGAGTCCTGTAGCAGTGCACATCCGTCACCATCCCTGATACATTCCTGCTCTGCTGGGGCTGCACATCTGGACAATAACATCTGTAATCTCTTGCGGCTCTAGCAATCTCACCATCAGCATGCTCACATGTCCAACTTGGTCTCCCCCGACATATTTAGGACAAACCCCTGGAGGCCAGGCCTCTGCCACAGAATTCTGGATCCACCAAGTTTTTACAAACTGAGTATCAGGAGGTATTGACTACCCTTCCTCTAGGGTGACATCTTCAACAAAGGACACAGAGGGCACACTGATGTTTGAGCTCTCAAAGGCATAAGAGGCACCAATTGCTGCTTGTAGGTTCCAGTTGGTCCTGTCCAGGAAGAAGGCGCAACTGGCAGGGTTGAGCTGGAAGCCGAGCAGCCTCTGGAACTTGGAGATGAGCACGTCTTTGTTGGTGGTGCTCAGGTAGTTGAAATTCTGCATCAGCTCCAGGTCCCGGTCCACGTCCATGCCCTCCATGGCAGGGAGCTGGACAGCTGTTTCCTCGCCTCTTCACAACCGAGCTGCCACCGTGCTGCCAGGCCCGGGGACCAGGAGGGGGCTGGCTGCTAGCTAGCATTGTGACCCCACTCCTTTGAGGTAGGCCCGGGGCCTCTCTCAGTCTCATAGGGGTAAGGTCACTCTGCCACTCCCTCTCCCCACCCCCACCCCTCTAGCTCCACCGCCTCTCGCCTCTCCAAAAGCAAACACATTATCAAGTTAATTCACCTTATCAAGTTAATTATCAAGTTAATTCACCTGTTAAACACTTATCAAGTTAATTCACCTATTAAATAAAAAAGATGTTTAGATTATATAACAACGCAAAACCCAATTCTACCCATATGGTAACATACAATTGCTAAAAAAATAAATAAATAAAAACAATAATTATAATTTGCAATCAAGCCTCATTTGAAGGCTCCTGTACCCCTTCCAAACTCATTCATGTGATTGCTGGCTGGTCTCAGTGGCACTGAAAGCCTTATTTAGTTCTTACTATGTGAGCATCTCCACAGAGCTGCTTGAGTGCACTTCAAACATGGCCACTTGCTTGCCCCTGAGCAAGTGATCTGAGACATAGACAGGAAGAAAGAGAGAGAGAAGAGAAAGAGGTGAGAAAGAGAGAGACAGAGATAGACAGAGAGACAGCCCAACATGAAAGCTGTAGTCCCTTATAAACCTAATCTCAAAAGTCACGAATCATTACTTCTTCTGAATTCCATTCACACAGATAATTTATTCACACTCACACAGATTTGCTCCGGTAAAAAATAGGAGGGGCCCACTCAGGATGTGGAGAGCAGGAGGTGGGGGTCTTTAGGTCATTAGGGCCATTTTGGAGACTCCCTGTGGAGCACCACAGACCCTGAGTGGAACGGAGGGAAAGGATGCCCAGAAGCATCCTAGACAGCTGTGTGCTCCCAGGGAGGCTGGGCAGGGCTACCAGGGGTGGCCCTTGGCAGAGTGCCGCGCCTCTCAAAAGCAGGGCTGTCCCATCACCCCTGCAATGCCCTGCCCTGGGCCGGAGCAGCCCCTGGGAGGCGCCCTCTCAGTGAAACCGTGACCGCTGGATCCAGAGCCCGCAGCAGGGCCTAGGCCACCGTGCCGTGTGGCTGAGCCGGCCAGGTGCGTTCTCACCGCTTCCGTGGGGACCACGGCTCACAGATCACATGCCCACGCTGTCTATATGGTTTTATAAATCATTAAACTTAAATGTTCAATGGTCATCTTAACCTAACCATTTAACCACTGTGTACATGTTTAAACTTCTCTGAACCCCCTCTGAGCTTGTGCTTCTTATTTCATAAAATGTGAATAATGGTGATTGCCTCCGAATTAGGAAGGGGAATCCCAAAGGTGCAATAATATGTGGGTCTCCTGCCAAGTGAAAGCAATCGCTGACGTGATGAAGACAATTTATCTATTTATGTGCCTCATTAAGCCGTAAAACTTGGGGCCAAACCTCAGGAAGCGATGCCAGCCTGCTGCGCTAGTCCGGGAGGGCGCTGCGGGAGATGGCGATGCCTTCCCAAGGCCCGGACGCCCTGCAGGAGATCTCTGCCGCGATCGTGGTGAGGCGCTGGGGGGACACCGCCTTGGGTGCGAGAGCAACCGTGCTGTGATGAGGAACAAGCAGAGTCCTCGAGAGGCAGGGAGTGTGAGAGGTGCTGAGCTCGGCCGCCGCGGGAACAACCAGGCGACAGCAAGAAAGCGCTGGGTGCTAAGGCTGGCTCGGACTGCGGGGACGCCTGGGAGGCTCTGGTGCTACCAGGGGTGGAGGCTGACACGGAACGACTGAAGTATGCTGTTCCAGCCGCCCCTCGCCACCCGCAGCAGAGACCAGAGGCTCTTGAGCTCGTCTCTGCCTGGAGCACGTGAAGCGCATGGCATATGGCCACTAACAGTGGGTGCCTTAGAGCTTTGGCTAGAGGCCTGAGGATGGAGGAGATTGCCATGGGCATCTCTGGACCCCAGGCCCTGGGGCTGCCTGCATTAGCTAAACTACCTCCCACCTGAGAGCTTTCTCAGGCAGCAGGAGTGACAGATAAAGATCCCCAGAGAAGCCTCCAAAGAAAGCCAGAGCTCCCCCAGCCGGACCAGGCCACCATGCCCACTGTGATAACTGGCCTTATGGAGGAGTTCTTAATGCCTCTTTTCCCTCCTGGCTTCCCTTCCCGCTCTCCCGCCAGCATTTTCTGGGATCGCCTCCTAAACAAACTGCACCTTGTCTCAGGCTCTGCTTCCGGGAAAACCAAGTAAAGACAAGGGTGTAGTCCTACGGCCCAGGGACAGCCTGCAGGACCCCAATGTGCATCTCACCTCACCACGGGCATCTCTGGGCTGAGCATCAAGCTAAATAGGATTCCTGCACTCCCCCACATCATCCATCAGTCAGGAGCCTTTTCTCAGCTGAGACCTGCAGAAGCAATCAAGACAGGCAATCCATGATGCTGTGTGTGTCACTGAAGCACAATTGTAGTATCTCCAAAGCAGAAGAGCAAGAAAAATAACTATTATTTTACCTTATGCCATTTCATTCTCAGAAGGGCTCCAAGAGCCTAACTGGATGAAGAAACAGACTCCGTCAGGCTCTATAACTTGGCCTTGTTCAAGGCTGGAAGCTGGACACTGACCCCAGGCTTTCTGATTTCACCCTTCCCATTGCTGTGCCAGAGGTTCTCCGCAGGTGGTCCCTGGACCAGCAGCATTAGCATCTCCTGGGAACTAGCTAGAAATGCAAATGTTCAGGGTCACCCCAGACCTGCTGCATCAGAAACTCGGGGGTGGGGCCGGGCCGTCTGTGTTCCACAAGCCCCTAAGGGACTCTGATGGCCACTCAAGGGTGAGACCCACATACTATAACACATTCTCCCAATAGGAAGGTCACTTTTGTTTTCAAAGACCTAAAAGGATGGTATTTCTATACTTGACATGGATGATAAGATCATCATGTCATAGTATGAATTTATTTTCATTTTTCCTCATTTTATTGAATGAGAAATAGATACCCACCAAGCAGAACTGGGTTCTGTCATAGACCCAGGAGGTGGTCTAGGAGTTCCAGGGCTGGCCCAGATGACATATTTAATATTAAAGGCAATTTACCTAATCTATGTGTCCCAATTTATACCAAAGAGAGCATGATACCAAATCTGACAATATGGTCATAAAGCCCAGAATGCTTAATAAACATGTGCTGAATGAATACATAAATCGCATTGACTGAAGGCAAAGTGGCATTCATTACTGAGTTTCTCAGTCCCTGTGTGGATCACGTGAAAGACTTAAGCCAAGAAATATGAAAACGGTTTGTACAGCAAATCACATAAATAAATTATTAGAAGTAGCAATATAAGGATAGCATAGTGGTTACATGTGTGCTAATAGCTTAGTCTGCCTAGGTTCAAATGCCAGCACAGACACTTACTAGCTAACTGACCTTAGGCAAGCTACTTAACCTCTGGCTCTCAGTTTTCCCAGCTTAAAAATGGCATAGGCCAGGTGCGGTGGCTTATGCCTGTAATCCTAGCACTTTGGGAGGCCGAGGTGGGTGGATCACGAGGTCGAAAGGTCAAGACCATCCTGGCCAACACGGTGAAACCCCGTCTTTACTAAAAATACGAAAATTAGCTGGGCGTGGTGGCGCACGCCTGTAGTCCCAGCTATTCAGGAGGCTGAGGCAGGCGAATTGCTTGAACCTGGGAGGCGGAGGTTGCAGGGAGCTGAGATCATGCCACTGCACTCTAGCCTGGTGACAGAGTGAGACTCCATCTCAAAAAAAAAACAAAAAAAAAAAAACAAGGGTGTAATAGTGACAACAATTGCAAGAGATTAAATGAGCTAATCCCTACTCTTCCAATAGCACTGAGAAATTTGCCCTGCCTTGCTCAGGCAGAATTAGGTTATCTCTCCTGAACTCAGACAACAGTCTGACTACGACAGTGGGTGCCACTGTAACACATGAATAAAATACAGGATACCCAGTTAAATTTGAATTTCAGATAGACTAGGAATAATTCTGTAGTATAAGTATGGCCCACATATTGCAAGGAGCATGATTCTACTATAAATATACTAAAAAAATTATTCCTAGCTTATCTGAAATAAAAACACAATTCAGCACACTTTTTTTTTTAAAGCAGGTAACTCTACTTTATCACCCCCACTTCATGGGAGAAGGACCATGGCTTACCTAACATTATATCCCTGGAGACCTGTAGAGTTCCTTGCCCACAATAGGTCATTAATAAATCTTTGATAAGTGGGTGAAGAGGAAATATTTCCACGAAAGGCGATTGGTCCCCCCATTGGGCAGTGTCAGAGCTTCAAGATGTGACTGTCAGGCCCTTTGGCTTGAGTAGGCAGGTTTTGGTCTTTGGTTAATCCCTAGAAACTACCAGTAGGAGAATAAATATGCCTAAATTGAGCACTGTAAAAACAAGCATTTCCTGCTAGCATGACATAGGACCCCATATTAGAGAACAGAGCCAGACATTCATTCTTCATTTAAGGGCTTTCTCTGTGCTATGTACTGGGCTAAGAACAAGGGACTTACAACCTAAATGTGAGAGAGAAAATAAGATTAATACAAGAAAAATGTTGGCATTGAACTAAGGGAATCGGGGCCTCGAGAGTATCAAACATTCACTGAAAAGAGAAACTGTTTCTCTTTTCAAAGCAGAGAAAATTTATCTTGACATGTTCCGGCCTTAGGGGTTTGCATCTTCCTTTGAAAGCATAGTGATGCAGCTCAGATCTCTAGAGCTCTCCTTCCTCCTGAGACCTTGAAGTCTCAGCTACTGTAGCTGACAGACTTGAATCAAACCCTGGGAATCAACTTTCCTTATATTAAACATTTCTTTTTCTTTTAAGGTGAAACTAAACTCATTTTTTGCAACTGGATTCTTTCCTGAGATGTATCAAATCAGGAGCCCTTTGCTATCTTTTCCTGCTTCATAAATCTCTATGCTGTTTCAGGAATAGGTGACCTTGGATTATATCGACCGTGCTAAGAAGGGTAGAACATGGCAAAGCCATGGAAAAGAAAAGGGGAGAAAAGGGCCCTGAAGAGGACAGAGAGTGTCCTGCGCTTTGCCATCAGAACTAGTGAGCAGCCCCATCCACAGCATCACAGCTGCTCATATAATAGAACTTGTAAAAAATAATTAGATTTATGACAGGCCTTTAGCAGTCATGTCCTTGCATGGGGCTAAGCCAGGGAATCACAGGCATGAAAAATTAATCAGTCTCTCAAAAACGAAGCCACATGTGGAGACACGGATGAGTTTCCGAGATGGGAGAAATTTGATGTTTCCTACTTAGAGACGGTTTAATGCTGAGTGAAAGAGACTTGTGCACAGACACAGAGATCTTCAAATTTCCCAAGACATTTGTTCTTTTTCCCCCATCCAGATACACTGGAGTATCTCACGATTCATCTTCTGGGAAAGCATGAAGTTTTGAAGGGCTTAAATGTGGTTAAATCTCAAAAAATGGTTAAATTCTGTTACCCAAGATTTTAATAGATACATAAACAAGAAGCAAGGGACTGCTTCCACGGCTGAGGAAAATCACAGAGGTTCCAATCTGGAAAGGCTCTTAAAGAACATCTTTTCTAAGTTTTAATTTTAGAAACAAGGAAACTGAGCCCCAGAAAGGGCGAGGACCCCGCATAACCTGATCACACTGTGATCACCCAAGTCCCACACCAATCTTGGTACATGGGCACATAGTGAGCAATACATATTTGAGAAATGAATGCGTGAATCTCATTGATTGAGGGCAAGGTGAGACACATTCTAGTTTCTCAGTCCCTCTCTGTATCTTGTTTTGCTTCTCAATGATCACTCAATATCACCTAAAGAATATAGGCCCATGGTGGATGGTATTTTAAAATTGTCCTGCCTCTGGAGTGTAAAATAAAAGCCTTTCTCACATCAAATTCATCACCCTGGTGCTTGAGCATTTCTCATAAGCCAGGGGTCAAGGAGTTTGTCCATGTGACTGTTTCTGCATTCAGAGGACATATGTCCATCTGAGTGTCTATCTGTAAGTAATGATCGGGAGGCACTTTACAGACCTGATGGCATACAGCTAGTTAGAGGCAAGGTTGGACTAGACGCCTGACCTCCTAACTCCAGACCAGGGCTTCGTCAACAATTCCCATTTGCTTCTCGGCTTGTAGAAGACAGAGAGATCTGTGCTCCTCAAACAGCTGCCTCTGAGTGGGAGGAAAGAGCATGCAGCATAAGGGATTAAGTAACAGACTCACAGAACAGTCTCATCTTTACCCTAAATAGCATTACCTTTCTATATTTACTCATTCAGTCAGCAAACATGCTCTGAAGGCCCCCTCTGCACTAGACCAGATGCCAGGGTGGCTCTGCCTGGATCCAGTGGGCTGGGCATAGTGCCTGCTCTGCAGAAGCCCACACTCCAACAGGGAGAGAGGGCTAAAGGCACCAAAACGATCCAGGTGCTTCAGCCTGTGAAGTTTCGAGTCAAATACACTGTATGTGAAGCACAAAGAAGTGAGTACAACTGATAATCAGGGGAGACAGGAGAAGATGACGTGAGATACCAGAAGGAAGCTTCTCTCCATTCTACAGTGAAATACTCAAAAATGGGCATTTATGTTGTTTTGGTAACCTAAAGTATGTGAAGAGAGAAACAGCACTCTGGCCCATTTGACTCACAACATCTAGTCTTTCTTGGACCAGTCAGAAAGTGTAGAACTCTCCAACGCTGTCCATAGTGACTGTCTTCCAAATCAACAAGTCTCCTCTAAATTGTCATCCCCCAGGAGAATGAGACACAGCCACGTCCTGTTCCCACCCTCACTGCCTCTACCACAGCAGTTCTCAAATGCCTTAGTCTCAGGAACTCTTTCCACTCTTAAGAATTATTGAGGACTCAGCCAGGCACAGTGGCTCACACCTGCAATCCCAGCACTTTGGGAGGCCAAAGCAGGCGGATCACTTGAGGTCAGGAGTTCAAGAACATCCCGGTCAACATGGCAAAGTTCCGTCTCTACTAAAAATACAAAAAATTAGCCGGACCTGGTGGAGGGTGCCTATAATCCCAACTACTCAGGAGGCTGAGGCAGAAGAATCCCATGAACCCAGGAGGCGGAGATTGCAGTGAGCCAACATCGCACCACTGCACTCCAGCCTGGGCAACAGAGCGAGACTCCATCTCAAAAAGAGAAAGAATTGGCCCGGCCCAGTCAACAGCACACATCCTGGCTAACACGGTGAAACCCCGTCTCTATTAAAAATACAAAAAATTAGCTAGGCATGGTGGCCCATGCCTGTAATCTCAGCTACTCGGGAGGCTGAGGCAGGAGAATCGCTTGAACTGAGGAGGCAGAGGTTGCAGTGAGCCGAGATTGCACCACTGCACTGCAGCCTGGGTGGCAGAGTGAGACTCCGTCTCAACAAAAAAGAAAGAAAGAAAGAAAGAAATGCTTACATCAGAAGGAAAACCTAAGCCACAACCACATTAACATCCACATACTGAACACTTACTGGTCAGAGCACTGCTGTGCAAAAGCATGACAGGGCATGAAGCACAGTCCCTGTCTTGTGCTATCTGACACTGACCTGGCAAAGAAAACATAGAGACAAACACATACACAATAAAGCAAGGCAGGGCTTCCTGCCAAATGTGCAGATTTAAAATTGCAACAGCCCTTTAGGGAAAGGCAAGATCACTAATGCCTGGAACATCCATGCCTTCACTCATGTGCTTGACACTCTTCTAGGTACACGGGATCTGAGGATGAACAAGACAAAATCACTGACCTCATGGAATGTATTTTCTAGGGCAGGAGACAGACAATTAACAAACAAATAAGATGAATCATATAATGACAAGTGCATGTGCAGTGAAGAAAACTGAGTCAGGGTTGGGGACAGATTGTGAAGGGAGTTTAGAGAGTACGCTATTTGATTAGTATTTTAGACAGGGTAGTTAGGGAAGCCTTCTAATAAGGTGACACAGGAGACAAGATCTAAATAAAGTGAGAGAGTAAATATCTATGGAAAGAAAATTCTCAGTAGGGAGAACTAGAAGGGTCCTGGTTTGTTGGAGGAACTACAAAGAAACTTGTGCAGCTAGAGCAGAGAGTAGGAAAGGCAGGAGTCTGATTGAACCCTGGATGTGCTGCCAAACCTCTGCAGGTTTGGAAGGCTTCCCTCACATCATCAAGTCAAGATTGTTCAGGAAACACTCAGGGAGACAGGGTCAGGGCTAGCGATACATACTTGAGCATCATCGGAACATAAATGGTGTTCTATGTGTTCACAGGACTGGATGAGACCAGGAAAGTGCAGAGAAGGGAACCAGGGCACTGCACCATGGAGAAGTCAAGGGGACGAGGAGGAGCCAGCAAGACCCTTAGAAAAGGTGGCCAAAAAGAGGAAAGGAAGACCGGGAGAGCATGGCATCCAAGAAGCCAAGGAAAAAGAACGATAAGAAAGCCACTGATAAACTATGTCAAGCGCTTGCTGAGAGTTCAAATGAAATGAGAACTGAGAGCCACTGTGGATTTGACAAGAGGTCCTTCACAGCCTGACCGTAGTGTGCAACAGGAGAATCAGAAAGAAATGAGGCCATGAATATAGACTAATGTTGCCCGGCATGATTGCTCTGAAGGTGAGCAGAGAAATGGTCCATAGTTGAGGGAGACATGGGGTCTAGGAAGGAGATATTTTTTCCTACTTATTATTGCAGCATTTATTTATTTATTTGTTTTTGAGACGGAGTCTCACTCTGTCGCCAGCCTGGAGTGCAGTGGCACGATCTCGGCTCACTACAACCTCCGCCTCCTGGGTTCAAGAGATTCTCCTGTCTCAGCCTCCCGAGTAGCTGGGACTACAGGCATGCGCCACCAAGCCCAGCTAATTTTTGTATTTTTAGTGGAGGCGGGGTTTCACCATGTTGGGGTTTCACCATGTTGGCCAGGATGGTCTCGATATCTTGACCTCGTGATCTACCCGCCTTGGCCTCCCGAAGTGCTGGGATTACAACTGTGAGCCACTGAGCCCAGCCTATTGCAGCATATGTCAATGCTTAGGGTAATAATTCAGCAGAAAGGTAAACTGCATTTTTCATGAGAGAAGGGGAGTAATCGCAGGAATAGATCCCTTAAGCAGGTGAGAGGGAATAGGGTCATAGATACTTTGGCAGACTTGTAAATAGAAGAGTAGGCTATTCTCTCCTTGCTTCTGTTTTCTCTGTAACAGATGGAGTTATGAACTGATAGGCAGAGTTTTAAGAAGAGAGAAGATGTGGGTGTAAATTACCAGAGAAATGCAGGATTGAGGTTGAAATTGATAGAAATTTGTAGGCATAAACTTAAAGTGAAATGAGCCAGGAGTATCTCACAAAGAGATGGAATTTGTGTTGGCCTCAAAACAAAGAATAACACTCAGGCTCAGAGAGACTTGGGACACTGAGTTTAAAAAGAACAAAGAGAAATTTTAAGTACCTTGAAAGCTGTTGTCACACGGTCTTGGTCATAGCAACAATAAGCACTGGATAAATACTTGTTGAATAAACGAACGACTGAATGCCAAGATCTATTTAGAGAACAGTGCATATCCCATATGACATGCACTTTAGCTGGGAATTCTTTGTCAGGCATTGAGGGTAAAGGTTGAAAAGTAGATAGGGACAAATTCAGGAAACTCTCAAACTCCGGGATAAAGTCTTGGCCTTTAAACCTGCAGGCCAAGTGTTAATAACTGGTACTAAGAATTCAACGGCAGTACAAACTTGATTATGGAAGTGATGGACTTCATGGAACAAGGACCTACCCCAGTTCCAGACCACCCCCCCCCCAGGCAATATAAATCTGTCTGCATTCTTCTGAGGATCAGGTCTAAGAAGGAATGCTCTAACTTGGGGGCATGGAAATCTTATCCAATTACATTATGAAAAAAACCTGACATGAACATTTTTTAAAAACCAACATGTTTACTTAGATATTTTTTCCAGGGCACTATAGGGATCAGGAGAGAACAAGAAACCATTTTCATGTGACCCTTCAAAGTAGAGGGAGAAATGTGCATCACATAGCAATGTGAACCCATATCAAAACTGAACGTTGTCCCTCCTTTCTGGGTCAAAGTGGTGATTTGTGGACAACGTGTGCCCTCAAAACTTTGTTCCCTCCATAGTCTTAGACAGCATTTAATTGGCTTGCATTTTAATTCAATAGAGTTCCAGGAAGGAGATGAGCATGTTGTACAAGTTAGAGGCCAGGCATGGTGGCTCATGCCTGCAATCCCAGCACTTAGGGAGGCTGAGGCAGGTGGATCACTTGAGGCCAGGTGTTCAAGACCAGCCTGGCTGACAGGGAGAAACCTTAATTAGCCAGACATGGTGGTGCACACCTCTAATCTCAGCTACTCGGGAAGCTGAGGCCAGAGAATGGCTTGAACCTGGGAGGCAGAGGTTGTAGTGAGCCAAGATCATGCCACTGCACTCCAGCCTGGGTGACACAGCAAGACTGTGTCTCAAAAAACAAAAACAAAAACAAAACAAAGCAAAAAAAGAAATAAGGAGCTTTAGTGTTGGGAGCAACCTCAGAACCCATCTCATCCAACAGCCCAGCCCATGCAGGAATCCCTTCCATACAACAAACTTAGAGTTAACTTGACCCACAGGACAGTAGTGAGAAGTGAAGCCAGCTGGGCTTCTGGGTAGGGTGGTGACTTGGGGAACTTTTCTGTCTAGCTAAAGGATTGTAAATGCACCAATCAGTGCTCTGTGTTTAGCTAAAGCTTTGTAAACGCATCAATCAGCACTCTGTAAAAATGCACCAATCAGCGCTCTGTGTCTAGCTAAAGGTTTGTAAACGCACCAATCAGCACTCTGTAAAATGGACCAATCAGCACTTTGTAAAATGGACCAATCAGCAGGATGTGGGTGGGGCCACATAAGGGAATAAAAGCTGGCAACCCGAGCCAGCTCTGGCACCCTGCTCAGGTCCCCTTCCATGCTGTGGACTCTTTGTTCTTTTGCTCTTCACAGTAAATCTTGCTGCTGCTCATGCTTTGGGTCCACTCTGCTTTTATGAGCTGTAACACTCGCTGCAAAGGTCTGTGGCTTCGCTCCTCAAGTCACCGAGACCACGAACCCACCAGGAGGAACAACCAACTCCAGACACGCCACCTTTAAGAGCTGTAACACTAACTGCAAAGGTCTGCAGCTTCACTCCTTAAGTCAAGTGAGACCACGAACCCATCAGAAGGGAGAAACTCCAGGCATATCTGAAGGAACAAACTCTGGACACACTATCTTTAAGAACTGTAACACTCACTGCAAGGGTCGGTGGCTTCATTCTTGAAGTCAGGGAGACAAAGAACCCACTGGAAGGAACCAATTCCGGACACAGTAGCATTTGAGCACTGTCTTTGGGCAAGGAGCTTAAGAAATGAGAAAAGCAACATAAATCATTCAGTGAAAGGCAGATCATCATAAATAAATGTTGCCAAATGAAACAATGTGTAGAATCAAAGGTCTTTGAAAGAGGGAATAGTTCCGATGAGGTTTCTGGATGGTTCAAGTGCATTGCACTTATTGTGTACTTTATTTCTATTATTTCATTGTAATATATAACAAAATAATTATATGCCTCACCATAATGTGGAATTGTTACCAAAACACCAAGGGTTCAGTTTAGGTCCTGTTGCTTACGGCACAGAAAGCCAATCACTGAGATGATGAGTATTGCCAAGGAAGAAGGCTTTAATTGTGTGCTGCAGCCAAGGAGATGGGAGCTCAGTCTGAAATCAATCTCTCTGACCAAAACTAGGGGCTTTTTTAACAGGGAAGAAATGTAACAATATGTAAGAAAACAGGAACTAGGGAGGGGTAAGTAAGCGATCATAAGGAATGAGGCGTCCAGGTCTCATTGTCTGGATGTGGTGATCTGGTGAGTTTCAGTTCTTTGATACTTTTTTTGAGAGGCCTGAAGGTCAGTTCCTGAGGAGGGAACCCAAACAAAACAAACATAAGCTTCAAGCTTTAAGATCAGGAAGGTTAATTTCTCTATTTATCCAAAAGAACAGTCTATGGAACTATTGGGTTGGTTTCAGAATCAGTGGGAGCCCTGAGCTTGTTTTCCCGCAACTGGACAGTCCCATCTGGAGGTGATAGGAGACTGTGGCAGATCATCAGGCATTATTTTCTCAGCAGTAGCATGCAACCTAGGCCCCTCACATGTGCAGTTCACAACAGGGTTCATGTGCCTATGAGAATCTAATGCTGCCATTGATGTGACAGGAAGTGAAGCTCAGGTGGCAAGCAATGAGGATCGTCTGTCAATACAGATGAAGCTTTGTTTGCTCTCCTGCTGCTCATCTCCTGCTGTGCAGCCCAGTTCCTAACAGACCACAGACTGCTACCGGGGGTTGGCGACCCCTGCCCTAGGAGATCCCCCTGGGGTCAAATCTTAGAAAAACTGTGCTTCTTGCTATACTTTCATCGTCAAGGTTATACATCTTCACTACAGAAAAATTAACTGTACAGGAAAGACACGAAAAAGCGTCTCTGAGTCCCACGACTCACACGACTGTGGCTAACAATTGGGGTGTTATTTTTAGTCACCACTCTATGGATATTTATCTTTTTTACCCTAAAACTTTTTACCATCAACTGTGTATAGATCATTGTACATCATGCCTTTCCACATATTTTTATAGCAGAAGTGTTTTTCACATTTAAATCAATTCAAAAATATTGATTCACACTCAGATGTGTCAGTTTCCTCACTCAGTGCTGGTGATAGAGAACTAAAAAAGAAGCCTTGAGTCCCAGAAATAACTTTTAGAGGCAGGGAATTTTTTAGGTGAAGATGTGTGTTTTCTCCTGAGGCAGAATCCTTGTGCACCTCCTAAGGGGATCCATACTCCTTCCTTCATTCATTTCATAGGACAAAAGAAGTTACTTAGGAAACTCCATATAATAAAGTAAGCTCTCTTAAGTTTGCCTAAAACAGACTCCAGCCAAGGAGAGCTACATACTCATTGAAAACAGTGATAAGTGCCATTACCATGGAATAGCATTAAATAACAGCAGCAGCAAACTCTCATCTGTGTCTACTCTGTGCCAGGCACTGCTGTGAGCCCTTTACTTGTATTAACTAACTCACAGTGATGGTTAATTTTGCATGGCTACTTGACTGAGGTAAGCTATATGTTGCGGGAAGTCAGGGACCCTGAACAGAGCGACCGGCTGGAGCCGCGGCAGAGGAACGTAAATTGTGAAGATTTCATGAATATTTATCAGTTCCCAAATAATACTTTTATAATTTCTTATGCCTGTCTTTACTTTAATATCTTAATCCTGTTATCTTTGTAAGCTGAGGATATATGTCACCTCAGGCCCACTGTGATAATTGTGTTAACTGTACAAATTGATTGTAAAACGTGTGTTTGAACAATATGAAATCAGTGCACCTTGAAAAAGAACAGACTAACAGCGATTTTTAGGGAAGAAGGGAAGACAACCATAAGGTCTAACTGCCTGCGGGGTTGGGCAAAAAGAGCCACGTTTTTATTCTTGCAGAGAGCCTATAAATGAACGTGCAAGTAGGAAAGATATCACTAAATTCTTTTCATAGCAAGGAATATTAATACCCTGGGAAAGGAATGCATTCCTGTGGGGAGATCTATAAACAGCCACTCTGGGAATATCTGTCTTATGCGGTTGACATAAGGACTGAGATACACCCTGATCTCCTGCAGTACCCTCAGGCTTACTAGGGTGGGGAAAAACTCTGCCCTGGTAAATTTGTGGTCAGACTGGTTCTCTGCTCTTGAACCCTGTTTTCTGTTGTTTAAGACGTTTATCAAGACAATATGTGCAACGCTGAGCATAGACTCTTATCGGTGGTTCTGCTTTTTCCCTTTGTCCTGTTCCCTCAGAAGCATGTGATCCTTGTTAGACACTTATTAGCAGTTCTGCTTTTTGCCCTTTGAAGCATGTGATCTTTGAACCTACTCCCTGTTCTTACACCCCCTCCCCTTTTGAAACCCTTAATAAAAACTTGCTGGTCTCAGACTCAGGCGGGCATCACGGTCCTACCAATATGTGATGTCACCCCTGGTGGCCCAGCTTTAAAATTCCTCTCTTTGTACTGTCTCCCTTTATTTCTCAGCCAGCTGACACTTATGGAAAATAGAAAGAACCTACGTTGAAATATTGGGGGCAGGTTCTCCCAATAGGTTTACCCAGATAGCTGGTAAAATATTGCTTCTGGGTGTGTCTGGGAGGGTGTTTCCAGAAGAGATTGGCATTTAAATTAGTAGACTGAGTAAAGAAGATCTGCTCACACCAAAGTGGGTGGGCCTCATCCAATCTGCTGAAGGCCCAGATACCACAAAAGGGTGAACGAAGGGCAAATTCTCTCTGTCTCTTCTTGAGCTGGGACATCCACCTTCTGCTTCCCCGGGACATAGAGCTCCTAGTTCTCAGACCTTCAGATTCAGACTAAATTACACCACTGGCTTTCCTGGGTCTCCAGTTTGCAGACAGCAGATTGTGGGACTTCTTATCCTCTGAAATCGCATGAGCCAATTCCCATAATAAATCTCCTCTGGTTCTCTCGAGAACCCCAACTAATGCACCACAAAACATCAAATATTTGCAATCTGGTTCTTTACAGATATAGTTTGCTGACCCTGATCCAAATAAAAAGGTAAAGTCCCCCCATACAACACCACTACCACCACCATCAATCACACTTTTTCCCCAGAGCTGACACTGCTCACAGTTGGAATACAGAGTTTCAAGCTGTTCTGTGTACATTTATAAACATAGATGTACACATACAAATAATTTTCCACATAAGTGAGATCATATCATATGTACTGTTCTGTAACTTGCTTTTTTCATGCACCATACCTTGGAGCTCTTTGAATGCCATAAAGAGCTAATTCATCCTTTTCAGTGGCCACAGAGCATTATACAGTGCAGATTCAACCATAATTTACTTAACTATCCTTTCATAGGGAATGAGTTTTCTGGTGTTTCATATTTATAAGCAATGTGACAAAGAATACTAAGTGCATATTTTTGCACAAGTAAAAATATTTTTGTAGAATAAATATTTAAAATAGAATTACTGAACCAAAGGACATGCCTTTAAAATTTTCGATAGTGTCAAAATGCCATTCAGTAAGAGGACATCAACATTTAAGCTGCTAACAACTGACCATACAATTACCCTTTTACTTAAAGTCTTGTATATTATTATTCATTTTTCTTCATTCCAGGCAATATGATGGGTAAAAAGTGTATCTTGTGGCCTTTTTCCAATGAATAAATATCAGTCATGACTTTTGTCTTGTGAATGGCCTGTTTACAACCATTGTTCATTTTTCTATAACAAGGTTTGAAGGCGTATATTTTTGCTCATTCCACACAGCGTTTCATAGTTCTTTTCAAATTAAGCCAGTTGCCAACATTTAGATATTGAGATAGTTAATATTTTTTAAATTTTTATTTTCAGCTTCTCTAGAAAATGCGGAGGCTCTGACAACACTGGGCCCCCACTGGCAACAAATGGCTGAAGCAGAAGAAAGTGTCTTCTTCTAGTGGGCAGGGGCACCCATGGGCCCCACGTTCCTATCCTCTTGGAACAGGCCACTGACCTTCTCCTGTGACCTGCCTCACCTCTGCAGGCACTTGGTTTTACAATTCCTGTTCTATTGGGTTATTTACCTTTTGTTTTTAGTAGATTTTTTAGTAGCTCTTTGCACATGCAGACTTATTCATCTATCTCTTCTACACATTAACTATTTTCTTCCATTAATTCCCTTTTTGTTTATGCTGTCCTTTGATATTCAGAAGTTTAAAAATCTTCCTGTAGTGGAATCTGTCAGCTTATTTAATTTTATGACTACTGGGTTTTGCAGTTGCTTAGAGTTTTCCTCAATCAAAGTTTATTAAAAAAATTATTTTCTGCATTTTCTCATATTATATATGGTATTATTGGTATTGCTATTATTATTATAAGTTGAGCAGCCCTTATCCAAAATTCCTGGGAGCAGATATGTTTCAGATTTCAGATTTTTTCAGACTTGGGAATATTTGTAGAATACAAACCAGTTGAGCATTCCTAATCCAAAAATCTGAAATGCAAAATGCTCCAATGAGCATTTCCTTTGAGCAGGTCAGAGCTCAAAGAGTTTTGGATTTGGAGCATTTTGGATTGTTGGATTACAAATGCTCAAACTATATTATTATTATACCTTGTGTTCTTTCCTGTTCCTGAAACTAAATTATATTTTGCATGTATTGTGATAGCCAATTGCCCAGTTTGATTTTTAGAGTATTTCATCATTTGCTCATTTACTTGAAATCCCACAAAGAGGAATACACTATCCTGTGCTATCTTGTGCATTTTTTTAATGGGGTCTCACTTTGTCACCCCGGCTGGAGTGTAGTAGTGTGATCACAGCTCACTGCAGCCTCCACCGCCCCAGACTCAAGTGATCCTCCTACCTCATCCTCCCAAGCAGCTGGGACTACAGCCATCTGCCACTACATCTGGCTAATTTTTTGTATTTTTAGTAGAGATAGGGCTTCTCCATGTTTTCCAGGCTGGTCTCAAACTCCTGGGCTCAAGCAATCTACCCACCTCAGCCTCCTAAAGTGGTAGGATTACAGGCATGTGCAAGTGCACCCAGCCCCTGTGCATTTTGTTTTTTGAGACGGAGTCTCGCTCTGTCGCCCAGGTGGAGTGCAGTGGCACGATCTCGGCTCACTGCAAGCTCCACCTCCTGGGTTCAGGCCATTCTCCTGCCTCAGCCTCCTGAGTAGCTGGGACTACAGGCGCCCGCCACCAACCCCGGCTAATTTTTTTGTATTTTTAGTGGAGACGGGGTTTCACCGTGTTAGCCAGGATGGTCTCGGTCTCCTGACCTCGTGATCCACCCGCCTCGGCCTCCCAAAGTGCTGGGATTACAGGCTTAGCCACCGCACCCGGCCCCCTGTGCATTTTTTAACTAAACAGTATATCTAGAAGATTATTTCATCGTTGCATACATAGATCTACTTGATTTATAACAGCAATGTTAATAATTTCATTATCAGATAATACTATTTTATAATTTGTTTAACAAGTCCTCTTGTTTGGTAAACACTTAGGTTTTGTCTAGAGTTAGGCTCCTATAAAAAGTGGCGCAATAAATATTTACATTTCATTGTGCACCTGTACGAACATCAGTAGAATCAATTTCTAAAAGTTGAACTACCAAATTTAAAAGTATGTGCATTTTGGAAGAATATTGTCTAATTGCCCTCTAAAGATAAGCTTACGCTCCCACCAGCAATGTATAGGAATGTTGGAAATGCCATTTCCCCACTCCCTGTGTATTACTGAATTTTCTGATTTTGATGGATCATCTGATTTATCTGATAGGTACAAAGTGACATCTCATTATTTTAATTTATATTTCTTTAATTTTCAGTGAGAACAAGCATCCTTTCAGGTGGTTGAGTCACTTAGATTTCTTTCTTAATACCTTGCTTATTCATATCCTTTGCACATTTTCTAAGGTCTGTTTCTTATTGGTGGGCTAATGATTTTATATTAAATGATTAAGTGCTTGTTATATTCATTGCAAGTATTTATTTGCCCAGTTTGTGGTTTGAATTCTAACTTTTTTTTAACTTTCACTTTTTGCATTTTTTGCTTTGTAGAAATTTTTAAAATGTAGTCACGTGTATTAATGTTTACTTTTCATGGTATCTTGGTTTTGAGTATTGTTCAAAAGGATCTTCCCAGCTCTTACTATTTTCTTAATATTCTTTTAAAATTCTCCCATGCTGACAGTTTTTACATTTAAATTTTTAAGTCATTTGGAATGGATTTGGTATCAGGAGAGTTATAATCTTTTTCTTCAGTTGTCTCAACCATTTATTAAATAACCCATCTCCTCCCCCACTGCTTTCAAATTATCGTGTATTAAATTTTCTTAACTATTTGGGGCTACTTCAAGACTCTACACTATTCCAGTAATTTGTCTATTCTTTACAAGCAGGTCACTGTTTTAATCATTGTGGCTTCATGATACAGTGTTACGATTTAGAGACTGAAAGATGCAGGGCTGATCCTTTAATCAATATTAGCTGAACACATATTGTCTTGGTTTTAAAAGACACACAAAAGAAGTTCAGACCCTTTCCTGCCCTTGTGAAGATAAGAAAGAGGCTGCTGCCCTATAAACCTGAGTTTCCTGTAATCTGCAGCTCAATACCACCTAGAATGCAGATCTGAGGCTCTTAGTGGATCCTAGTTGAAGAGATGGTGGTATTGGTGGGACTGGAGGGCAGGCAGGGTCCTTGGCTTAGAGAAATCTCAGACCAGTCCCAGATCCCTTAGTCTCGATATAGATTTGTAGAGACGGAGGGAAATTTTCCCCTTTGGCCTCTGAAGGTTTGCTGAAAATCACTGCCAAGAGGCAGATTAATAGGAGCAAACGCACACAAATTTATGTGACCACAGTTTTATGTGACACAGGAGCCTTCAGAATGAAGACCCAAAGATACAGGGGAAAATGCCCATGTTTATGCTTAAATTCATAACCTATTAGCATTAGCCCCTACCCCAGGATTGGATAGAAGGGGCAGGGTCTAATGCTAGTAGGTTGAGAGGGGAACCCAGCGAGGCCTGTCTGTCTAGATTCTTCTTGGCCTCTGAGCAGGATTCCTTCTGTGAGATGAAGTAACAAGCAGAAGAAGGGTTGCCAGCATAATTTCCCAAAGCCCCTGACTCTGTGAGGACCCTGTGCAGCTCTTGGAAAGATGCTTTGAAGACAAAACGGAATAAAGCACGTGGCCCCCCATGTCTCTTGCCCGAGTCACTATATTCCTCAAAAGATAAATGATCCTACTCCTTGCCTTTTCCTACAAATATGAAAATGTCTGGGCCAGGTGCGGTGGTTCACACCTGTAATCTCAGCACTTTGGGAGGCCGAGGCGGGCGGATCACGAGGTCAGGAGATCAAGACCATCCTGGCTAACACGGTGAAAACCTGAGCCGGGTGTGGTGGTGGGCGCCTCTAGTCCCAGGTACTCAGGAGGCTGAGGCAGGAGAATGGTGTGAACCTCGGAGGTGGAGCTTGCAGTGAGCCAAGATGACACCACTGCACTCCACTCCAGCCTGGGCAACAGAGTGAGACTCCATCTCAAAAAAAAAAAAAAGAAAGAAAGAAAGAAAGAAGACGTCTGGCAGGGTTAGTGATTATGCGTCTATAATCTATAACCAAATGTACTTTAGTGATCTATAACCAGATGTATTCTTACACCCAAACCTTGATGTGATTGTGCTTGAACGTAACTTCTGAGCAAGTGTGATGTAATTTTGCCCGTATGAGCCCCACCTCCTGTGTATAAGCAGTGGCTAAAACACGGCCAGAGCCGTCTCACAGAACTGCTTCCCGACTATAGGCCTGTGCCTACAGTCCTCAGTAAGACTTCTGAATAGAACTAACTTTAATTCTTGTTCTTATTTTTTGAGACAGGGTCTCACTCTGCCACCCAGGCTGGAGTGCTATGGTACTATCATGGCTCACTGCAGCCACGACCTCCTGGACTCAAACAATCCTCTTTCCTCAGCCTCCTAAGTAGCTGGGACTACAGGTGTGCATCACCTTGCCTGGCTGATTTTTGTATTTTTTGCAGACAGGATTCCACTATGTTGCCCAGGCTGGTCTCAGACTCCTGGGCTCAAGAGATCCTCCCTTTCAGCCTCCCAAATTGCTGGGATTACAGGCGTGAGCCACTGTGCCCGGCCCAATTATTTAAAAGCTTTTTTTTTTTCTTTGATACTTCCTTCTGGATATGGGGTAGGACCTTCTGTGGAATGAGGGTCTTATGACCTACAATCAAACAAGATAAGTCAGATCATTTCTTCATGGCAGTTTTTACACATTTGCAGAGGGGAAATTGAGTAATATTTTTAGGTTTTATGTCTGGCGTTGGAGATCCGCCTTGAGCAAGAGAGAGGGGTTCTAGTTTCCATGGTTTGATCTAGGGGACAATGAAGGGTGAGAGACACGAGGGCAGGAAAAGGCCAGAGAGAGCTGCTTCTGAAGTCCTAATTTTGGGGGTATTATTTTCTAAGACTCTACAGATGACATCTCTGTATAGATTTCTAATACATGTATTCAACTGCACCAGGCAAAAACATTTTGAAAGGTTCCAGGATAAAGCCCGCTACTTGACATTTCTTGCTTTGGGTCAAGCAAAAGTGGTATCCTAGCCTGCTTGTTTCATCTCCCCATCCTGTGCCGATCGATGTGTGCCGTCCGTGCAGTGTGTCCCAGCCAGCTGAGTCACCGCAGCACCCCGATATATCATATGTTCAAATGCAGGGGAAAACTAAACATTTTGTTCACTCTTCTGAAAATAGTAATAGAGTAGCAATCCATTCCCCGCAGATAATCACCTTTAATAATGCCTCAAAGAGACAGCAAGGGAAATCATTTAGCTGCTACTCTCTAGGGAACTCTGGGCAAATAAACCCCCAAAAATTACATATTGTGTAGGACACATTTTCTCCTATTTTTCCTTCAGACCCAACTTCAATCTCACTTCGAACGTAAGGTGAGAGATGACTGCGGCATGAACAGCTTCTCAGCAGTCACAGCGTGGAAGCTATGAATGAGGCCTGAAATGAAAACACTGAAGTGACAGTCTTCCAAGAAAGATCAGCAAGCGATAAATAACAGCATAAAAGACAACCGTCAGTGGCTTGCCTCCGGCAACCGAAAGGAAATCACAGGGACCTCTGACAGCTTCTCCTGCTCAGAACAGAACTCAAAGGCTCAGCAGAGCTGACAAATTCAGTGTAACTAGTGCTGGTCTTTTGGAAAGCTATTGGGATTATACTTCTCCTCCTCCTCTTTTTTGAGGAAGCTTTTCTCAAGTTCAAAGCATTTGAGAACTGGTTCTGTCAGATAGAGGGATTTAAGTCAAACCTGGCATCAGTAGAGTAAACCAGCAGTTCTCCCTAGAGATATACATCTAGACAGATGCATGCCAGATAGATTGCTGAGTGGATGAATAGTTAGATAGAGAGAGATAGAGAGATGGGTGGATGGGTGGATGGATGGATGGATGGATGGACGGACGGATGAGTGGGATGGATGGATGAACAGCCACATAAATTAGAAAGATAGACATAGATGTATGAATTGATGGATATACAGAGAATAGATAGATCAATCAATAGATAGGTAGGACATACATCTAGTTTTTCAGATGCATCATCAGCGGGAGGAAAGGAAGGAAGAGTTCTGAAAGGAATCAGAGAAAAGTAGGAAGGAGATAAGAAAATAACATGGGTGGGGAGGTTTTATGAACTGTTGAGCCACTCCGTATTTAGTAAAAAAACAATGAGGTAGGCTTTAATTACCAGAGGTTAACTTTTACTCAACAACATAGCTTTCTTTAGTGCTATTAAATATTTTAACCCTAGAAGAGGTATAAAATGATACAAATACGTGGAAGGCCCCACTTACCTGCCTCCGTCCAAATGCATTCCCTCCTCCTCCTGCCCCTCCCCAAGGCTCCCACTCCCAGCTCGTTGGCTTTTGGCATTTGGCATTGTCTGTCCTTGGTACATTTCTCCATATTCATATACAATGTATAGTATTCCTTTGCAATTTTCTCTTTTAAATTCAACATATAATTGAAATTTATCTATATTTTTAATGTCCGGCTTTGGCTCATTATTTCCACTGATTTGTAATATTACATTATATGAATAAACAGCAATTAATCATCTTGCTGAGACATTTAGCTTGTTTCCACATTTTAAGCTCTTATAAACAATGTTGAAATAAACCTTCTTTGATACAGTTCTTTCAGCACATGTGTGAACATTTCTCTAGGGTACAAAACTAGGATTGGAATTTCTGGGATAAATAACAACATAATGCTTCAATCCTCCTCTTACAATAATTATCTTGATTTAAGCTATATGCTATCAGGAAGTGTGGGGTCCTCAGTTCTTAACCTTCTCAGAAGAAAGAATTTGGCCAAGAGACCAGTTAGTCAAGTAAGCAAAGGGCTTATTAAGGAAATAAAAGAACACTGCAAGAGAGAAGCAGGCTGACAGGGCTGGAAACAGTCCCAAGAGCCCTGCGTTGTGGTTTTTATTAAGAGGGACAGTTTAAAACTTAAGTTCCTGGCCGGGCACGGTGGCTCACGCCTGTAATCCCTGCACTTTGGGAGGCCGAGGCGGGTGGATCATGAGGTCAGGAGATCGAGACCATCCTGGCTAACAAGGTGAAACCCCGTCTCTACTAAAAATACAAAAAATTAGCCGGGCGTAGTGGCGGGCGCCTGTAGTCCCAGCTACTCGGGAGGCTGAGGCAGGAGAATGGCGTGAACCCGGGAGGCGGAGCTTGCAGTGAGCCGAGATTGCGCCACTGCACTCCAGCACTCCAGCCTGGGCGACAGAGCGAGACTCCGTCTCAAAAAACAAACAAACAAACAAACAAAAAACTTAAGTTCCTGCTTCTTCTTTTTTTTTTTTTTTTGAGACGGAGTCTTGTCCTGTCACTAGACTGGAGTGCAGTGGCATGATCTCGGCTCATAGCAACCTCCGCCTCCCAGGTTCAAGTGATTCCCCTGCCTCAGCCTCCCGAGTAGCTGGGACTACAGGCACACGCCCGGCTAATTTTTTTGTGTTTTAGTAGAGACCAGGTGTTACCATGTTGGCCAGAATGGTCTTGATCTCCTGACCTCGTGATCCACCTGCCTCGGCCTCCCAAAAGTGCTGGGATTACAGGAGTGAGCCGCTGTGCCTGGCCATGTCTTAGGTCTCAGCCTTTTCTCCCAGCCTAGTTCCCTGCCCTGGTCTGTGGACGCCCCCTTACCATCAGTTGATGCTCATGTGCGAGCTGGTGTTGGCTATGAATCCTTCCTAACAGCAGCCTTGCTCGTGACCACCACCCCAGGAAGGTCTATGGAGGTCAAACCTGTACTTATTGCACTGGGCTGTGTCTTAGATATTTTCCCTTTGTCCTTTTTCCCTTCTTATCAGTATGCAGCTAGATACATTCCGACAGGCTAACTGCAGAGTGAATGATTACAGGGTGTTTGGGGGCATTCCTTTCTGCGTAGGTATCTCCCCTCCTTTCCCCCCCACATCTGACTAATTGCTGGCCCACTCCAGCATTAGCGATGTTATTAGCATGCACATTTTGGGTGGTCCCTCAGATGTGAGGCTTCCTCCCACTACTGCTCATGTCTAGCTATCAGCCTACTCTAACATAAATATCAACAACAAAAATGATGGTTACAGAACGAGATAAACAGCAAGGTTTTATATTTTAATTCAACAGTTGATTTAATTCATTACAGAGACTGCAATGAAAGACTCCAGTTTTTTCTCCATATGAAGCACTGAGACTAGAAATATTCTGAATTATAAAGCCTACTAGAAGGTCATTGAAATAGACTGTGTTTCTCTGTCTCACACACACACACACACACACACACCCCTGCGAAATCTTGATATTCTTCCTAATTGTTTGACACACATAACTCAACATTTTCTTCCCAACCAAGCTATCATTCAAGTGTAAAGACAGGGGAAGGGGCTGGGCATGGCGGCTCATGCCTGTAATCCCAGCACTTTGGGAGGCTGAAACTGAGAGGTGAAGCCAGCTGGACTTCTTGGGTCAAGTGGGGACCTGGAGAAATTTTCTGTCTTACAAAAGGATTGTAAAATGCAGCAATCAGCACTCTGTAGCTAGGATTGTAAAACGCACCAATCAGCACTCTGTAAAAATGTATCAATCAGCACTCTGTAGCTAGCAAGAGGATTGTAAAATGCACCAATCAGCACTCTGCAGCTAGCAATAGGATTGTAAAATGCACCAGTCAGCACTCTGTAAAATGCACCAATCAGCACTCTGTAAAATGCACCAATCAGCAGGATCCTAAAAGTAGCCAATCACAGGGAGGACCGAAAAAAAGGCACTCTGATAGGACAAAAACAGAATATGGCAGAATATGGGAGGGGACAAATAAGGGAATAAAAGCTGGCCACCCCAGCCAGCAGAGGCACCCTACTTGGGTCCCCTTCCACACCCTGGAAGCTTTGTCCTTTCGCTCTTCACAATAAACCTTGCTACCGCTCACTCTTTGGGTCCGTGCCATCTTTAAGAGCCATAACACTCACAGCGAAGGTCTGCAGCTTCATTATTGAAGTCAGCGAGATCCTGAACCCACCAGCAGGAACCAACTGCAGACACAAGACAGGCAGATCATGAGGTCAGGAGTTCTAGATCAGCCTGGCCAATATGGTGAAACCCCATCTCTACTAAAAGCACAAAAATTAGGCCGGGCGTGGTGGTACATGCCTGTAATTCCAGCACTTTGGGAGGCCGAGGCAGGCGAATCACAAGGTCAGGAGATCGAGACCATCCTGGCTAACACAGTGAAACCCCATCTCTACTAAAAATACAAAAAAATTAGCTAGGCATGGTGGCAGCCACCTGTAATCCCAGCTACTCAGGAGGCTGAGGCAGGAGAATGGTGTGAACCCAGGAGGCGGAGCTTGCAGTGAGCCGAGATCACGCCACTGCACTCCAGCCTGGGCAACAGAGTGAGACTCTGTCTCAGACCAAAAAAAAAAAAAAAAAAGAAGACGAGAAGAAAAATATCTTTTCCTCACCCATTGCTGGGTTCATGGCTGAAGTCCCTATAACAAAAGACAAATTAACAAGAGAAAAGTGTATTTACTTAATAAAAGCTTTCCAGGACATGGGAGCCTTCATAAGGAAATGCAGACTCACAGAAACTGTTATACTTGTGTATTTTTATGCTATGTTTGATGAGGAGTGAACCATCAAGGAGAAATATAAATGGACAAAGGAGTGTGATCTAATGGCAATAAACTAAGAGGAACTTAGCAAGGCCTGCTTGCTCAGATTTTTCTCTGTCCCTTTGTCCTCAGAGTTAAGGATTTTCCTTTCTTTCCAGTATGGAGAGAGCACCTCTCACATGAAGGCCTTACAACCTGCTTCAGGGAAAGGTCAGAAAATCCTTCGTAGATTTTACAGTCTGTTTCAGGGGAGAAGGGGCCAGGAAGTTGAGGGTAACCTTCCTGCTTCCGCCATTTCTCAAGTGCCAAGGTGTCATATTTTGGAGTAGCATTTTCCTGAACACCATCACAACATTCAGGTTTGTTTGTTTGTTTGTTTTTTGAGACGGAGTCTCTGTCACCCAGGCTAGAGTGCAGTGGCACAATCTCGGCTCACTGCATCTTTTACCTCCCAGGTTCAGGCAATTCTCCTGCCTCGGCCTCCCGAGTGGCTGGGATTACAGGCGCCCGCCACTGCGCTCAGCTAATTTTTGTATTTTTAGTAGAGACAGGGTTTCACCATCTTGGCCAGTCTGGTCTCAAACTCCTGACCTCATGATCCACTCGCCTCGGCCTCCCTAAGTGCTGGGATTATAGGTGTGAGCCACTGCGCCCAGCCCACATTCAGGTATTTTTAAATGTGTCATGGACCACTGCACTCATGAGCCCTCCTTGAAGAACCATCTTAGGGACTAAAGCCAGCAACTAAGAGATAACTACAATTAGCATGGAGAAGGACAGATGGTGAGCACTGAACACACTTAGATAGATTGAAAATTACAAAACAGCAGTAATTATGGTTCAACACAGACACATTATCCAAGGCCATTGTGAGAGTTATATAAATGCAGACATCTAATTGTGGAGGAAGTCACAGAGGCAGAGGGTGGAATGTACAATTATTTCCATACCTTATATATGCAGGATTGTGTAGATACTTTTTAAAGTCCATAGACAGTGTATATCTTCATTCCACAAATATTCCTTGAGCATTTACCATATGGCAAGCATGGTGCTAAGTACTGGGAACACAATGACGAAAAGAAGACACTGTCGAAATACAATGGGATATGAGTAGAGTAGAAGGAAAAATAGACATCAAACAATGACTCACACAAATAAAAGTAAGGCAATGACCCTGATGAATGATACAAAGTGAAGGCACATGAAACAATGAGGATGTATATACTAGGGGGCTTTACCTAGTCAAGGGAGCTGGAGAGAGCTACTGTGTGGACAGGACACACACCTGGAGTTGAGACCTAGGAGACGACATAGGTGATGAGTGAGAAAGAGAAAGCAGCAGGAACAGCAGGACCCAGCATGATGCTCAAACACCAGGTAGGAGACAGAGCCAGAGGGAAGCAGCAGGGTTTGAGGGGCTTGGCAATCAGAGATAAGAAAAAAACATCATTAATTAAGCAGCATATTCAGAAACTCATTCAAAGCCATAAAAGTACCCATTTCATACCTGCCATTGTCCAGCTATATCTAACAAATGAGATAATTGGCCCAATTTCTTCAACAACAATAAAAAAATGACAAGGAAGAAATAAGAAGGAATATGTCAATCAAATTTAGGTTGTGGTTTTTCTCTGGGTCTTCTTGATTCAAAAAAGCCTAATAGTAAAATAATATTTGTGAGACAATTGGGGAAATCTGGGCTCTGACTAGATTGTAGGAAGGAATTGTTTTTAGGTGTGATCCTGGCATTGGGATTACATTTTTAAATAAATAAGTCCTCATCTGTTAGAGGGGCACTCTGAAGTACCTGCAAATGTAAGGGTGGGATAACTTAACATCAATTCTTCTGGGTAGGAAAAACAATCAGACCATAGGAGACACTTTCTGATTCTAACAAAGCTCTTTATCTGCCAAATAATTAATGACCAAGAGAGTTCTTATTCGTAGAGAACATCTGACCACTGCCCTTCCCTGTATCTAGAAGGCGGGCCCTAATATTACTATGACAGACCCCTCTCCTATCAAGTATGACCATGATGTCTAGTTTAACTAAACATCCTGAGAGGAAATGAGATCAATACAAAGTGGCCTGGGGGAGAATTAGGCCTCTGCTCTTGTTGCTTCTTCTTACACATTAAATGAATTTGCGGGCCAGGCGCGGTGGCTTACGCCTGTAATCCCAACATTTCGGGAGGCCAAAGAGGGCAGATCACCTGAGTTCAGGAGTTGGAGACAAGCCTCATCAACATGGCAAAACCCTGTCTCTACTAAAAATACAAAAAATTAGCTGGACACGATGGCCTGTAATCCCAGCTGCTTGGGAGGCTGTGGCAAGAGAATCGTTTGAACCTGGGAGGAGGAGGTTGCAGTGAGCCGAGATTGTGCCACTGCACTCCAGCCTGGGGGACAGAGCAAGACTCTGTCTCCACAAAAAAAAAAAAAAAAAAAAAAATTGAGAATCTGATGTTTGTGATCTGCAGCATGAATGGTGTTTATAATTCTGCCTGTGTTTGTTTAAGACTCTAGAGTTCTTTTGGCTACCTCCCCTAAATAAGCATTTGGAATCAATTCAGCAAACACTGAGGTGCCTGGGAGCTTGATGGTGAGGTTTCTTGAAAACATTCTGCTGCTTTCACTGCTAAGTTTCATCCCTGATGCCAAGTCCTTCTTGGAGTCCTGGATGGGTTAGACACTCCAAAATGTGTTTGATTCTTTTAACCTGATAGGTGACCAGTGTGTCCCAAATTAGTTAGCGCTAACATCTTGTAAGCTCCTACTATATTCCAGGCACCCTGTTCGTCATATTAAAAATCCATGTCCCCAGCTGGGCGCGGTGGCTCACGCCTGTAATCCCAGCACTTTGTGAGGCTGAGGCAGGTGGATCACCCAAGGTCAGGAGTTCGAGACCAGCTTGACCAACATGGTGAAACCCTATCTCTACTAAAAATATAAAAGTTAGCTGGACATGGTGGCAGGTGCCTGTAATCCCAGCTACTCAGGAGGCTGAGGCAGGAGAATCACTTGAACCCGGGGCGGAAGTTGCAGTGAGCCAAGATCGCACCATTGCACTCCAGCCTAGGCATCGCAGTGAGACCCTGTCTTAAAAAAAAAAAAAAAAAAATCCATGTCCTCTAATCCTAACAATATTGTAACAAAAATGAGAAAATTAGTAAGGCTTGGGAATGGCAAGTAATTTGCCCGAGGACACACAACGATCAAGTGGCAAATTCAGAATTCAGATGCAATCCTCCCTTCATAGGAAGCCTGTGCTTTGGCCCTGCAGCTCGATGTTGAAGGACTGCAGAGTTCAACTTATATTAACTTTCAGGTCAATATGTATGTAGAAGTAAGAAATGCTTAATTAAGTGAGGGAAGATCAGAGACCTGATACAATAGGTCCCTTGACGGACAAAAAAAGAAAGAATTATATCAAAGGATACATCCCTAATATCCAAACTTCTAGTCTCGAAAGAAATTTCACCCTGACCTGAAGTGGAGCTTGCAATGAGCGGAGATTGCGCCACTGCACTCCAACCTGGGCAACAGTGCGAGACCCCATCTCAAAAAAAAAAAAAAAAAAAAAAAAAAACAGAAATTTCACCCTGACCTTAGCTAGGATCACGAGAGTCTCTGTTGATGCATTTATAAACTTGCTCATACCCATTCCTTGAACAGTGTGATGAATATCCATAGTTTCTTGAGGAAAGTGTTGCCTTCCCCTGACTTTGTTCCTGGCTCCTGTGGCTTGTACAAAGACCTGCTTCCTAAGTGGCCCTGCTGATGCATGCCTATGACCCTGACCTCAGCAGGAGCCAGGGCAGAACACCATCTTCTTTGGCCTAACATCACCTGCGACCCAATGTACAGCCCCCATCTCCTGCCTGGTAGAACATGAGCTTTTTACTTTGCTCCTCTGTTGTGAAGTTGTTATTTTTGACCAAAGCCCCAGTGCCCTTTGGAGGCAATCTATACAATTTCTTTTCTCTTCACATTGAAATCTTTTTATTCAGAGGAGAATCCCACCAATACAATTGCTGTATTCCAAATAGATATATCACTTGCTATAAAATTTCTCCATATAAATATTTCTCTATCTTCTCTTATCTCTGATCAATATATACTTTTCTTATCTTTGTTAGGTTTCAACTGTGTTTCAATCTGATGGTCTGTTTTGATCACTTCCATATAAAACACAGTGTTTAACAAATGCTCAATAATTAATATGTTAAGCGCTAAATAAGATGAAATGTTAAAAGATTTCATAGAAATATTCTACTATTTTGAGTTTATATCTATCTTTGCACTTTCAAACATTTTTACATGCCAATAACTTGTTTTAAGATATTACCAGTGAGGCTGGGCACAGTGGCTCATGCCTGTAATCCCAGCACTTTGGGAGGCCAAGACAGGCGGATCACCTGAGGTTGGGTGTTTGAGACCAGCCTGACCAACATGGAGAAACTCCGTCTCTACTAAAAATACAAAATTAGCTGGGCATGGTGGTGCATGCCTGTGATCCCAGCTACTCAGGAGTCTGAGGCAGGAGAGTCGCCTGAACCTGGGAGGCGGAGGTTGCAGTGAGCAGAGATTGCACCATTGTACTTCAGCCTGGACAACAAGAGCGAAACTCCATCTCAAAAAATATATATACCTATATTACCAGTGAAACATATCCTGAAAATAAAATTGACAATTTACTAGGATTTTATTGAGGGCTCATTATATACATTTTTAAAATTCACTTGCCTATATTTTTGGTTAGACTTTCAAAAGTAAGTTATATTGAATACTGACAATGACAAAAAATAAATAAAAGGAACCCAACAAAATCATTAGGCTGGTAATATGAGCTATGTGGCAGGCTCTCCATATGGACCTATGTTAGCTGCTAACGGCTATTAGATCAGAAAAAGATGAAGTCATCACAAAGCACTCTGCTCAGTGTGTTCCTCTCTGTTATATGACTGTACTGAGTCTAATGTGAACAATGATACTGCTTCCATCTCCATGACACTTCCTCCAAAAAACCAAAAGTGCTATAGAAATGTTCTCTTATCGATTTTCATCTCTCTGATGCAGTGCTTTGAAAGCCCCAGAGGGAAGTGGTGCAACCAAGATAATTCGAAATCAAACCTCCCTTTGCTTGACTCAAGCTTGGCTCCACCCTGGGCATGACATAGCCCTCTTCATTTCTCTCTCCTAAACAAAAAGAGGTTTAGCCAATTAGAAGCTCAAATTCATTATACAGTGCAGTTCACTTTGTTCAGTTCTCAGAAACATTTTAAATGGCTGAAGGGCCATTTTCCTTTGGAGGGTTATTGTGGTTGCATTTGGAAAGGTTTCCCACCTATCAGCCTGTTTTCTTTGTATCTATAACACAATGGACAATGGTGAACATTGATGGTCCATGTGGAATTTTTTTTAAAAAAGAGGGAAGAAAGGAAAATTTGTAGAAATCCCAAAGGAAATACTTCCTTGGCTTTAGTCAGCTTAAATATATATATATATATATATATATATATATATATATATATATATATATATATATATATATATACACACACACATACATACATATATATATATATACATACATATATATATATATAAAAAATCTTTTTCTTTTAACTTGTTTGAAAAGTTAAACAAAGTACATATATATATTGACCTTTTCAAACAAGTTAAAAGAAAAAGCCTAAACAATTGAGTTTTACTAAAACAGGAATCTAGGCCGGGCATGGTGGCTCACACCTGTAATCCCAACACTTTGGGAGGCCCAAGCGGGTGGATCACCTGAGGTTGGGAGTACAAGACCAGCCTGACCAATATGGAGAAACCCCATCTCTACTAAAAATACAAAATTAGCTGGACGTTGTGGCGCATGCCTGTGATCCCAGCTACTCGGGAGGCTGAGGCAGGAGAATCGCTTGAACCCGGGAAGTGGATGTTGCGGTGAGCTGAGATTGCGCCATTGCACTCCAGCCTGGGCAACAAGAGCAAAACTCCGTCTCAAAACAAACAGCAACCACAATAAAAAAACAAAAACGGGAATCCAGTCAGTAAGAATCTCTGAGTGCGGCCTGCTTTGAGGAGAGACCCTGAGAGGCCAATAAGATCCGATGCTCCCACACGTCAGCTGTCGTTCATTTGTAGTTCCCTTTCTACCACAGAATTGATCCATGAGGCCCACGCCATCTTTGAGGAAAGCAAAGAGCCCCCATCATTCTCAGCATCCTCTACCAGAGTTTCTCTGCGGCAGCACTATTGACATTTTGGACCAGATTGTTCTTTGTTGTGGGGGGTGTCCTATACATTGTAGAATGTTGAGTGGCATCCCTGGTGTCTACCCACGAGCCAGGAGCACCCCCTTTTGCATCCTGGTGATCAAAAACATGTCTAGTTCTTGCCAAATATCCCCTGGGGAGGGGCAACATTGTCCCTGGTAGAGAGCCACTGTCCTGTAAAACCCACCCTGAAGCGTTTTTTAAACTAAATTTCTCCCAAGACTTGGTTATTGCCAAATGTTACCAAGAATGCTATTGTTTCATATGGAATGAACCAGAATCCAACGAAACTCAAGAGGCCCCCACAGTAAAAAGACTCATGGGTTCAATAGCAGAAAACTGCACACCCATTCAAAAAGCAGCAGCCTTGAACACCTTTTCCCCAGAAAACTAAAGGCCTTTCAAGCTAAGGCTCTTGTTTTACTGCCTGAGGCTTTAGAGAATAAGAATGTTTCTTCTCACCCCAGCCCCTAATTATAGATGTCATTAACTAGTAATCAATTTTAAGATGAATCGCTTTGTCCTTAAAAATGCATTAGGATTATAGGGTGGCTTAGTGATTAACTGAACAAATTGACACACATGATAATGTTACCGTTAATAACAATTACCTGTTGACAACTAAATTAGAGATTTCCAGTTATTTTCTTTTTCTTTTTTTTTTTATTATACTTTAAGTTGTGGGATACATATGCAGAAGGTGCAGGTTTGTTACATAGGTATACACGTGCCATGGTGGTTTGCTGCACCCATCAACCCGTCATCTACATTAGGTATTTCTTCTAATGCTATCCCTCCCCTCGCCCCCCGCCCCCGACAGGCCCCAGTGTGGTGTGTGATGTTCCCCTCCCTGTGTCCATGTTAAAAGGTAAACTTGGCTGAGTGTGGTGGCTCACGCCTGTAATCCCAGCACTTTGGGAGGCCAAGGCAGGCAGACCACAAGGTCAAGAGATCGAGACCATCCTGGCCAACATGGTGAAAACCCATCTCTACTAAAAATACAAAAATTAGCTGGGCGTGGTGGCGCATGCCTGTAGTCCCAGCTACTTGGGAGGGGCAGAGAACTGCTTGAACCTGGGAAGCAGAGGTTGCAGTGAGCCGAGATTGCACTCAAATTTCTTTGCATTTTACTCAAATTTCTTTGCATTTTAATGTTTTGATTGTTGGAAGTTATTTAAATAAATAAGTAATCCATCATGAAGTGCTTTTTTTTTTTCGGAGTCTCGATCTGTTGCCAGGCTGGAGTGCAGTGGTGCATTCTTGGCTCACTGCAACCTCTGCCTCCCAGGTTCAAGCAATTCTCCTGCCTCAGCCTCCCGAGTAGCTGAGACTACAGGTGCACACCACCACCACGCCCGGCTAATTTTTGTATTTTTAGTAGAGATGGGGTTTCACCATGTTGGCCAGGATGGTCTGGATTTCTTGACTTCGTGATCTGCCTGTCTCGGCCTCCCAAAGTGCTGGGATTACAGGCGTGAGCCACCGTGCCCGGCCATGAAGTGCTCTTTTAAAGTGACTTGATTTATTTGGTTTACAAGCAATACTGGTAGCCTTGACTTAACTGTTACAAGTATGAATTTATCATTTCTTTTTCTTTGAAATGGTTAGCTGTAGAAAAAGTGCAGTCCCAATGAATTCGGTGCAGACAGGCCAATCATTTTTATCAAAAACAACAAAGGCAGCATTTTCTAAGAGAAGTCACCTGGCAGGACCCTGCTGATACAAATATTTCAGTGTTCCATTAGTAAGAATATACAACTATGTACAGTAGATCAAATATGACCCTGCAAGAAAACACGAGACCTCAGGCAACATTTATCTTGTATTTTAAAACAGGATAAAAGAAAAACTACAGGAGGCTGGGAGTTGAAGCCATGAGTCTTAAAAGGAAGCCTGCAGTAGGAGAAATATCAATGAGAGGCCATTACCAGGGAGAAATTTGGAATTACATCCCTTATTTCTATTCTCAGACATTTCAATTTGGTTAATATTCTGATTTTATACCACCTAAAGTAGCGTGAGGTGATTAAAATAGCACCGAATGCGGAGTAATTTAAAAAATGGGGTGGGGTGTGGGGCTGGAGATTAATAGAGCCCTTCGGGAACTTTAGGTTTTTCAAGAGTTACCTGGAGGCCCCTCACAGACTAGGAACTGTAATTCAGTAAACAGATCATAAAGCAATGCCATACCCACATGGGGCTCCACACCGCCCAGGTGACTTTGCAATCCTTTTCCTATTCCATCTTCTTAATAACCTTCAAGGAGTTTTGCTGAAAGGAGTTTACTAAAGGGGCTATCGGCAGAGGTGGGAGCTGGGCAGAAGGAGGGAACTCAGCAGAAAGCACCCAGGGGCTAGGAACTGTAGGAAGCGGTGACCTTGCCAGGCCTGAAAGAGGCAAGAATGCGGTACTGCAGTGCAGACAAAGCTCTCCTCCGGTGCCTTGCGTGGGAGAGGCCAGCTGCCCTGAGCTAGGAAGAGCAGCAGGACCGCGCGAGCCAAGCAGGGAGCAGGGAGGAAGGGAAACAAACTCCCGGGCACTCTCTGCGCCCACCCAGGACCCGCGCCTCACGTTGGTCGCACCCACCGGGAAGTCAGGGAAAGGGAGGCCGGGGATGCAGGCTGCGCAGACCACATCAACCACCCTGCCAGGACCGCCCCTGCCTCCCAGAGGCATCACCAGGGCGCTTTTGAGACTCTTCTTCCCAAATGGAGTCGCTCCTTCCCCTTCACGGCCATTGGCTTCAAAACGCGCCCCAGGTCCTGGGGCTTACTGCGAAATTGTCGTGGCATGACCTGAACGTGGCACGCAGAGTGAGTTTGGGTCGCCTGGAGAAGGTCCACTCACACCTCTGTCGTCGTCTGACCATTTTGCTGAATCAGGATTGTGATTGGAAGGATGGTCTTCTAAAAATAAAATTAAAAACTTTTGTGAAAATCTTCGCACATGCCCCTTTGAAATCATCACCAGGCCCACACCCCGCCTTTACAAAATAGTTTTGGCCAGGCGGTGGCTCACACCTGTAATCCCAGCACTTTGGGAGGCCGAGGTGGGCAGATCACTTGAGGTCAGGGGTTTGAGACCAGCCTGGCCAACGTGGTGAAACCGCGTCTCTACTAAAAATACAAAAATTAGCCGGGCGTGGTGGCGTGCGCCTGTAATCCCAGCTATTCGGGAGGCTGCACGAGAATCGCTTGAACCCAGGAGGTGGAGGTTGCAGTGAGCCGAGATCGCCCCACTGCACTCCAGCCTGGGCGACAGAGCAAGACTCTGCCTCAAAAAAAACAAAACAAAACAAACAAAAAACCTGCCTGTGATGTTTTGTTAGTGGGCATATTCTAAAAAGCAGGCGTCAAGATGGGGTTAAATGAGCGAGGACTTCATTAGGAAAAGTGCTTGGGTACAAAAGAAGTGGGGAGGGAGGGGGAGAGCCATTTCAGCACAGTGCAAGTGTGACCTCGCCTAAAGAAGAAAAGGAGGGAAGACTGGGTGCAAGCACCTTAGGCTGCTGCACAGGGAACTTGCAGGACATGTTGGGGAGTCCTTGAGCTAAAGTCAGCCAGTAAAGGGACCCCATGCCTCTCAGGATCACATCTGCTTTGGTATCCCTGCCGCACTCGGTCACTGGCTCTAAGCAGCCCGGGGCAAGTGTGGCCTCAAAGGAAGAGCACTTATGGGTTTCAAGTGCAGTAGCCAGGCCCTTGGTCAGGTGTGCTCCATGGGGTCCGTCCTCAGCCAGAAGCATTCTCATCAATGCCAAACCTCTGCTTTACAACTCTGCCATCTAAACAATCATTCATGTATGCTGGAAGATGCTGTATGTGGATCACCACCCTAATCAGGCCTACACCCTTCAAAAGGGATGGTTAATTAGCAGCTGAAAGAGTCAAATCAAAACCCTCATCCTGGAGGCTACCAGGAACCTTCAATTATCTTCATCTTAAACCAGCAGAGAAAGTTGTAATATATATTAGAGAGCCTACCACAGTAGACTCAAAAACCGTGTTAGTGTGTTCTTGGGCCTACTTGATAATTATTGTTCATGTAGTAAAATTTGTTCTGAGACTTGATGACATTGTAGCATAAACAGGATAGAGAGGTTAAAAAGGAGAAAGCTATGTCGCTCACCTATGTTTTAACCAACAGATGCTACAGAGGCTACTAATACTGTCCAAAAAGAAATACATTGTGTTCATGGATTGGAAGATTCAATATTATTAAAATGTCAATTCTTCCCAAATTAGTCTATAGGTTCAACACAGTCCCAGTCAATCTTCCAGCAGGCTGTTTTACAGATATAAATAACCTGATTCTAAAATATACATAAGGCAAATAAAATAGCCAGAAACAATTTTTTGAAAAGGAGAAACAAATGATCAGAGGACTCACCCTACACGATTCCAAGATTTACTCTAAAGCAGGGGTATCGAATCTTTTGGTTTCCCTGGGCCATATTGGAAGAAGAAGAACTGTCTTGGGCCACACAGAAAATACACTAACACTAATGATAGCTGATGAGCTAAAAAGAAAAAAAGTTCATGCAAAAATCTCATTCTCATATTTTAAGAGAGTTTATGGATTTGTACTGGGCTGAATTCAAAGCCATCTTGGGCCGCATGTGGCCTGCGGGCTGTGGGTTGGACAAGTTTGCTGTAAAGCTTCAGCAGTCAAGACAGTGTGGCATTGGTGAAAGGACAGACAAATCAACAGAACACAACAGAGGTGCACACAAAAGTAGACAAATGATTTGTGACAAGGCTGGAAAAGGCAATTCCATGGAGAAATGACAGTCTTTTCAATAAATGACACTGGAATAATTGAACAATCCTATACAAAAACATAAATCTCAATCCATACTTCACACCTTATGCATAAATTAACTCAAAACAGACTGGAAAAAAAATGCTAAAACTATAAACCTTCTATAAGAAAGCATAGTAGAAAATTTTCATGACCTTGATTTAGGTGAAGAGTTTTTATATGCAACTTCAAACTATGACTCATAAAAGAAAACACTGATAAATTAGACTTTATTAAAATGTGAAACTTTTGCTCTGCGAAAGATACAATAGAGAATGAAACAAGACACAAACTAAAAGAAAATATTTTCAAATCACATTTCTGACAGAGGACTTTCATCCACTAAGACTATATAAAGAGTTCCTAAAATTCAGCAATAAGAAATAAAATAATTCAGTTTTTAAAAATTGGGCAAAAAATGTGAATAGACTCTTTAACGAAGAAGATATACAGGTGACAAGCATATGAAAACATCCTCAACAGTATTAGTCATTTGGGAAGTGCAAATTTAAACCACAATAAGATACCAGACATGTCTACTAGACAGAAACATATCTATCTATTAGAGAAATTCACCAACAATCTGAAGAGTTGGCAAAGATATAGGAACTGAAACTGGTGCTCTCTTATCTTGCTGATATAATGCAAAATAGTTAAATCATTGTAGAAAATATATTATCAGTTTTTTATGAGATTAAACACATACTTACCATGTGACCCAGCAATCCCATTTCTAGGTATTTACCTAGGAAAAACAAAAATGTATGTTTACACAAAAACCTGCAATATATGAATTGTCATAACAGTTTTATTCATAATTACCAATCTCTGAAGTAATCCAGATGTCCTTCAATCTATGAATAGATAAACTATAATACATCAAACAATGACAGATTGTGATCAAATTCTGGGAGGTGGAGAAATAAGTCATTCAACCTTTCACTGTTTAGCATAGGGTTAGCTACATGTTTGTGCTTCATAGATATCCTTTCTCAGGTTAAGGGAATTATCTTCTATTTTTAGCTTTTGCAGAGTTTTATTTTTATCATGAATGAATAAATTGAATTCACTCATTAATTGAATTTTGAACTGAATTGAGTTGAATTTCATCAAATCCTTTTCCTGCATTCATTGAGATGATTAATGCATTTCTTTTAGTCTGTTAACATGGTGAATAATATTGATCAATTTTGAATGGCTGAATCAGCCTTGTATTCCTGGGATAAACCCTGCTTTGACCGTGATGTAGTATTTCTCTATATTGCTGGATTCAAATTGCTAATATTTTGTGAAGGATTGTTGCATCTATGATAATGAGGGATATTTGTCCCTAGTTTTCCTATAATGTTTTTGCCTGGTTTTGTAATTAGGGTAAATACTGGTCTCATAAAACTAGTTGGGAAGTATACTTCTATTTTCTGGAAAGGGTTGTGTTAGAACTGACAGTATTTTTTTCCTTAAAGGGTGGTAGAATTCACCAGGGAAACCATCTGGGCCTGGGATTGTATTTGTTGGAAGGTTTTTAAATACAAATTCAATCTTTTAAGAGATAGTGAAATATAATTCAAATTATATTTCTTTTTCACTCGATTATGTATTTCTTCCTGAGGTTTGTGTCTTTCAAGAAATTACTCCTCTTCATCTAACTTGTAGAGGTTATAGACACAGTGTTGTTCATATAGTGTTAGTACCTTTTAATGTCTATAGTAATGTGCCCTCTTTCATTCCTGATGTTGATAATTTCTGTTTTCTCTGCATCTCAGAATCAGTGCTATTTATCTTTTCAAAGAACCAGCTGTATTAGTCCATTATAAAGAACAACCTGAGACTGGGTAGTTTATAAAGAAAAGAGGTTTAATTGACTCACAGTTCCACAGGCTGTAGAGAAAGCATGGCTGGGGAGACCTCAGGAAACTTACAATCATGGCAGAAGGCAAAGTAGGAAGCGAGCACATCTTCGCATTGCTGGCAGAAGAGAGAGAGAGCAAAGAGGGAAGTGCTACACACTTTCAAAAAACCAGATCTCATGAGAACCCCATCACGAGGATAGCAAGGGGGAAGTTTGCCCCCATGATTCAGTCACCTCCCACCAGGCTCCTCTTCCAACACTGAAGATTACAATTCAACATGAGATTTGGGTGGGAACACAGAGCCAAGCCATATCACCAGCTTTTGTGTTTTGTTTTCTCTATTGTTTTTCTGTTTTCAATTTTATTGATTTTAACTTATAACTATTATTTTCCTACTTCTGCTTGTTTTAGGCTTTAACTTGCTCTTCTTTCTGTAGTTTCTAAGTATGGAGGTTTGATGATCAATCTGAGACATTTATTTTCCAATATAAGCATTTCATGCTATAAAACTCTCAATAAGCATTGCCAAACTGCATCATACACGTTTGAGAAAAATATCCTTTTATTTTAATTCAGTTTAAAACATTTAAAAACTTCCTTTGAGATGTCGTCTTTGGCTCATGAGTTATTTAGAAATATGATGTTTAGTTTCTAAATATTTCAGAATTTTCAAGAATATTTTCTATTATTGAATTCTACTTTAATTATAACATGAACATACTCTTTGTATGATTTCTATTTTTTTAATGTGTTAAGGTTTTCTTAAAGCCCAAAATGTGATCTATCCTGGTAAATGTCAATGTGCACGTGGAAAAAAATATGTATTCTGCTATCAGGTGGAGTGATCTATAAACGTCAGCTAGGTCAAGGCAGTTTAAAGTGTTGTGGAGGTCTTCATTATCTGTACTGATTTTCTGCCTACTTGTTCTGTCAGTTCCTGATGGAGGATTTTTAAGTCTCCAACCATAATTGTAGATTTGTCTATTTTTCTTTTCATTTCTAGCAATTTTTGTTCCATGTATTTTGAAGCTCTCTAGTTCAGTGCCTACACCTCTAGGGTTGTCAATGTGTTCTTGGAGACTTGACCCTTTCATCACTAAGTAATGTCTCTCTTTCTTTCTGACAATATTTTTGTTCAAATTCTACTTTTTCTGATATTCCAGCTTTTTTTGTTAATATTTGCACCATATATATTTTCAACCTTTTACATTTAACCCATCATACCTTAGTATTTGAAATGGGTCTCTTTTAAGCAGCATAAACTTCAGTCTTGCATTTTCATCCAATCTGATACTCACTGTCTTTAAATTTGTGCATTTGAACTATTCACATGTTATGTGATTATTGATATGCTTGGATTACAATGATCATGTTTCTACTTGTTTTCTATTTATTCTTTGGTTTTTTTCTCATTTCCTGCTGTCTCAGATTAATTGGGGATTTTTTATTATCCATTTTATCTTCACTATGGAGTCATTATTCATATCTGTTTTTTTATTTGAAAAGCATTTGTTAGCATTTAATGACTCTCCTTCCATGTGGCTTCAAGCTACAAGGCCCACCACACTCACACCCCTAATCTTCTCCTCAGCAATTCTGCTGAAGCATTTGACCTTCATGATGACAGGCTGCTTTAGCAGTTTTCCCTTACCTGGAACTTTGTAGAAGCCTGGCCACACCACATCAATGATGGGACCAATTCCTGTCTTGGTTTTGGCAGCATTTACCCATGTCTGCTCACTGACCAAGGTCCACAATTTATCAAAGTTTACAGTAGGGCAGTCGTTCGGGCAAAGCTCTGGTTCCACTTCAAGTGGTAATGCCGCATACCAACTTTCCCAAAGGAACCTGGGTGTTATTTGTGGAAGTTGATCTTGTGGTGATGCATGATCCCAGCAGGATCCTGGCCCCCCAGGTAATTTCAGTGTTTGTCGATGCAGCAAGAGACTCATGTGGCCCCAAAGATTCCAAATCTTCCTCCGTCTGGATGGCATGTCAGTGGCCAAGATGAAAGGACATAACAGTTTTTCCAAAATTTTGGTGGTTGCCCTAGTGTTTACAGTGTACACCTTTAATAATCACAGTTTATCTTTGAATAATATGATGTTACTTTGCTTGTAATATAAAGATCTTACAATTACACAGTCAGCCCTGGATTCAACCAACTACAAATGGAAAATATTTAAACTGATAATAATAAAAAATAGCAATATAACAATAAAAATGATTCAAAAAATACAGTAGAACAAGTTACACAGCATTTACAATGTATTCATTATAATAATCCACAGATAATTTAAAGCATATAGAAAGATATGCATAGGTTATATGCAAATACTATGCCGTTTTATATAAGAGACATGAACATCAGTTGATTTTGGTATCCCCAAGGGTCTTGGAACCAATTTTCTAAGGATACGGAAGGTGGAATCTATACAATTTTTCCCTCTCATCTTTTGTGCTATTTTTGTCATATATTTTGCTTGTATACATTCTATAAACATATAATTTATTGTTACTATTTTTGCTCTAGATAGTTCTCTTTTAGAAAAATTAAAAATAGGAAAAATTATTTTAACTTCATTTATTCTATTTCCAGTTTTCCTTAATTTTTGTGAAGATCCAAGTTTCTGTCTTGCACCACATTTTTTCTTGCCTCAAGACTTTCTTTAACATTTCTTTTAGTGTAGATCTGTTGACAATCCATTCTCAATTTTTATTTGCCCAAAAAAAAGACTTTATTCTTCTTCTCTTTTTTGCAGGGGGCTGGAATGCCATGGCGCAATCTTGGCTCACTGCAACTTCTGCCACCTGGGTTCAAGTAATTCTCATGCCTCAGCCTCCCAGGTAGCTGAAAATACAGACACGCGCAAACACGCCTGGCTGATTTTTGTATTTTTAGTAGAGATGGGGTTTCACCATGTTGGCCAGGCTGGTCTCGAACTCCTGACCTCAAGTGATCTGCCCACCTCAGCCTCCCGAAGTGCTGGAATTACAGGCGCGAGCCACCGTGCCCAGCCTCTTCTTCATTTTTGAAAGATATTTTATGTATATGTACAATTCTGGGTTGACAGATTTTTTTTTCTTTAACCATGTCAAAGATGTCTTCTGGCTTACATAACTTCTGATAGTATAATTCAATAACAATATATAAACAAATGTAATTCTTATATTTGTTTCCTCGTATGTAACGTGTCTTTTTTTCTCTTCTTGCCTTCAGAATCTTCTTTTTGTCCTGTGAGAAATTTAAATACGACATGCGTAGATGCATAGGTTTTTAGTAGGTTTTTGTTGTTGTTATTTTGGTTGGTTTGTTTTTTGTTTTATTTTATTTCATGTTGTATTTATCTTGCTTGGCATTCTCTGATTTTCTTGGTTATGTGGTTTGGTATCTGTCATTAATTTTGAAAAATTATCAGCAATTGCTTCTTCAAATATTTCTTTGCCCCTTTCTCTCTATTTTTTCCTTCTGGAATTCCAATACATGTGCATTACATCAGTTGATATCGTCCCATAGCTCTTGGGTTCTCTGTCTTGTTCTTTTAACTCTTTTTTCATTTGTCTTTTAATCAATGTAATTTCTAATTATCTCTCTTTACGTTCTCTGATTCTTTCTTTGGCTGTGTTGAATCTACTGATAAGTTTGTCAAAGGCATGAAGCTCAACAGGTCAAGATGACCACAACCACGCAGTGGCTACTGTGTAACTGCTTGCTTACTCAGAAGAGGGGAGCTCTCTCGTTGGCTGCTCACCTCCCAAGGCACAAAACCTTTGGCCCTGCACTCCACTGGTTGGGTGCAACCCACTGCATGTGTACTATCCAGCTAGGCCCATGTGGCCTCACTTCATGCACTTGGGGTTTGGGGGATTGGTGCAACTCTGTGTCTACTTTTGGCACCTGTGAGTAGTGGCAGGTTAATTCCAGCCACCCTCTGTGGGGTATAGCTCTTCGTGACAGGTATGTATTATTTTGTTTACTTTTATGTTGTCTTTCTTCTACCAGAATATAAACCACAAAAGTGCTTAAATCTGTGAGACCTACTATGTGCAATATGTTCTACTAGATGAGACAAAAGAAGTGACAGATTGGATGTCTGCCTCAGAGTGCTATGATTTTGTGAGAAAGAAAGGAGAAACACATCTCAAACCATAAAGACCCAGTCATTCACTTTCATTATCATGAATTCCTTAAGCTCAATATTATCCCCAATATTTTTTTGAATCCTATGCATTGCCTTGTACGTAATAGACATACAATAATTCCAGCAATAAATGTTTGCTGGGCCGGGCGCGGTGGCTCACGCCTGTAATCCCAGCACTTTGGGAGGCCGAGGCGGGCGGATCACGAGGTCAGGAGATCGAGACCATCCCGGCTAAAACGGTGAAACCCCGTCTCTACTAAAAATACAAAAAATTAGCCGGGCGTAGTGGCGGGCGCGTGTAGTCCCAGCTACTTGGGAGGCTGAGGCAGGAGAATGGCGTAAACCCGGGAGGCGGAGCTTGCAGTGAGCCGAGATCCCGCCACTGCACTCCAGCCTGGGCGACAGAGCGAGACTCCGTCTCAAAAAAAAAAAAAAAAAAAATGTTTGCTACATTGATGTGTACAGCGTTTCCTGTATTGTGTATGTATTGGGATGAACCATATAAAATTGTGAATATAGGACCATCTTTAATTTGCAAAAACAATAATTTTATGTGGCTCACCCTAATACTAAGCTCCTAATAATTATTTCTAAATCCCTTATTGAAAGAATTCTAGGCAAAGTGCTGAATTAAAATGACATATTTAGTACCAAAGACTGGAAATTAGGTAACCAAATTTTCATTGTCTATTTACCCCTCATAACTCTTTGTCCCAACATTTTTGACCCTTAAATTCACATCTATCCTGAAAGTTGTAGAGATAAAGTGATACAAAATGTAAATCGGAAAAGGTTATGTAGTTATGAGAAGTGATAAGGGACCTTTTATTTTGACATTTTACACAGCAAATAAGGAATTACTAATCAAGATATAATGTTGATGAGATAAAAACTGCCACAGCTTTTAGAGGGAAATTTGCAATATGTATCAAAATATTGAATGTGCATGCCCTCAGTAACAGCAATTGCACCTCTAGGGTGTGTCCTACAGAAACACCCCCCACAAACACATAGATAACCTTCCAACCATGTTCATTGCAGCACTATTAATGGTAGCAAAATACTGGAAACAACCTACCTGCTAATCAATATGAGAATGGTTAAACCAATTGTATTATGGCCATATAAAAGAATACTATGAAATTCTTAAAAATAATAAAGACAATATCTATGTCATAAAAATAAATTTAAGATCTATAAAAGTAAAAAATACTGCTAAATGATACATATTGTACCATCTCATTTGTGTTATTTTTGTTAAATACTATGTATGCAGGATATTTGTGTGTTTATAAATGGAATGATACACACCAAATTCTGAATAGTAATTAACTCTGGGAAAGGAAGTTGAGTTAACGAAATGTGTGTCTGTGTGCGTGTGTGTGTGTGTGCCTCCCCCACCCAACTCCCCTTACCCTCCAACCCCCGACCACCACCCCCACCCCACATACTGAGGGATGGATTTGAAAAGAGAAATGCAAGAGGCTCTGACCTGCCAGGGTTTGATGCGGAAAGCAGTAGCCACTGTCTGCATTCTGGGTATGAAGCATTTAAGACAGAATTGAGGTCTTCATGCCTACTGCAAGAACAGCAGGAGGGGATGCCGGGAAAGCTGCCACCAAAACTCAGAGTAGTCGACAGCAGTGGGCAATGGAGTTCCACTACATCTACAAAGCTTCCTGGAAAGGGTGGCACAACTGTTGTGTCCATAGAGTTGGAGCTTTTGAAAAGATCTGAGAACCTACATGTTTGACCCTTACCACTTCCCAAGGGTGATGGCCTCTGATGCGCTTTACCGTCCAAATCTCATGAGTTTTCTCACTGGCCAGTTCTAACCCAAGTAGGGAAATGATCCCCGAACTCAGATGGGATAGGAATGATGATGCCACATTAACCACAAGCAATGCAGCCAGAGACTAGTGCTTTTTTTTAACCATATAGGTACTGTTATGGTTTGAATGTGGGGACATTGCACCTTCTACTGAATCATATTATCACATATATAATTCCCAGAGTTCATACAATCCCCCATGTTGAAAATCCACCTGAGAGAAATAGGTTTTGACACAATTACTGAAAATATGACCACAGATCCTGTTAACATCTTTTAAATTTTTTTTTTTTCTTTTGAGACGGAGTCTCGCTCTGTCACCCAGGCTGGAGTGCAGTGGCACAATCTTGGCTCACTGCAAGCTCCGCCTCCCGGGTTCACGCCATTCTCCTGCCTCAGCCTCCCGAGTAGCTGGGACTACAGGCGCCCGCTGCCAGGCCCAGGTAATGTTTTGTATTTTTAGTAGAGATGGAGTTTCACTGTGTTAGTGAGGATGGTCTCCATCTCCTGACCTCGTGATCCACCCGCCTCAGCCTCCCAAAGTGCTGGGATTACAGGTGTGAGCCACTGCGCCCAGCCAACATCTTTTAAATTTTCATTTGAACAGAAATGAATTCCAACAAATTGGTGGGCATATATTCAAATGGATCAGTGAAAGCCTACTGTCAGCTACATGCAGAAGATTGTACATGCCTATCATAGTGATTTACAAGGCAGAGAAAGGCAATATACTTCACTTGCTATTTTCATTCAAAGTAAGAAATGCACAAAGGGCTTACCCTCAGGGCCATTTACTGTACATGTCATTTTACAATATACCTCTTTGGGGCAGCCTATATTTTATGACACTCAGGCAGGCACATTTATTGCCTGCAACAGCCTCTTGCCCGTTTCATGTTGTCAGAGCCCCAGTTTTGCTCTGAGACTCAGGAAAATTATGATTGATCTAAGCCAAACCTGGGAAGCCCTTATCAGGAAGTGGTTTAGGAGTGGCCAGCTGAGCCTTGAGGGAGCGTCTGCTGTGGAACTTCTTGGAAAAGTTTTCTCTGCTCATGGAAAGGGCCACAGGGGAAAACAGCTCCTCTTCCCAACCAGACCTTGTCACATCCGGATGTGATGTTTGTTGTTACTTGTTGTCACTTGTTGTCATCTTGAATCCTGGCTGGGAAGCAACCTTGGGACGAAGCCCAACCTAAGGGGTGCACAGGGAGAGGACATAGGAACCTGGCAACTGACCAAATCACAGAGCCACTACTGAGCCATGCCCTTTCTCTGGATGTCCAGGGACTTTTGACGCTCAGTGTCCCTTGTTTTACGTCAATTGATTTGGGATTATTTACATCCAAAATCATCTTACCTTACACCTGTTTTTACTAGAATTTCTCAATTATGACCCTTTGTAATGAAATTTAATGATGGTAGGAGCATTATGCTATACTAAATCCTGGATTTGCCATTACTCCAACCTCGTTACTTCCTTATTCTTTGTTCGTCTATCAAATAAGAGTGATAGCCAATATTTCCATTCTGTCATGTTATGATTCATTGCTAACTGGAATTCATCATTAATGGGTTTAAATGAAAACTGGTAATAAAATCGGGTTTAACTCCAAGAGGAGACATTGGGAAAGAACCAAGCTGAGTTATATGGAATCACATATGTGGTGGTTCATATATTTACACTGCATTGAGGTCACTACGTTCTCACCATATCAAACTGAAAAAGTCACTACTATGAATAGTTGGACATGTTTTACGGAGAAAATATTGATTTTTCTTGTTTTATGGTTCTCCATTAATAGGTCAGTTTAGTAATAAATATGCAAGATGTTTTGTTTGAAAAAAACTAGACTAATTTCTTAAGGTAATATTTTTGGCTGATTCATGTTCTTGTTTCCCAGAATGCTTTACATGATGACGTGCATATAGTAGGTACTTAATAAATGTATAAATGAATGAAGGAAGCCACAAGCTGTCTGATACAGAGCCTCGGCCATAAAGACACAAGGCTATTACTTCTGTAGCTCCATCACCCATTAGCTGGGGCCCACTTAGTTATAATTATAACCCAGCTGATACAGTTTGGAAGTATGTTCCCACCCAAATCTCATGTTGAGTTGTAATCCCCAGTATTGGATGTGGGGCCTGGTAGGAGGTGATTGGACCGTGGGAGTGGATTTCTTATGAATGACTTAGCCCCATCCCCTGAGTGCTGTCTTCGTGATAGTGAGTGTCTTCTTGCAAGATCTTGCTGTTTAAAACTGTGGCGGCCGGGCGCGGTGGCTCACGCCTGTAATCCCAGCACTTTGGGAGGCCGAGGCGGGCGGATCAAGAGGTCAGGAGATCGACACCATCCCGGCTAAAACAGTGAAACCCCGTCTCTACTAAAAATACAAAAAATTAGCCGGGCGTAGTGGCAGGCGCCTGTAGTCCCAGCTACTTGGGAGGCTGAGGCAGGAGAATGGCGTGAACCCGGGAGGCGGAGCTTGCAGTGAGCCGAGATCCCGCCACCGCACTCCAGCCTGGGCGACAGAGTGAGACTCCGTCTCAAAAAAAAAAAAAAAAAAAAAAAAAAAAAAAAAAAAACTGTGGCATCTCACTCTCTCTGTCTTGTTCCCGCTTTCGCCATGTGACGTGCCTGCTCCCCCTTCACCTTCCGTCATGATTGTAGGTTTCCTGAGACATCCCCAGAATCTGAGCTTCCTGTGCAGCCTGCAGAATTGTGAGCCAATGAAACCTCCTTTTTTTGTTGTTATAAATTACTCAGTCTCAGGTGTTTCTTTGTAGCAATGTGAGAACGGACTCACACACAGGCCGACACCAACACACTGTGAGATCCTGGAGATGTTAGTGAACATCTTCTCAACAGGCCCCAGTTTCCTCATCTATGCGATGAAGACAGTAGTAAATACTTTCACAGAAGTTGTTGTGATGATTGAACAAGCTAATGTCTGCTCCCAGCTCCCTCTCACACCCCATGCACATACTATGAAAATAATCTCAGGTTTAAGAAGTCCTGTACCCCAAAAGGCAGGCACCTGTATACCAAAAGACTGGCAATGTTCAGGGGTGCTGTGTCCATCCCAGAGGGAATGTTTTATTTTTATTTATTTATTTATATATTTATTTATTTATTTATTTATTTAATTTATTTTTTGAGATGGGGTCTCACTGTGTCACCCAGGCTGGAATACAATGGCGCGATCTCTGGGAGCGTGTTTTTTTTTTTTTTTTGAGACAAAGTCTTGCTCTGTCGCCCAGGCTGGAGTGCAGTGGCACGATCTGGCTCACTGCAAGATCCACCTCCCGGGTTCACGCCATTCTCCTGCCTCAGCCTCCCGAGTAGCTGGGACTACAGGCGCCCGCCACCACGCCTGGCTAATTTTTTGTATTTTTAGTAGAGACGGAGTTTCACCGTGATAGCCAGAATGGTCTCAATCTCCTGACCTCGTGATCTGCCAGCCTTGGCCTCCCAAAGTGCTGGGATTACAGGCGTGAGCCACCACGCCCAGCTGGGAGCGTGTTTTTTATAGAGTGTAGGGTTGTGCTTCCAGCCTCTCCTGACTCATGTTCCATCTCTCCTGCCAATCTGCCTGGCAAAAGAGACAGCTCCTTCCTGGCAGAGGAGCTGACATCAGCGACCAAGCAAGGACCACACTCTAGTAGGGACAGCCAACATCTACACCAGGAGGACACAGCTTTGGCTATGCTAACCTGGCCGACAGAGGCAACATCAGGCATCAAGCTAATGAGGATGGTTACCTGAGAATCCTCAACTCAGCACCTATCTAATGTGACGTTGAAATATTTCCACCTGAGATGTCAACTTGAATAATTTAAAGAAGTTTAGAGATTGGCAAGTTAAAAACCTACAAATTACTAACAGAATCATTTAGTCAAGTCTGGGGATCAAAGGATCTGCTGACCTTTCCTCTACTGGGTACTCTACCCTAAAAGACCACAAAAAAGGCTGTTGGTTTGGGGAGCTGGGTCCTGAGAGTGCAGTGGTTCTCAAAGTGGGGTCGCTGGATCAGCAGCACCAGTATCATTGGGAACCTGTTCAAAATGCAAATTCTCAAGTGCCCGCCCAGACCTATAGAGTCAGAAACTCTGGGGAAGGACCCAGCCATCTGTGCTTTAGCAGTCCTCGCACCCTCAAGGAATCCTGCTGCTCATTCAAGTTTAAGAACATCTGTAACTAATAATGGATGGGCTCTGACTCAAGGAGGAAATGAGCAGGACAGAAATAGCTGGTATAGACAGATCCTGAAAAAATAAAACTGCATATATGACAGGTGGAAATCAGTCTATAAGCACCCAAGCCCTCTGCAAGGTAAAAGAAATAGAAAATACCCTTCCCCTCTATGTAAACTCCCCTGGGGACAAATACCTTGTGACTTAGTGGTTTTTTTGCTCTTTTGTTTGTCGTTTGTTTTGTTTTGGTTTGGTTTGGTTTTTGTTTTTGTTTTGGTTTTGGTTTTGGTTTTGGTTTTAGATGGAGTCTCGCTTTGTCACCAGGCTGGAGTGCAGTGGCGTGATTTTGGCTCACTGCAATCTTCGCCTCCCAATCTCCACCTCCCAGGTTCAAGCGATTCCCCTGCCTCAGCCTCACGAGTAGCCAGGACTACAGGTGCGTACCACCACGCCCCGCTAATTTTTTTTTTTTTTTGTATTTTTAGTAGAGACGGGGTTTCAAAATGTTGGCCAGGCTGTTCCCAATCTCCTGACCTCATGATCTGCTGGCCTCAGCCTCCAAAAGTGTTGGGATTACAGGCATGAGCCACCACGCCCGGCCGGAACTTAGTTTTTAAGGACGCTCTAAGCACTTAGGTTAATTTATAATAAGAGCAAACACAGAGCATTGTTTATGTGTCAGGCGCTGTACCACATCTTCTATTATCTCATTTAATCCCCCAACAGCCTAGGACATCAGTTATTGATTTATTATTATTCTCATCTCACAGATGCATAGCTTTTGAGATAGCACACTGAGTGCAGAATAGAGCTGGCTTTCAATCCTTCGTAGTCTGATTTCAGGGTCCAGTTCTCTTAACCACTACACTCAACATCCTCAACATTCAGTAACTGTGTATTGAACACCTGTTACTTACAAAGCAATGGGCAGATGAGGGGAGGATAAAAATAAGAGGTACCCCTTTTCCCAAGTAAGAACTAACAACCTAACAAGGAAGGTGGCAGTGACAAGCAGCTCTAATATGAGGCAGACAGAAACAAAGACCACGTTTGTAGTGCAAGCATGGAATTGGGGAAGGCCACAAGGAATACCATTCAATCCAACAGAGAGGACCAGGTTTCCCAGAGTATTGTCATGAGCAAAGAGAAGGGGAAAGCCAATCCAGGAAGACAAGAGAGGACAAGAGAAGGTGTGAAATGACAATAGGGGCAGGCTCCGGGCAGGCACGCAACCCAACGTGGAGGGGCAGAGGGTATGTGGAGTAGAAAATGTGGTTGGAAAGTAGAAAACCCCATGCTGAAGACCTTGAGGGGCCTTGAATTCCATGGCAAACAGTTTAGATTTCTACTTGTAGGCTACAATGAGTCATTTTAAAATTCCTGAGCATGAGAACAACGTGATTTGTTCCCTTCTCCTAGGAGAGGACCAGGGAGAAAAAGAGAATTTAAAAAAAGGAAGAAAACCTACATTTAAGAATTCAGCAAAGGAGAATCCATTGAGATAAAAAGACCATTTAGCATTATGTTAAGTGAAATAAGCCAGGCACAGAAAGACAAATATCACATGTTTTCATTCATAGGTGGGCACTAAAACAGCGGGTCTCATGGAGGTAGACAGTGGAATGGTGGTTACCAGAGGCTGGGCAGGTGGGGGAGTGGGGACAAAGACAGGTTGGTTAAAAGATACACACATTTAGATAGAAAAATAAGTTATATTGTTTGGTAGAATAATAGAACTAATTTACTACAACTATAATCACTTTAATGTGACTATAGTTAACAATAATTTATTGTATATTTCAAAATAGCTAGAAGAGAAAATGTGAAATATTCACAATACATTTGATAAATGATTGACGTGATGAAGATCCTGATTTGGTCATTACAAATTACATAGTATATGCATGTATAATTACATATTATATGCATGTATCAAAATATCACAGGCGCTCAATAAATATGTACAATATTATGGGTCAATATAAAAAGGAAGAAAAAAGTCTGGTAATGGAAAAAAAGACCTTTGGTTTGAATGAAAAGATTTTCATGTGAGGGTAGCCCATATGAATGAATGAATAAATGAATGAATGAATAAGTAAATGAATGAAAGCAATTAATAGATAGTGGCAAGGATTATAGAAAGGTCAAGAGCATGAAAACTAAAAGCAGATTTTGGACTTTGACATGGAAAAGCAGAGTGTGACTTGCCGTAGGCCCCAGCCACTTCTTGGAACAGGCTTGCATTGCTGTATTTTATAAGCACTAATCCCTAGTGCTTATAAAATGCAGAAGTATGTTTTGAAAAACAAAATACACTCCCTTGACATTTCAAACTCAGAAAAGAAATTTCTGGGAAAACATATTGTGACACTTTTTTTTTTTTTTTTGGTCCTTTAGGGCATTTTGGTAATAAAAAGGTATTTGTCTCATAAAATAGTCTTACACTACTGCTCTGAAATTTATTATTGTTTTCAAGTTTAGAATAACTGGCTTGATCAGAAAATACAGAACAGTTGCACCTAACATTATCGGTTGCCTTCATTGAGGCTCTTTTGGTTAAAAAATACATATATATGTAGAAAATACGCAAAATAGCTTAGGCAAAATTTTGGTAACACATAGAATAATAGCATCTGCTGGAATCTAGTAGCAGGATGAACTGCTGGGGCTCCGGCAAAGCAAGAACCAGAAACAGAAAGTTGGGACTGAGGATGTTATCTCCGTCTCTACAGGGTTATGGAAGGGTCTTCTCCCAGCTGTTCATTTAACATCCACCTCACTCTCACTCTCTCAAAGCTGCTGTCTCTACTACGGTATAGATTTGTCCAAAGATGGCTTAAAGTTTACATTGCTTTCCACTTCAAGCACCTAATAGAGAATTTTTTAGTCCATTCAGGCTGCTATACCAGAATACCACAGACTGGGCGGCTCAGAAACAAATAGAAATGTATTTCTCATGACTCTGGAGACTGGAAGTCCAAAATCCAGGTGCCAGCTGATCAGGTGTCCTGTGAGGTTCATAAACAGCTCCTGATAGATAGACAACCATCTTCTCACAGTGTCCTCAAGGCAGACAGGACAAGGGAGCTGTCTGAGGTCTCTTTTGTAAAGAAACTAATCCCATTCATGAGGGCTCCACCCTCATGACCTAATCATCTCCCAAATGTCCCACCTCCTAATACCATCACATTGGGGATTTGGTTTCAACTTATGTATTTTGGGAAGACACAAACATTCCACCTACAGCAAAGAATAATTAACATTTCAGTAGCTCAATCCTAAATTTAAGGGAGAAAATCTGAGTACCCCAGCTTGAGTCAGACAATCAAGCAAGTGTACCCAGAAAGGGCTGTCTCTAGTGTTAGTTCTACAAGTCCAGCGGCAGCAGGTGGGGCCCTGCCCAAGGCCCAAGCTGGACAGATTCCCTCCTAACCATCCACTGGAGGAATGTTCCCAAAAAGCTGTGTGAAAACCACATTTGAGTACATTGAGTCCTGTTTAAAATGCATCACAAATAAATAACACTGATACAGCGATGCTGAAATTAAAAAACTTTTTTCACAACTTATTCTCGTTAATGGCTAAAACACCACCGATGAGGTAGATGATATAATCTCTGTTATGATTATAACATAACATATAACATATAACATATAACATAACACATGAGAAAATTGCAGCTCTCAGAGGATGGAAGAATGAATGACATACAGTGACTTGAGTAATTATCTTCAACAGTAGCAAGCATCCCAGGAGCTGGGAGGGATTCAGAGCACTAAGTGCTGATCGTTCAAAGGATCTGGCACTAGCATCAGTGGCTGCCTCTATACACATGAAATGATGAATGGCAAAACCAGGTTGCACTGATGTGTACTGAATGAACTGCAAAGGAATAGAGAGCTCCAGGAGCTCAGAGAAGGGGAAGACTAGGAACCAGGGCAGTTGAGGAAGGTGACCCCAAGGAGGCTCGGCTCCAGTGGCCCTTGAAGTATATACAAGACATAAACCAACTGCAAGACTAAAGAGAATGGGGAATGGGGAATTGACAGAGACTGGTTCAGAAGAAGAATTAGCCTCAGCTGTCTAGCTTGTGTATATATACATTCCTCCTCCTCCTCAACCTACTCAACATGAAGACAATGAGGAGGAAGACCTTTATCATGATCCACTTCCATTTAATGACTAGTAAATATATTTTCTCTTCCTTATGATTTTCTTAATATCATTTTCTCTTCTCTAGTTTACTTTATTGTAAGAACACAGTATATAATACGCACAATATACAAAATATGTGTTAATTGGGCCAGGCGCGGTAGCTCACGCCTATAATCCCAGCACTCTGGAAGGCCGAGGCTGGAGGATCACTTGAGGTCAGGAGATCGAGACCAGCCTGGCCAACATGGTGAAACCCCGTCTCTACTAAAAATAAAAAAAATTAGCCAGGCGTGGTGGCAGACATCTGTAGTCCCAGCTACTTGGGAGGCTGAGGCAGGCGAATCTCTTGAACCTGTGAGGCAGAGGTTGCAGTGAGCCGAGACTGCACCATTGCACTGCAGCCTGGGCAACAGAGCGAGACACAATCTCAAAACAACAACAACAATAGCAACAACAACAAAAATATGTGTTAGTCAATTGTTTATGTTATCAAGGCTTCCGGTCAACAGTAGGTTAGCAGTAGTTAAGTTTTTGGGGATTCAAAAGTTATATGTGAATTTTCAACTGTGCAGGGGGTGGGTCAGAGTGGCAGTTGCCACTCTTAACCCCCAAGTTGTTAAAAGGTCAATTACATATTAAAAAATATAGAGAACATATTTGTATCATATATATAGAATATTTATATATAAAAGAAGTTTTCCTTTATATACATATATACTTACACACACACACACAATTATGGAGAGAGTAAGAAGACAGAGTACATAAAAGTCATCATTTAACTGAATCCGTCGTAGTGAATTAGTTTTTCCATATAAATGGGTTTTTCAGCCAACTGCAGCTTCAAATATCAAAATACTTTTAGTTAAACCCGTTTTGAATGGAAGTATTTCCAAAATGAGATAATCCCTATAAAGCAGGTAGCATAGACCCTGGATACACATCACATAGCACTTTAGGTGATATGACACTTGAGCTCACTGCAACAGCAACAGGAAGTGGCTACAAAATTTTATGTGGATTATCAGCTGTGGAGATAGCGCCCCTAGTCCCTGCATTAAGGATCAACTGTACTAAAGGGAACAACTAGAATAAAAACTGTGAAAATGGATTAGAATTGAAAATATTGGTGAGAACCCATGGTTTTCAACATATTTTAATATGGAAATATAGATGAATGTATGCATGCAGGTATGCGTGTTTATGTTTACCCATGTATTGCCCTGCTCTGTTCACTGAGGAAGCCTGTGAGCAATGAAAACCCCTGCAGCCATACACTCACCTATCACAGTGAGCACCCAAGACCTTGGTTTTTAGATATTATTCTCTCCTCAAAAGAAATCAGGTTTTCTAAGAAAAATGGCTGATTCCAGGCCTGAAGCACAGAAAATATAAGCTTGGAGCATCTTGTACCAGAAAGTAAAAAGTGCTCAAGGAATAATGGGGATAGGCCACAAAGGATGATAGAAAACCCAAATTAAAGGCAACAGCCTCTGTGTTTGAGGCTAACAAGAATCCACACATCAGCAAAGAGAACAGATGTGTCTAGGAATCATTTCCTGAAATAACCCCTCCTCCAGTTGGCTTTGAGCAAAAGGCTCTAATGAGACCAATGCCTCCCAAATGTCGCTGAACAGTAGCCAACTGCAGCACGGTCATGGCATCAGACGCATGGAATCAGGGCTGGAGGCACAGGGTGAAATCTCTGCAGAGACAGCCCTTCATCCTCTTCTGCCGGGATACTTCCAAAGCCAGAGGATCACTCCTTTGTAAAGCACACTGCTCCGCCCTGTTGCTGGGCAGTCCTAATTACATTTATTCCTCTTCTAATGCCCTCTTGGTTTTCACCCATCCTTGCCATTGAACAAGGTCTTTTTACTTTGTAGCAAAATGTCATCGCTCGATTTCTGTAGAAATGATGCATACATTATAGAAATTCAAATAATAGGCCGGGCGTGGTGGCTCACGCCTGTAATCCCAGCACTTTGGGAGGCCGAGGCGGGCAGATCACAAGGTCAGAAGTTCAAGACCAACGTGGCCAATATGGTGAAACCCCATCTCTACTGAAAAAAAAAATACAAAAATTAGCCAGGCATGGTGGCGGGCGCCTGCAGTCCCAGCTACTCGGGAGGCTGAGGCAGGAGAATCGCTTGAACCCGAGAGGCAGAGGTTGCAATGAGCCGAGATTGCGCCATTGCACTCCAGCCTGGGAGACAGAGTGAGACTCCATCTCAAAAAAGAAAGAAAGAAAAAAGAAATTCAAACAGTAATATGAATTTTAACTCACCTTAAATGTTACCATCCAGAAAAAACCTTTATGAATATTTAGCAAAGATCCTTATAAAAATCTCTCGGCCGGGTGCAGTGGCTCACGCCTGTAGTCCCAGCACTTTGGGAGGCCGAGGCAGGTAGATCACGAGGTCAGGAGTTTGAGACCAGCCTGACCAACATAATGAAACCCTGTCTCTACTAAAAATACAAAAAAATTAGCTGGCCGTGGACGGGAGGTGGAGGTTGCAGTGAGCCGAGATTGTGCCACTGCACTCCAGCCTGGGCGACAGTGTGAGACTCTGTCTCAAATAAATAAATAAATTAATAAATTAAATTAAAAAAAATAAAAATACAAAAATTAGCCAGGTGTGGAGGCACGTGCCTGTAGTCCCAGCTACTAAGGAGGGTGAGGCAGAAGAATAGCTTGAACTCAGGAGGCAGAGGTTGCAGTGAGCTGAGACCACGCCATTGCACTCCAGCCTGGGTGACAGAGTGAGACTCCGTCTCAAAAATAAATAAATAAATAAAAATCTCTCAATGCAGACCAGGCGCACTGGCTCACACCTGTAATCCTAGCACTTTGGAAAGCTGAGGCAGGCAGATCACCTGAGGTCAGGAGTTCAAGACCAGCCTGGCCAACATGGTGAAACCCCGCCTCTACTAAAACCACAAAAATTAGCTGGATGTGGTGGCAGATGCCTGTAATCCCAGCTACTTGGGAAGCTGAGACATGAGAATTGCTTGAACCCGGGAGGCAGAGGTTGCAGTGAGCCGAGATCATGCTATTGCACTCCAGCCTGGGCAACAAGAGCAAAACTCCATCTCAAAAACAAAAACAAAAACAAAAACAAAAACAAAAACAAACAAAAAAAAACTCTCAATGCTTACCCACACGTAGAAAGAATAATTATACCAAAATGAGATATCACAATTCTACTTTTAAATTTTAATTTTAACCTTATTATCAAAAAACTTTTATGGAAGTACAGCATACATATATACTACCAGCTTGGGAACAAATTAAAATTGCAAATGCAATAATTATCACAAAATGGCTTTCTCTGCTCGCGCGCAGTGTGGCGGCAGCAGGTGCGGCTTTGAGATGCAGAATGACACTGGTGAGTTCATAGGCCTGTACATGCCATGGAAATGGTCCAATAGCAACTGCATCATCGATGCCAAGGACCACAAATCCATCCAGATGAACGGGGCCAAGGTTGACAAGGTAGCAGGCAGGTTTAACCACCAGTTTAAAACCTATGCTATCTGCAGGGCCATTCGCAGGATGGGTAAGTCACATGACTGCATTCTCCAATTGGCCAAGACCGACGGATTGTATTAAAGAACTTTTGACTGAAGAGAATCATGGATGTGGAATATTTGTCATAAATAAATAGTAAAAACCTAAAAAAGGCCGGGTGCGGTGGCTCATGCCTGTAATCCCAGCACTTTGGAGGCCAAGGCAGGTGGGTCACCTGAGGTCAGGAGTTCGAGACCAGCCTGGCCAAAACATGGCAAAACCCCATCTCTACTAAAAATACAAAAATTAGCCTGACATTGTGGCAGATGCCTGTGACCCCAGCTACTCAGGAGGCTGAGGCAAGGGAATCACTTGAACCCAGGAGGTGGAGGTTGCAGTGAGCCAAGATGTCTCCCTTGCATTCCAGCCTGGGCAACAGAGACTCCATCTCAAAAAACAAACAAACAAACAAACAAACAAACAAACAAAAACAAAAAAAAAGGCCAGGCGCAGTGGCTCACACCTGTAATCCCAGCACTTTGGGAGGTGGAGGCAGGCGAATCACGAGGTCAGGAGATCGAGACCATCTTGGCTAACACGGTGAAACCCTGTGTCTACTAAAAATACAAAAAAATTAGCCGGGCGTGGTGGCGGGCACCTGTAGTCCCAGCTACTCGGGAGGCTGAGGCAGCAGAATGGTGTGAACCCGGGGGACAGAGCTTGCAGTGAGCCGAGATCGCACCACTGCACTCCAGCCTGGGCGACAGAGTAAGACTCTGTCTCCAAAAAAAAAAAAAAAACTAAAAAAACAATTATTGCAAAATAAATACATTTGTGCAACCTTCACTTGGGTCAATAGAACATTACCTGCATCCCAAAAGCCTCCCTTCTGTCCTTGACAAGGCAAAAGTTCTCATAATCATGATTCCCTCCTTCTTCCCCTAAGTATCGCTGTCCAGACTTTTTTTTTGTTTTGTTTTGTTTTTTTTTTGTTTTTTTTTTTGAGATAGAATCTTTCTCTGTTGCCCAGGCTGGAGTGCAGTGGCATCATCTCAGCTCACTGCAACCTCTGCCTCCCAGGTTCAAGCAATTCTCCTGCCTCATCCTCCCAAGTAGCTGGGATTAGAGGTGCCCACCATCACACCCAGCTAACTTTTTTTTTTTTTTTTGTATTTTTAGTAGAGACGGGGTTTCACCGTGTTGTCCAGGCTGGTCTTAAACTCATGACCTTGTGATCTGCCTGCCTTAGCCTCCCAAAATGCTGGGATTACAGGCATGAGCCACTGCGCCCAGCCCCAGACTTCTAAAAGCATAGATTCCTTTCATATTTTCATTTTCACTTTTTATAAAAGGAATTAAGTATTATTCTGTCTGGCTTCTTTGGCTCAAAATTGTCTTTGTGAGAATTATTGATAACATTTCACATACCCATTCATTTTGGTTGCTATGACTATTCCATTTTCGCCACAGTTTATGCATTCAACTGCCAGTGAGTATTTGGATTATTTCAGTTTGGGGCTTTTCTAAATAATGCTGCTATGCATATTCCTGTCCATGTTTTGGTATACATATGTATATATTTGTTAGATATTACTCTAATAGAATTGTTACCCAGGAGTAGAATTTTTGGGTCATGAAGAATGTATACACTCAACTTTAATCAGAAAAGGCCAAACAGCCTGGTGTGATGCCATATGCCTGTAGTTCCAGTCACTTGGGAGGCTGAGGCAAGAGGATAGCTTGAGCCCAGATTAGCCTGGACAACATTGTGAGATCCTAAAGAAAGAAAGGACAAAAGGAAGGAAGGAAGGAAGGAAGGAAGGAAGGAAGGAAGGAAGGAAGGAAGGAAGGAAGGAAGGAAGAGTAAAGAGAGAGGAAGGGGAGGGGGGAAAGGGAAAGGGAAGGGGAAGGGGAGGTCAGGGCCTGTTTTCCCAGATAGCTGTACCCATTTACCCTGTTACCAACAATGCATGAGAGCTCCAGGGATGTCCACTGTCTACACTTGATATTTCAGGGGTTTTTTCCCCTTCATTTTGGCTATTCTGAGTATGATGCCATAGCTTCTTGTGGTTTTAATATGCATTTCTTTGACGACTAATGAGGTTGAGCACCTTTCCTTGTATTTATTGGCCAATTCAGCTACTATCTGTTTTGTGAAGTGCCTGTTCAAATCTTTCACACAATTTATTTCTACTGGGTAGGTTTGCCTTTTTCTCACTGATTTGTTAAGATTATGTTGCAAATACCTTTCACATCCTATTGGCTTCTCCCTGAACTCCTTTAATGTTGTTTCTTGATGATAGCTTCTTATTTTATTATTAGTGCCTACGTTCTATTTTAAACAATAAATATTGAGGATAATTGTGCTTAAATTTAACAACTCCCACCCCCGGCCCTGGCCACACAAAAGAAACTGAAGTAAAATGAAAGAAATTGCTGAATTTCAGAGAAATATTTCCTCATTACGAAAAATACTAGTGGTCCCAGGAACTTGGGAGGATGAGGCATGAAGATCGCTTGAGCTCAGTAGTTTGAGACCAGCCTGGGCAACATGGCAAGACCTTGTCTCTACAAAAAAAAAAAACAAAAATTAACCAAGCATGATGGCACCTATCTGTAGTCCCAGCTACTTGGGAGGCTGAGGTGGGAAGATTGCTTGAGCCCAAAAGGTTGTGAGGCTGTAGTGAATTATGATTGTGCTGCTGCACTCCAGCCTTGGCAACAGAATGAGGCCCCCTGTCAAAACAACTAAAACAAGAAAAAAGAAAAAAAAATAATGGTTTATAAAATAACCTGCTAAAATTGAGGAAAGGGTTTATGAAAAATATTAATAAGTAGCAATTATTTTAAAATGTGTTTTAGTTTTAATTACAGACGGTATCTACTAACTCCTTGTTATGAATAAGGAAATTGACATTCTTACATTTCCTCTTCCCTCCTCTCCTCAGCCCCCTGAGTTTGCTAGCTTTCTCCTGTCAAGATTTACATTTTATTCTGAAGCCACAATTTCTTCCATAGTCTAGCTTTAACTATTTGCTTACATGGAGTCATCTCTCTTACCAATCTTTTCCCCATGGCTTCTCCCTGACTTCATTTCTCATTTTGCTTCATCTCTTGGTTGGCCAGACTTCATTTTCAGCTACTTTTTTTCTTTTAGAGACAGGGTCTGTCTCTGTCGCAGAGGCTGGAGTGCAATGGTGCAATCACAGCTCACTGCAGCCTTGAACTTCTGGGCTCACAGGATCCTCCCACCTCAGCCTCCCAGTAAGCTGGGACCACAGGCATGTGCCACCATGCCCAGCTAATTTTTTATTTTTACTTTTTGTAGAGACGTGATCTCACTATGTTCAACTACATTTTTAAAGGGCCCTGGGTGCTGTCTCCCTCTGATCTTGGAGAATGTTTGTCTGTCACCTTTATACTTGAAGGACAGCTTGGCAAAGTGCTCAGGCCAGGCTCACAGGCAAGGTCATCTTTATGCCTCCAACAATCAACAAGGAAGCCAGCCTTCTGGCTTACAAGCCCTGTGAGTGTGAATTAATTTCCCACAGACACCTTCCTTCTTGGTATACTAACAGCTCCACTTTCTGAATCAAATCTGCAGAGGCAAGACCCTGAGCAGAGATGGAAACCGTGGCAACCTCAGTTGCAGCCCAGGTCTCCCTCTTTTTTTGCCTTCCTCGCCCTGCCTCTCTGCTGAGGGTCGGTCTGTTTGACAACCGTGGAACAAAATAACCCCAGGTGACCCTGGCCCTACAGCATACTCCCCTCCCCGTCCCGGGGTGTGTCTGGGAGGGCCCGGAGAGCTGTTGTGAGGTTCCACCTCGAAATGGACTGTTTGGTTCCTATAAGAACAGAGGGGGCATGTGGACCAGTGAGATCACCACAGCCAGTGAGGAAGACTGGATCTATGCACCTGCGCTGTCCACACGTTCATTCCTTCAACAGACACCGGCATGCAAGGTGGCTCCTCAGAACATCCATCAGTCTCACTTTGTGTGTGAAGTGCTCATGAGAAGCCTTTCCCGACCAGCTGTTAGGACCAGAGCCAGACCGCCCCCATGCCCTTCCTTCTTCCAGGCCCTGCACTGGGAGAAGCCCTTGCTTTTTACTGACTTCCACGTCCACCCACATGCCCTGGAAGGTGTGGGTGAGCCTGGGAACCAGGCTCTCCGTTAGCACCTCCATCGTCCTTTAAAGAGCAGCCTTTCTGAGTGGCCGTCTCCACTGTCACAACAGAAGTGCTCTCGGGCCCTCCGTCTCAGTAAGTAATTTTGCAAAGTGCCCTGTAATTGTCCTGAATGCAGAAGCCAGATGTATCTGACAGCGCAGACACATTGAATGCACCCATCCCCGGGGCAGGCTGTTCAGTGTTTTTGAGCAAACTTTTTCCTAGTTCAGCACTGCCAGGTAGAAGGGCCGGCTTTGCCTGCACCCTGAGATGACTGAGGCAGAGCAGACACAGGGAAGCTGGCAGACTGCCTCAGGGCAGCCACCACAGGCCGGGAAACTTTCTCCCTGAAATAAGGAGGTAAGCCAGATACTAACAACGCAAGTGCTTTGCAAACTGACTCAGCAAGCCAGATAGCACAGTGTGAATTTTAAAAAGTTCAGTCCTTCTGTGAGCTCTGCCATGCCCAGCATCAGAGGCTGCTCTGAGAATACGCTCTTAGACAATCTTCTTGAGAGAGGGTAATGGGTTTCTCTTTGGTGTCTGTTTATCCATCCAGCCATCATCTATTTCTGGATACGGCACCACTTTCGAAGGTAGACAGGGCCATCCTGGTGTGAGATTTGAATCTGAGAAAAAAATGTAGTCTTTTACTGAAGCTGGGGTGTCATGTCTGAGGTTTTCCACCTTTGCCCCACACCTCACTAAATGACAACTTCTCCATGTTCAGAGGTTTGACACCCGATGGGCAGATGGGCCCTTGCTCCCTTTGCTTGGCTGGAGCCCTCTCATGAGCACCTCCTCCTGTCTCCTCCTGTGGGAGTTTGCTTGGCATCACCTCCTCTGGGCACCTTTCCCTGCCTCCCAGGTAGAACTGGAAGCTCCTCCCCTCACTTTTGCCACCAGACAGCCAGGAGTCAGTGGGTGCTCCCCACCCTTCAGATCTGGATAGGACCCATTCAGATCCCACCACCCAGCTTCTCAGACTGGAGTCAGTGTCCTGCCCAACGTTTCTCTGAATTTTGGGGGCAGGGGGCTTTTGTTCTCAAGGTCGCCTTTGTGTCAACTTTCAGCCTTTGTCAAGCTGTTCTTTGTCCCTATCCGTGGCTTTTCCTTGACCTCTGCCCTGGCATGCACCCAACAGAGCCCCTTCTCTTTGATCACTTCTTCCGTGGTAACAGTGAACAGAATTCTGCTGGGAGCCACAGAATGTTTACTGAAGATTTATGGGTCACCGGAGGTACTTTTAAAAGCAAAGCACTTAAAAATCCATATCACTCTTGAAAGTGGTCCTCCAGCCAGGTTTTCTCACAGCTGGGCCACCTGTGCACGTCCTGCCTTCTCTTCCCCTCTCTTTCAGTAACTCCAACCACCAATTCCTGTCTCTGACAACAGCTGTGCCCTCGTGAACCAAATTGTCGTGCTCCAGAAGTTTATCCAGATCTTTCCTAAATAAAGCCAAGGCCTTCCTGAGGAAGTACTCTGAGGTCAACTGTTGAGATGATACAGTTTTTTGTTTGTTTCTATATCTTGCTCTAAACCAGGCTGAACTCCCACTGAAGGCAGAGACCTCAACTTTGGATTTCTGTATCCCTGGTTCCTGGTAAGGGGATTTGTAGGCACTCAAGAAGTCCAGCTGTCGCAAGAGTGAATGCCTGTGACCAGAGGGGAGTGAAATGGGCATCAGGCAGCGCACCCGTGGTGGCTCCCGCAGCAGGGGGGTCGCACCCCACCGCCTGTTGCTAGGAGATGATGGACTTCGGAAGGATGTGCAGTGTTGCTTAGCAACACCTCCCCACTGTTCCATCACTCAGAATGGACAGCACCAAGCAATTCTTACAGCAAGAGTCTTTTGATCTATTTCAGCCAAAAGCAGGAAAGATCTTTCTGTCTCAGCTCAGATTACATAATTTTTTAAAGGACCACAAGAGCAAAAAATATGGAGGATCCCCAATATTCACACCCAAGAACTACTTTGTTAGCAGGTTAACTGTGTATCAGAGGGACATTAGGAGGATTGCCAAGAGCTCACAGCCTGCCTTCTGGGGACGCTGGGAAGCCTCCCTGCAGGGACCCTTCACTTAGCTGTAGCCAGCTATCCACTGGGCTTGGAGTGCTTCCCACACCCCTCCTGCATGCTGGCTTGGCCCTACCAGGGATCGCAAAGCCCAGCTGGTCACCAAGGACAGAGGTGCTCTCTCGACGTGGCTGATGTTTTTCTAACCAGCTTAGCCCAGAAAGAACATTTGGATTCATTTCCCATCTGTAACGCAGAGAACCTTCGTATGAACTTAAGTTCCTTGAGATATTTGCACTGAAATAGGCACGTATGAATTTAAGAGTCATAAATGGGCCCAATTTCCCTGAACTGTGCCCTAGAATGCGCAGTGCATGCTCTGTGACTGTTTTTCCTTTCCTTCTGGTAACTACTAGCTTCCACATGGGAGAGGGTTCACAGGGGGTGGGGTGTCCAGGCTGCACGAGTGGCTGAAGAAGAGCTCCCTGCTAGTCTCTGTGAGTACAGGGAAGGCCCTATGTGGCCGTAGATCCCTTGGAAGCTCAGCCTGCTGAGAGCGGTGCTCACCAGGTTCCACTGAAGCTGAACAGCACTGGAGCTAGGAATGCAGGAAGGAGGCGCTGCCTACACCCTGAGCTCTCAGTCTGGCTGGGAAGCCGGCAGTAGCTGTGTCCTATAAAGGCACCTCGAACACTGGACAACACTGTAGCTCATGCTTGAATGAAGATTCTCTAACAAGTGTGTTTCCTCCGGAAGGCACATCACAGCCTTCCTGCACTTACGAACAATTAGACAACGCTTCAGCACTATGCCTGGGGACCACATTAAACAGCAAAATCACCACCCAAAAGCACAAAATGCAAAAGATATGGCACTAAATGGACCAAGAAAAGACCCTGTGTGTAGAGAACAAGACGCAGAGCCTTGCTTTGTTTGACCTCAGTAGGGAACTGCGTGTCAAGCAACTCACATTTTTCACAGCTTTGCACATGTCTGCAAATGACCACAGAAGCACCACGAGTACTCAGTTTTGAGGTTTCAAATGCGTTTCAGAGAGTAGGTGACTTTGTGGCTGAGCACGATGGCTCACGACTGTAATCCCAGCACTTTGGGAGGCTGAGGTGGGTGGATCACAAGGTCAGGAGTTCAAGACCAGCCTGGCCAAAATGGTGAAACCCAGTCTCGACTAAAAATACAAAAAATTAGCTGGGCGTGGTTGCAGGTGCCTGTAATCCCAGATACTCAGAAGGCTGAGGCAGAGAATTGCTTGAACCCGGGAGGCGGAGGTTGCAGTGAGCCGAGATGGTGGCACTGCACTTCAGCCTGAGAGACAGAGCAAAACTCCGTTTCGAAAAAAAAAAAAAAGAGAGTAGGTGACTTTGCAAATGTGGATTTCATGACTAATGTGGATAGACTATATGTATGTATGTATGTGTGTACATATATGGCATTGTCTATGAAAGTTTAACATGTACACACACACATTTCTGTGCATATGCATGTATTTAAAAAGTAAAACTTAAATGCATTTACACCCACACGCTCCAGGATGGATGAGGAGGCATGACCCCAAGGCTCCCCTCAGTGCTGCCTTTTCCAGCTGCCTGCAGCAATCTCTGGTTACTTGGCTTCAAGACTCCTTGGAGTAGAAATTTCCAAACCCCGCACTGCCTCAATCAGACCATCCTTGCTTATGTAGCAATTGCCAGGGGCCCTTGTTACAAATGGATCCTAATTCCATTCCTGACCTACTCAAACAGAATCCAAGGGAGGAAAGGCTGGAGCCTTGGAATGTGAATGTGTACTTGACACCATTTACAAAGCTCACAATTCAAGTTTGAGAATCACTGTGAATAGGTTGCCAGGCAGCTGGAGAAATCAGCAGCTGACACTGTTTGGACCCTGGGACAAGAGGCAAATCGCCAGTGTAGGCCACCCTGCCCCTCTTGCGAGCAGACGAAATCAGTCAAAAGTGTTGTATGCTTCGTGAAAGACCACAGGCAGTTTCGTTTAAAGCTGTATAACCTGGGGAGAAAAAAATAAATAAATAAAAATAAAATAAAAGAATTGTGTGTGCTTAATGAGAGGAAAAAAATAATTAAGCTGGGAACCCAGGGAAGGTTATGTAACATCCCTGTGTGTCATGTTTAAAGTGAATGTAATAGTAGTTCTCTCTTAAGGCTGTCAAAGATGTTAAAAATGTGTGTTGAGCAGCACTTCCCATGTGGGAACAGTTAACAACCACTTATTATCATCACCATCAGCTGTTGTTCCCTGGACCTGAGCTGACCCCCGGAGTATGCTCTTTCCTCCTGCTCACTTTCTCAGCCACCGGAATCTCACCTTTTTTCAGACCTTTCCTGTTTCAGTCTGGATGTTTCTTTTTCAAATGATTACTTTGCAAAAGTATGTACTTAATAGAAAAGTAGGACTGTGCACCCACCTGGACGGCAAGAACCCAGTGTTGGCAAGGACACAGAGCAAGTGGGGGCTTTGCTGCTGGAAATATAAATTTCACTTTGTCAAACTTTTTGACATTATCTATGAAAGTTAAACATACACACACACTGTGACCCAGCAATTCTCCTAAATTCATAGATACAGTCACTGAAAGACATGACAAGAATGTGATTTGTAATAATAAAAAATTAGAAGCAAACTAAAAGTTTATCAACAGCAGAACTTGTATCCCCACAATGGTGGACAGTAAGCAGCTAGCGTGGACTAACTGCAGTCTTCTCGGTGCGGAGGAATCCCATGAACACACGGTTAGGTGGGAGGAGACACTAAAGAATGCATACTGGGTGGTTCAATTTATGTGAAGTTCAAAAAGAGGTAAAACTACTAATGTATGAAGTTAGGACTCCAGAGGAGGGTTTCTCAGAAGGGGCACTCGAGACTGGAAAGGGGGTACTGAGGGTTTCCAGGTTGTGCTCAGCAATGTGCTGCTTATACGCATGTCTGTACCTTGTGAAAATTCTTTTTATTTGTACACTTTTTCAAGCACTTTGCTAAATTTACATTATATTTCAGTAAAAGTTCACATTAAAAAAGAAAGGCAGGAACAGACACGGTGGCTCACGCCTGTAATCCCAGCACTTTGGGAGGCTGAGGCGGGTGGATCACCTGAGGTCAGGAGTTTGAGACCAGCCTGGCCAACATGGTGAAACTCTCTCTACTAATAACACAAAAATTAGATGGGCATGGTAGCGCTCGCCTGTAATCCCAGCTACTCAGGAGGCCAAAGCAGGAGTATTGCTTGAACCCAGGAGGCGAAGGTTGCAGTGAGCCGAGGTCATGCCATTGCGATCCAGCCTGGGCGACGAGAGTGAAACTCCATCTCAGAAAAAAAAAAAAAAAAAGGCAGAATTATGAAGATGTCTTTGGTTGGAGGTGGGGATAGATGTTTAAGATGGAGAACACACCAGGTGCAGTGGCTCACGCCTGTAATCCCAACACTTTGGGAGGCTGAGGCGGGTGGATCACAAGGTCAAAAGTTCGAGACCAGCCTGACCAAAATGGTGAAACTTGTCTCTACTGAAAATACAAAAATTAGCCAGGCATGGTGGCGCGTGCCTGTAATCCCAGCTACTCAGGAGGCCGAGGCAGGAGAATCGCTTGAACCCAGGAGGCAGAGGCAGAGGTTGCCAGAGATCGCGCCACTGCACTCCAGCCTGGGCAACAGAGTGAGAATCCGTCTCAAAAAAAAAAAAAGATGGAGAACAATGAAGTAGCATTGAAAAATAGAGAAGGAAACTTTTAGAGGAGTTTAAAAGAAACTTTTACCTTTAATGATTTTGAAAGACTAAGAACAGAAAACCCAAGGATTCAAAGAAAAGTGGCAAGGAGTCCCACAGCACCAAGACTGGAGAAGCATAAGGGGGAGGCAGGGCCCTGGGTGGTCTCAGGAGACAGCAGTGAGGCCAGTAGAGGTCATTTGTGGGGTCCTGGCATCCCCTGGGAGGGCAACCAGCCCCAACATGCCCCCACAGCCTGAGCTGTGTGTGTGCTCTTGCCCGGCATTCAGCCCACAGAGCTTCATGGAGCACTTATCATGGGCCAAGAGACTCCTCCCACCCAGCAGAGACCAAACTCCTTGTGGGACTGATCTACTGTGTTCTCTGGAGCAGAGAGGTGGCCTCTCTTCCAGCATTTCCCAGACTTGCCTGTGTGATGGCATCACTGAGGCACTTGCCGTAAACACGGGTTCCCAAGCCTGTTACCTGGAGGTTCTGATCTGGTTGGTCTGAGGTGGGGTCCAGGACCCCAGGATCTTCTTCCAACCAGACTAGTTGAGGAAACAGTGCTCTCATGCAAGGGGATATTCTTTTAAAAAGATTAAACGCATTACTGTAAATAGTGAGATAATGCTTTGAAAGTAATCCAAAATATTGTCAAAATATAATTTCCTGTTGGGAAAAAGGAAAAGGGGGAGGGACTCTGACAGTGAGCCTGACAGTAAAGTTGCTGGATAGAAACACAGGATGCCCAGTTAAATATGAATCTCAGATACACGATGAATAATGTTTTAGTATAAGTATCTCCTAAATATGGCACCAGATGTACTTATACTAAATTTCTTGTTTATCTGAAATTCAGACGTAGCTGGGTACTCTGTATTTGTATTTGCTAGATGGGGCTGCCTCTCCAGGAAGAGCTGAAAAGGCTTTGGAAACTTGCTCCAGCTGTCTGTGAGTGGTGAAGGGCCACAGGGAACTTCACCTGAAATATGGCTCCCTGGTATGGTATTTTGTATTAAAGGCCCTTAAGGATCAGCAGATGGAAGAAGACACTTTTTCCCTACCTGTATGAAGACCAGACAGACTTGCCAAGGAGAAAAATTGTTCCCCAAGTATCTCTGGCCCCGTCCCTTTGTTTTCATTAACTGAACTCATAGTAAGGCGTGATGGCTCATATCTGTAATCTTAACTGTTTGGGAGGTTGAGACAGGAAGACTGCTTGAGGCCAGGATTTCCAGACCAACCTGGGCAACATGGCAGCTCCCATCTCTATTATTTACTTATATGTATCAAAAAACCCAACCCATATCACAGGAAGGAAGACTGAAGACTGTCAACAAGCCTGGACATTTTGTTACAAACCACTGTCTGTTCCCCGGGCCCAACTTTGTTACAAACCACTGTTTGTTCCCCGGGCCCAACTTTGTTACAGATCATTGTATGTTCTTCAAGCCCCTGAATTCCCTTACAAATCATTTACCAACCCTGCAA